>NC_000008.11:9494014-9798495 GCF_000001405.40 Homo sapiens
CCTCAAGAAACCCAGACTCCCCTTGTTACTTGAACTCTTACTCTCATATTCGGTCCTTATATCCCATTTCTGACCCAACACCTCACCCATCCTTAATTTCTTTTTTTTTGAGACCGAGTGTCACTCTGTCGCCCAGGCTGCAGTGTAGTGGTGCGATCTCATCTCACTGCAACCTCCGCTTCTTGGGTTCAAGCAATTCTCTGCCTCAGCCTCCTGAGTAGCTGGGAATACAGGCACCTGCCACCACACCCAGCTAATTTTTTTTGTATTTTTAGTAGAGACGGGGTTTCAACATCTTGGCCAGGTTGGTATTGACCTCCTGACCTCGTGATCCACCCATCTCGGCCTCCCAAAGTGCTGGGATTACAGGCATGAGCCACCGCGCCTGGCCCACCTGTCCCTAATTTCTAAAACAATTTTCCTGTGCCCTGAGTTCGCAGCAGAACCCCACCACGTCTGATTTCCTCTCTGGACATTTCCATCTACTTTCTGCTCTTACTGCAACCTGGCTATTTCTGAGGACACTGCTTCCTCAAATCCCTGTCCAGGGCCCTCTATTTTCTCTCCTTCCCCCACTTAACCTGTAGTCCTGGAAATCAGGTTGGTGTCCTCCCCCTTCTCATGACCGTGGCCGGGCCATCAGCACCCCAGCTCAGCGGCCACGTCATAAGAACAACGCTCTTCAGTACAGTCACTCACTGTCCCAGGCCACTTCCCTCCATTTCTTGAAGATTTTTGAGGTCGTGGTCCATTTCCATTCTTTTCAACACTACTCCTCTCATAACTGTTCATGGTTTCAATGATGATCCTTGTAACAACCTGGCATCTGGATTATTTGACCTGTTTCCTCCCAGTGTTCTTGTCCCTGGCCTTGTCTCAGCCACTGACTCTCCCATGGTCAAATATTGTTATTACCAATAACTGCCATCCCTCTACAAGTCAACAGTAAGCACTCTGTTCTCCAATCACCCACTCCTGTGTTTCCAGCTAATACTCTCTCGTGAACAATTATTTGACCCTTACCACAGAGATAAGGAGAAGCATTAAACCTACTGTCTCTTACTCACCTTGGGTATTTCATTTCCTTACCTTAAATCCCAGGCTCCATAATTTCAATCACTCCTTTGCACTGAGCTTCCACTTACCTGCTCCCTCTTTCTTCTTCAAACTCATCTGGTGTCATGGACTGACTCGAGTCTCCCCAGCTACCACCAACATTTATACAGTGAAGCTTTAACTCCCAGCATGACTTTTGTTGGAGATAGGGTCTTTAAGAAGATTATTAAGGTTAGATGAGGTAATGAGGATGGGACCCTAATCCAATATGATTGGTGTGCTTATGAGACCAGGAAGAGACACACAGAGAAAAGCCGTGTGACGACACAGTGAGTAAACAGCCATGTACAAGCCAAGGAGATGGCACTCAGGAAAAACCAACCCTGGTGGCATCTTGATCTTGGATTTCTGGCCTTCGGAACTAGGAGAAAATTCGTTTCTGTTGTTTAAGCTGCCCAGTCTGTGTTATTTTCTTATGGCAGCCCTAACAAATGAATACACCTGGCAAATCCCAAGCTCAATTAAATCCTTCTGTTAACCCCCTGTGTGTAGCTGTGCAGTTGAATTTGGCTGCAAAAAACAAAACCAACCAACCAAAGTACCCTCAACCCTGGGGACTTAACATACATTAACTCGTGACTAATAACCTCAAGTGGGTCCTCAGTGTTTCAGGACAATCACTCTGCATTTCCTTAGTTGATTTACTCTCCTACTCTCATACATAATCATATCACGCGTTCTCTTCTCTCCTGAAACCTCCACCATCTTCTCCCTGACCTTCACCTTCAGCAAATGATGTTGCTTCCTCTCTTGCTGAGGGAGTAGAAGCAATCAGAAGGCCCCTTTCTCAAGCTTTCACCATATCTCCCCATCTATATTACATACTACCTATTTTGATTATTTATCTTACTTATTTTCTGTCTTTTCCTAATAAATGTAAGTTACATGAGAGTGACGATTTTACCTGTTTTGTTCATTGCTCTGTCTCCAGCACCTGCAACATAGTAGCCGGTCAATAAATATTTTTTTGAATAATACACAAATGAATATGACAGAGGACTAGTTTGCTCATTATACACAAAAACTCTTACAAATCAATGAGAGAAAACAATTGATTAAAATGGACAAAGGCGATATGGAGAGTTCACATACAAAAGAAATATAAATGACAATACATACTAGCCAAAAAATATGTTCAACATTGTTCATAATTAAAGAAAGAGAACTCAAAACCATAGCGACACCAAATTTCACCCATCTCTCCTTCATTTTAATGGCTGCAAAGTATTTCCATGTTAATGGGCATATCAAATTTATTTAACAATTTCATATGGATTTAAATCTAATATTTACTACTATAATGAAAGTTGTGGGCCGGGCACGGTGGCTCACGCCTGTAATCCCAGCACTTTGGGAGGCCGAGGCGGGCGGATCACCAGGTCAGGAGATCGAGACGATCCTGGATAATGCAGTAAAACCCCATCTCTACTAAAAATACAAAAAAATAGCCGGGCGTGGTGGCAGGCGACCATAGTCCCAGCTACTCGGGAGGCTGAGGCAGGAGAATGGCGTGAACCCTGGAGGCAGAGCTTGCAGGGAGGCGAGATCGCGCCACCGCACTCCAGCCTGGGCGACAGAGCGAGACTCCGTCTCAAAAAAAAAAAAAAGTTGTGAGTGAACATCACGTTCAGGACGAGAATGCATGACATGATTATGTATGAGAGTGGGAGTGTAAATCAACTAAGGGAATGTAGAATGACTGACCTGAAAAAATTTTAAATCTTGATGAAACCTACTGTTGGTGAGGATGCAAGAAAACGGACACTTTTAGATACTATTGGTGGAAGTGTAGCTTCACATTCTCTATTGAGAATATCTACCAACATTTAAAACAAACATATCCTACATACATGTGCCAAGATACATCTACAACAGGATGTTCACTCACCACTTTCATTATAATAGTCAATATTAGATTTAAATCAACAGGAAATTGTGAAATAAATTTGATACACCTATTACATGGAAATACATTGCAGCCATTATAAGAGAGAGAACCACATTTGCTGATATGAAAAAAATGTCCATTATAGACAACATTCAAGTAATGAGCAAAACAGTCTATGGAATGTGAGTGTGTCCATTAAGCACTTCCAGAATGCTATATAAGAAGCCATTAATAATGATTGTTTCTGAGAAGTATTTCCAGTGGGTTGGGGAGATTTTTTGTTGCTGTTTTATTCATGAAAGTGTTTTCTTTCATAAACATGTATGACTTATTTTTCTAAAAGAGAGAAATGCATCTTAAAAGATAATAGTCAAGCTTGTTTCTCTTTTATAATTTGAATACTGTGTGTATGAATACAGAAACACACACATACACACACACACATATATATATCACATTTTATATAGTGCATAGGGTTAAAGCAATTTCATATCAGTTAATGGAACCATTTTTTGTTGTTGTTTAAAAGTTCTGTTTTCAGAAGGCAAAAACAACCTGTCAGGACAGTTGATTAAGTGCTTCCCACACCTTACATACAAATACATAAATTCAATAATGGAAATAAATCACCCAGATCATTTTGTTTGGCATTTTGAAAGCAAAGCAACAAATCAATATACCACTTCAGGACTGGGTGTGTGTGTGTGTGTGTGTGTGTGTGTGTGTTTCTTCTCTTCCCTCCCCTCCTCCCCTTCCTCCTCCTCCTTCTTTAGACAAGTACTATGTTTTAAGATTTAGGTATATAATTCTACTTAATTTGCCATGTGCCTACTGCTTGTCTAGTTCTCGATTAGGTCCTATAAGTAAACAAAGCCCTTCTCTCAAGAAGCTCATACTCTGAAAAGGTGGGAAGAACAATATAAACACACAGGAAATTGTAAGGAAAGACTTCACGGAAGAAGGGGGACCTGAAAGTCCACAGGCAGAAATCAAGCTGCAAAATTAATGACCAATGCTTTCCTTCTAAGAATTGCCTTTGGAATTGAGGTTTTAATAGTCCATGTATTCCAGCAAACTATGACAAATCAGAAATGCTGCTATTAAATGAACCCCTTGGGCAAAACTTCTTACCAAACCAATTTCAGTTCAAATAGACAGCAAGCTATAGCACAGAGAAAGGAAAATAGCCAACACCATTTCCAACACCACTTTATAAAGATAATTAACTTTTACTTATGCACATGTAAGAAGATACCGCACAGTGAAAAAAAAGAGACTATTTTGGGGTGTTGCTAAAGATGCAAGCATTTCAGGAAATTCCCTCCCCTTAATCGCCTTCCTGAATTATTATGCCCATTAGCAACCCCATGTCTAAATCAGAAAATTACTGAAATGCAAATTGAACAGAGCAATTTATCTGCGACTGAAAATATCTCTGAGTTAACAGAGCTCCACTGATGAGATCTAAACAAGACCAGGGAATAGCGGCACCTAATTTACAGTGGTATTATTTAGTGACATAAATTTAACCACAAGCAACGTATATCATGAAAGTCATAAATGAACACCAGAGAAAAACAGAAGAACAATGGGAGCTACGCAGAACGTGCTTTGTTAAAAGAGAAAAAGGATCACAGGACCATCACATTAGTGCTTGTTAACACAGAATTACAAACTGGTGAAAGTAATTAAGCCAGTGAATCAAAATCACTTGTCATTTTCTTTCCCTCCTCCAGATTTACAAATAAGTAAATCAATTTTCCTTTGCTTTTTTTTTTGTTTGTTTTTTGAGAAGGAGTCTCGCTCTGTCGTCCAGGCTGGAGTGCAGCGGAGGGATCTCGGCTCACTGCAAGCTCCGCCTCCCGGGTTCACGCCATTCTCCTGCCTCAGCCTCCCGAGTAGCTGGGACTATAGGGGCCCGCCACCACGCCCGGCTAATTTTTTTGTATTTTTAGTACGGACGGGGCTTCACCGTGTTAGCCAGGATGGTCTCGATCTCCTGACCTCGTGATCCGCCAACTTCAGCTTCCCAGAGTACTGGGATTACAGGCATGAGCCACCGCGCCCAGCCACAAATAAGTAAATCAATTTTCTTTGTGACTTAAGGTCTCTTGAAAGATTTCCACAGAAAATTATTTCTCCATCTACCTAGCCGAAATGCTCACTGTTAAAAAATCAAAGGATTCGACTGAGCCCTGTGGCTTGCTCCTGTAATCCCAGCACTTTGGGAGCCTGAGGAGGGCAAATCACATGAGTGTAGGAGTTCGAGACCATTCTGGCCAACATGGCAAAACCCCATCTCTACTAAAAAATACAAACAGCCGGGCGTGGTGGTGGGCACCTGTAATCCCAGCTACTCTGGAAGCTGAGGCTCAAAAATTGCTTGAAAGCAGAAGGTGGAGGTTGCAGTGAGCCAAGATCGCACCATTGCACTCCACCTTGGGGGACAGAGCGAGATCTTATCTTGAAGAACAAACAAACAAACAAAAAAAGCTGTAGAGATTCTGGTAAGATTTGGGAAACCCAAGAGGCAAGAGGCAAGGTCCATTTCTTCCTACTGAATCTTCCTTAGCAAACAAATCTCAAAAGAGGATTTTGACTAAAAGTCACCCAGCTTTAAAAGAGGAAACAGTCACCATTATGGCAGAGCAGGACAATGAAGCTGACACCTAAGTCAGTCATTTCAGAAGGACCAGAAAGGCAGGTTTTCTGTGGCTTTCCTCCACCTGTGGTCGCTGGCTTATGGTGGCTGTGTGTTGGGTTACTGAGTGGACGCACTCTGTACACAGTGGGGAAACCAGCAAAGCAGACGCAGAAAAGAAAATGGGAGAATTTGAGAGGTGATATTTCTTTAAAAAAAAAATTGAAGTAGTCTTCATTTAAATTGAAATGCTGTTAGATGGTTTTGTGACTTATTTTACAGCTTAGTAGTATTTTTATTTTATTTTATTTATTTATGTATGTTTTGGAGACAGAATCTTGCTCTGTTGACCAGGCTGGAGTGCAGTGGCGCAATATCGGCTCACTGCAACCACTGCCTCCCAGGTTCAACTAATTCTCCTGTCTCAGCCTCCCCAGTAGCTGGGATTAAAGGCATGCACTACCATACCCGGCTAATTTTTGTATTTTTAGTAGAGACAGGGTTTCACCATGTTGGCCAGTCTGGTCTTCAGCTCCTGACCTCAAGTGATCTGCCTGCCTCGGCCCCCCGAAGTGCTGGGATTACAGGCATGAGCCACCGGACCCAGCCTGGTATTTTTATTTTAAATGCCTATGGCTGAGGGGCTCGATAGTCTTTTTAAAACTTAGTGTACTTACATTTTTAATCCAGAACCTCTGGTCAAGATGATGTTACAGGTGAGCAGCATCTATCTGGGCCAGTGGCACAGGAGTAAAAGAATTAACCAAGGCCAGATGTGGTGGCTCATGCCTGTAATCCCAGCACTTTGGGAAGCTGAGGCAGGTGGATCACGAGGTCAAGAATTTGAGACCAGCCTGGCCAGCATGGTAAAACCCCGTCTCTACTTAAAATACAAAAAATTAGCTGGGCATGGTGGCATGCACCTGTAATCCCAGCTACTCGGGAGGCTGAGGCAGGAGAATCAGTTGAACCCAGGAGGCAGAGGTTGCAGTGAACCGAGATTGTGCCAGTGCACTCCAGCCTGGGTGACCAGGGAGACTCTGTCTAAAAAAAAAAAAAAAAAAAAAGAATTAACTGAAACAGTTGTTGGTAAAGAAAGGCAGATTTATTAGAGAAAGTTGGAAAATATGTTGCAAGGTTGCAATGGGCAGAATCAGCGAACAGGAGCTGACTGCCAGGAAACAAAGGCTTGTTGGAGATTTTATGGAATGGTTCTTGGGCTGATTGATAATGGCAAGGTAACAGGCAGCTAACTTTAAGGTGTCTGGTGATAAGTTGGGTGCAGGAGGGCTACACATCCTGAACCATAAAGAAAGGCAGACTTATAGCTTATCTGCTTTCTCTTTTGGTTTTTCCCCAGTCCTACCTGCCTGACTCCTTTTCCCTAATTAGGACCCCACAGATAACACAGTGTCTTCATGTTTCACTGCACTCCCTATTCCCCACTGTCATCCCCTGTTCAAAACCAATAGCAATGATAGCCATATAGGCATAGAAATGTAAAAACAACAACAACAACAAAAGCATAAATATCTCTGTGGACCAGAAACAGAACAGGACCCAGAATACTGCAAGAGATAGAAGCCGCAGGCCGGCTGGGATCAGGGGCAGGAAGCCAGCAGTGGTGGTGGAGGAGTCAGCTCCTTCAGAATGGCAAGGATGAAGAGTGCTGCCCCTGGGCGGGCCGGGAGCCTGGTGCATGGAGAGCCCAGGGACTGGGGCGGGCTCCTCTGCTCTTGAGAGGATGCTAAATGCAGTCACTGGCCACCCTCTCTGCCTGGAGCCATGGCTTTGTAGAAACTCAGGGCCCTGGGAGAGGAGAGAAAAAACCAGTCCTCAACTGGAGACTGAGTTAAGTTTTCCCCTTGGCTCCATAAATGGATCTACAATATCCCCCAAGGTCACCATGTGCCAGTATTCCCCAAATTCCGTGATAATAAAATCTGGTGTGCTAGATGGAGAACAGTGAACACTTTCTGAATCCAACCAACCTAGGACCACCTGGGACAAACCTGTAGTCCAACAAAGTTAGGTTTATTGGCTCATTGCTATGATGGAGATAGCACTCCCTGAGGAACTGTGGGTGTCTCACCAACAAAGGGAAAAAATAGAGTTAGCTTAGGATTAGGGAAAGAGTGGAGTGTAGGTGGAATTCAAATGAAGAGATTTGGAGGGTTTTTTTTTTTCCTTGCCATCTTAACCATTTATAAGTCTCAGTTCAGTGGTATTAAGTGAATTCTCATTGTTGGGCTCCCATCACCACCATCCATCCCCAGAACTCTTTATCTTACAAAACTGAAACTGTGTACACATTAAACATTAACTCCGCATTCCCCATCCCCAGCCCCATCCTCTGGCATCCACCATTCTATTTTCTGTCTCTGTGAATTGGACTACTCTAGGAACCTCATGAGTGGAATCATACAGTGTCTGTTCTGTGACTGCTTGGTTTCACTTAGCATATAATGTCCTCAAAGTTCATCCATGTCATAGCGTGTTCCAGAATGTCCTTCCCTCATAAGTCTCAATAAATTTTTGGTATAAATGTAGGCCACATTTTCTTTAGCCATTCATCCGTGATGGACATTGGGTTGTTTACACCTTTTTGGCTATCAGGAATAGTGATGCTATGAACACTGGTGTGCAAATATCTATTTGAGTTCCTGCTTTCAATTCTTAGGTATATACATCCTAGTGAGATTTCTAGATTATGTAGTAATTCCATGTTTAATTCTGTGAGGAACTGCAAACTGTTTTCCACAATAGCTACACCATTTTTCATTTCTATCAGCAATGTATAAGGGTTGCAATTTCTCCACATCCCTTTCAATATTTGTTATTATCTGTGTTTTTTGTTTGTTTGTTTCTTTTGAGACAGAGTCTCACTCTGCCCCCCAGGCTAGAGTGCAGTGGCTTGATCTCGGCTCACTGCAACCTCTGCCTCCTGGGTTCAAGCAATTCTCATGTCTCAGCCTCCCAAGTAGCTGGGATTACAAGCATGTACCAACATGCCCGGCTAATTTTTGTATTTTTTGTAGAGATGGCATTTTGCCACATTGGCCAGGCTGGTCTCGAACTCCTGGCCTCAAGTGATTTGCCTGCTTCTGCCTCCCAAAGTGCTGGGATTATAGGCATAAGCCACCATGCCTGGCTATCTGTGGTTTTCATTATAGCCTTCCTAATAGGTGTGACATGGTATCTCATCGTGGAAGGAGGCAATGTTTCAATAGCCTCAACACTAGTAGGGCTGTGTTGAGACATGAGGTCAGGACTGTGAAGTGGACTCGGGGTCTTATTTCTTTAGAAGCTGAGAAATTAAGTGAATGTGAAATCCTGCGTTCAGAAACCTTTACCTACAGCTCTCCATCTGGGTTGGTAACCGAAGCTGCTTCTCTGTTGCAAAGTGACTCAGATCTTCCAGGCAAAAATGAAATGCTTCATTCTTACTGATATAATTTCCAACTGCAAGATTTCAGACAATCTATGATTTTAGAAAACAAGGTTTTTCAGTGAATGAGTAAAAGAAAGACCCCTTCAAAAAAGTGGGTTGTTATGACACTACAGTGGCAGAGTGTCCTTGGGAAGAACGTATGTTGCTGTTAACATGGCAGCAGGCCTTATCTGTTTCAGCTATCCCAGCGTGATGAGTAGCCAGGCAGGTATTTTACTTTTCTTGTCTGAACTAATTTTTACTTTCTCAGCATCCAAGATGCAACGGAGAGAAAGGAAGCGAGAAAGTCGTAAATAAAAACCTTCCTACTTAAAATGAACCTGCAAACCAAATTACAAATCATATTAATAGAATGCTAAGCTACGGCCACATCAGCATGAGACTAATGGCAAAAGTGATATTGGGATCTGTCTGCTTTACAACTAATTGGTAGGGAGGCTTGGCTGAATCATTAGCCTTTCCTGGGTTTTTAATTTCATGTCGGTGTTAATAATGAAACTGACCCAATAGTCCTATAGATAGGTTTTTGGTGGTTTTTTTTTTTTTTTATAAACATCAAAATTGATCCTTCTAATCTTAAAGCTTGAAACTTCTATTTATCTGAGTGCCTTCCTCAGAAAACAACTTTCACGCCTCTCAAAAAAAAAAAAGTATCAAAAAGAACTGAAACTCACCAGATCACCACATCCAGACAATGAGATGACAGATGCCTCATTGATCATGATTGCTTCCTTTCCCCTCCTGAGTTCTTGTTTTCTCAATCATGGTTACATTTCTTCCCTGCTATATAAACCCGTAGTTTTAGTTGGTCAGGAAGGTGGATTTGAGACAGCTCCCATCACCTTGGCAGCACCCAATTAAAGCCTTCTTCTTTGGCAATAATTGTCATCTCAGTGATTGGCTTTCTGTGCAGCCAGCAGCACCACCTAGACTAAACCCCTGGTGTTTCAGTAACAATAAAATGACCTATTCAATAACCTTGTTACTGGACAATTTGAGGAGGTAGCATGTAAGAAAGGCATACAACATCAACACGGCTTTCAAAGGTAAGGTATTACTATTACTGTCGTTTAGTTATCTCTGAACAAAACATTCAGAGACTAGGGACATTGCTACCCCGGCAAGCAAAAGTATCCATTCTTCTTTGCATGTTAAGTGAGACTCACAGAACATTTTTCTCATAACCCTCTGCTATTATATAAAATCAGGGCAGGGTCTGAGCAGGAGCCACCACTGGTATCCTCTTCTCTGAAACCTTTTCTGCTCTTCTGAAGGGTTATTTCACTCATTTAGACTCCATTTTCATAGATAAAGATATGGTTGGAGTCTCTTAATATTTTTCTCAGTCCTTCTCCTTTAGGTTGAAGAAATGGATCGTGAGCCTGTGAGCCTGAAAGCCTACAGTGCAATTTACATCCATCACTATATAATTAGCCGAGCACAACAAAGAGGTCCTGCTATGAATACCTCTCCACACAAACCAGACAGGAAGAGCGTGTTTATGTCTTCCTTGCAAAGTGCAAATTGGGAGCCATCCAAGTATTTAGCAAGAATAAATTAAACATTTAAATCAACTGTTTGGAAATGACAATGAGGAGCTCTATGCAATATCATCAGGCTTCTTTGGAGACTTCGTTTTCTTTTTTTTTTTTTTTTTTTTTGAGACAGAGTCTTGCTCTGTCACCCAGGCTGGGGTGCAGTGGCGCAATCTCGGCTCACTGCAAGCTCCACCTCCTGGGTTCACGCCATTCTCCTGCCTCAGCCTCCTGAGTAGCTGGGACTACAGGTGCCCGCCACCATGCCCGGCTAATTTTTTGTATTTTTTGTATTTTTTAGTAGAGACGGGGTTTCACTATGTTAGCCAGGGTGGTCTCGATCTCCTGACCTCGTGATCCGCCCACCTCGGCCTCCCAAAGTGCTAGGATTATAGGCGAGAGCCACCGCACCCGGCGAAGACCTCGTTTTCGTTGAGACCTAGCTTTCCAAGCCCAGGTTATCTCCCTGAAGTGGCATGTAAGATATTTTTTAATGCAGATGAAGTAGTATTCTGGGTAATGACTTCAGACCCTAGGCTATAGTTAGCAGCTGATGAAGACACCTTCAAGCTGAAAGATGATATCTAACCAGGGAACTGACTGGACTTTTTGCTTTGCTTCTTCAAATATAGAAAACCCAGCTGCCAGTCCCTTGCTGGTGTGAAAGGGAAAGTCGACCAGTTGACCAACATGCATCCTTCAGTTTGCAGTCAGAGTAATCATCAGTCTGCCCCCTAATTTTCCTGTCATGGTAGGAACTATAAATGGCATTCTGTAAGACCGCAAATTGCTATGGAACACTTTGTGCATGAGGGAAATTCTCTCATTGTGTAAATGGATCAGTTGCCACCCTAAAATTACTGGCCTCTCCCTGACAAAGTGATGTAGAAGCCTTGCTGTTGTCAACTGGGTTGTGTAGAATCAGACTCACTTTACAGGAAAAAAGCTTTTTCTATCTTATGGTCCCTCAAAATAGGGGTTGTCAACTTTGGGTCAAACTAGTGAGCTGAAGGAGTGGTCATTTTTTTCTTTTAGAAATGGCTATCTCCAGGACTGCCATAGTGCAAGAAAAGAGAGTAGGTTCCCCTTAATTAGCTGGCAGTATCTTTCTGTATTCTCCTCACCATGATTCTAGACCTAAACGCTCCAAAATTAGTCCCCTTAACTACCTCCCCCACTCAAGGATTCACTGTTGTTAGTTTGCCTAAAACAAAGTAGGAGGTAAACACATCCTTCTCTGCCTCCACACTGCCTTGTTCATGCTTGTAAAGTAGCTCAGCTCACTTTCCTCTAATTATTTGTCTCCCCACTAAATTGTAACACTCCAGAAGTCAGAGACTATATTCCATTCTACTTTGTATCCTGCAAACAGACCACAATACCTGGTGCATGGTCGGTTCTTAATAACATTTATAGTTGTGTGTATCTTCTAAATCATAATTTACTTGTTTTTTTAATATGAGAAAATTTAAGTATAGTTTTAAGATACCGGTTAAATTAAAAAAGATAGATTTGTTTCATGAGACTGAAATCTACCTAATAGTTCTACAGATAGTTTTTTTGTTTGTTTGTTTTTGTGTTTTTTTGGATAAACACAGAAATTGACCCTTCTGGTCTTACCTTCTGGTCTTGAAACTTACCAAATCATCACATCCAGATCATGAGACTCCAAGCCTCCCAAAAAGTTTCAAAGAGCTGCAACTCACCAGATCATTGCATTCAGAAAATAAGACACCAGGCCCCTCATTCATCATGATTGTTTCCTTAACCCTCCCAAGTTCCTGTTTCTCCACACATAGTTACATTTCTTCCCTGCCATATGAACCCCTAATTTTAGTCAGTCGGGGAGATGGATTTGAGAGTGCTATCCCTTCTTGTTGGCTGCAACACCTAATTAAACGTTTCTGTATTGGCAATACTCGTTGTCTCAGTGATTGGCTTTGTATGTAGTGAGCAGCAGGACCTAGACCGAACCCCTAGTGTTTCAGTAACAATACTCTATTGTGTGTCCTCTGGGCTGGGCAGCTAAAATATACTGAGGACTGAGACACTGCCTATGGTCCAGGGAGCTCACAGCCTAGTGGGGAAACACTCTTGAAGACAGATCATTAAGTGCTAAAGTAGAGGAAGAAATCAACTGCCATGAGAGCACAAGGGGAGCAAACAATTCAGTTGGGGGTAGCCTGGGAAGACTCCACACTGGAGGTGATTTTCTTTTTCTTTTTTCTTTTTTTTGGAGACAAGAGTCTCACTCTGTCACCTAGGCTGGAGTGCACTGGCGTGATCTTGGCTCACTGCAATCTCCGCCTCCTAGGTTCAAGCAATTCTCCTGCCTCAGCCTCCTGAGTAGCTGGGATTACAGGCATGCACCACTATGGCAGGCTAATTTTTGTATTTTTAGTAGAGATAGGGTTTCACCATGTTGGTCAGGCTGGTCTCAAACTCCTGACCTCATGATCCACCTGCCTCAGCCTCCCAAAGTGCTGGGATTATAGGCGTGAGCCACCATGCCCAGCCATGGAGGTGACTTTTAAAGTGGTCTTGGCATAAAGAGTGAACTAATAGACATTATAGACATGGAAGGGTGGGAATGTGGGAGGGAGGTGATGGATGAGAAATTACCTAATGGGTACAGTGTACATTTCCGTCATGGTTACACAAAAAGCCCAGACTTCACCACTACACCATACATCCGTGTAACAAAACTGTACTTGTACTTCGTACATCTACAAAACTAGAAAATAAAAACAAAATAAAAGTGGTCTTGAAATATAGGCAATATTTCCCAGGTTTAGGAGGGCAAAAGACATTCTGAGAAACAGGAACAACTGCCGGGCATGGTGGCTCATGTCTGTAATCCCAGCACTTTGGGAGTCCAAGGCAGGTGGATCATTGAGCCCAGGAGTTCAAGACCAGCCTGGGCAACACAGTGAGAACCTGTCTCTACAAAAAAATAAACAAAATTAGCCAGGTATGGTGGTGTGTGCCTGTAGTTCCAGGTACTCAGGAGGCTGAGGCAGGAGGATCACTTGAGCCTGGGAGACAGAGACTGTAGTGAGCCATGGTTGTGCCACTGCACTCTAGCCTGGATGACAGAATGAGAATCTGTCTCGAAAAAAACAGAGAGAGAAAGAAAAAGAGTGGAACTTTATTTTCAGAAGTTGTTCCTAGCAGGACAGAGAAGAATGCACATTCAGGCTGTGCTCCTGCTCTCCTCACTTGGCCTGCATGCTCGTTCCTCAGCCTTAGCACAAGGGATGGACTTTCAAATTAAATCTCCTAACAACTATTTCACAGTCTCATTTGTCTTTCCTGTCCTGGATTTGGGAATTGTGATCCCAGTAAGCAGAGGTAGGAAATCTCTGGATGGTCAGTTGACTTAAGGCATCATTCTCAAAAGGAAAGAAAAAGCCTCCTTCTATCATGAGATCCTGAGTGATTCCAGTTTTTCCTTGCTTATTTGTAAAGTAAGAGATTCTTCTCACTAGAGAAGGCATCAGAGGCCACCATCTGCCTCCACAGGACCTTGCTAATCCAGCCACTTCACACTCCTCCCCTCCCTTGTGTTAGCTGAAGCTCTGAGCTTCAAAGACCCCTGGAGAAAAGTTCTTTGGCATAGCTAGGGAACTCGCTAGAGAGAATCTCACATGAACCTGAGAATGCAGCGTAAGTTTCCACCAGTGGAAAGAAAGGAGATATCTTTTGTCCTATTTTTCTTCCTCACTGCCATTTTATCATCCACTCTTGTGTCTGCAATGACCTCCTGCAAAGCCCTGAGGATAAGAGTAACTACCAGAATTAATGTGTAGTGGCACCATATATTTAATAATTCTGGTTAGGTTATTCTTTTAAATCAAGGCCAACATTAAATATGCTTCTAAATTGCTCCTTTGAACTGCAGTCATCCTGGTTTAAGTGGCCTGGAGGGAATACATTAAGCTGGCTTGCATCATCAACGAAAATACAACACTTAGATATACATCAACTTTAAGAGATTCTGACCTATGAGAGTACTGATTCATGTCCTATATTTTGTGTCTCTCTTATCGTAATAATCCTCCGATACCCTTTCATCAACGGCCCATGCACGGATCACTTCTTTTTATTTATTATTTGGTCATTTATATTAATCACCTGCAAACCCACAGCTAAAACAAAAGCCACCACCTTGGCAGCCTACATCCAACCACGTGGTCTCTTCGGATTTTCCTCCCTCATCCTGACATCTCTGGTCATTATTCCCATGCTTTTATATATAAGTGTGTGTAGGAATATAGATGTTCTTTCCATATGTATGTAGTCCTTTAAAATTGTGTATTCTTCGTTGTTTTTAACTTTATAAAAATGTATATTTAGCCTGGTGCAGTGGCTCACGTCTGTAATACCAACACTTTGGGAGGCTGAGGTGGGCGGGTTGCTTTAGCTCAGGAGTTCTAGACCAGCCTAGGCAACATGGCGAAACCCTCTCTCTACAAAAAAATACGAAGATTAGACAGGCGTAGTGGTGCACGCCTATAGTCCCAGCTACTCAGGGGCTTAGGTGGAAGGATTACTTGAGCCCCACAGGTCAAGGCTGCAGTAAGCTGAGATTGTGCCTCTGCACTCCAATCTGGGTAAAAGAGTAAGACCCTGTCTCAGAAAAAAAAAAAAAAAAAAAAAAAAGATATTTTATTTTGATGTGTATTTTTTTCACTTAATAGTATGTTGAAGAAATTTATCCATACCGTTGCAAAATTGCTGTGGTTCATTTGTCTACTATATAATATTCAATTAGGTCAATTCACCATTTATTTATCATCCTCAGTGACAGGCATTTGTATCCAGGTTTTAGTATTATGGATGTTCTCTTACCTATATTCTAAGTATATGGGCAAGAATTTACCTTTGATCTATATCTAGGAGTGGAATCGCTAGGTATTAGGTTATATCAACGTTCAATATTAGGAGAAAATGCCAAACTCTTTTCCAAAGTGGTTGCACCATTTCTACTTCCTCCAGTAATTGTCTCTATTGTTGGGCAGCGTCCAATCCAGTGGAACATAAGATAAGCTAATGAAATGATTTAATATTACCGATACATAAATAGGGTGAATAATGAAATGGAAGCTTCAAGATATGCCTCTTAGGGATGAGAGGACAGTCTCCCCCTCAGTTGATATTCATTGGTGTTCTGTCTACATAGATGTTTCTATTTCTCTCCTATATGTGCTTCTCTTGGGTTCCTCTCCATCTTGGTGGCTGTGGGAATGTTTTACCCTTTAATTCATTGGCAAAACTAAAAGCCCCTCCCAAAACAATTATATTCTTCTGCAAAAAAAAAAAAAAAAAGCAGTAGTCTCTTCCACACGTCTTCCAAAGAGTTGTTTGTCCTCCTCTCTCTCTGTAAATTTTCTTCCACCCAATAAGTAGCCTTGTGGGTGGAGGTCAGACGTGCCAAATTAATTTACTTTGTTATTTAGCATCCAGATATCTCACCTGGGCATCTAGCTCTGTTAAAAAACACTCCCTTCAGGAAGCAAACTGGTGTGATTCATTTTCTAGTTCATCCAAGTACAGCCAGGCTGCTGCTTTCGCATTCATGTCCTGTCTGTGTCATATCTGCATGGTCTGTTTTCATATCTGAAAATAGATGGTCTCAAGCAGCACTGCTGATAGGCCTGTGACCCTTCTTCACCCCCCAGGAACTTTCGCACATTTATTCTGTGTATCTATTCACCCAGGCAGGGGAGAAACCTGCCACCTCTGCTGCAGGTGTGAGGGTCACCTTAGGTTTCCTGACAGCCCTGTATTCAGTTTGCTGCTCCCAGCTGCCAGCCTGTCTCCTCACCCAGGCAGCCTCATCAGATAGCAAGTTTCATTATGTGCAGTCCACTGGGGACTCTCCTAAAAGCAATACATTCATTTCACTGTGCTAGCCTCTGCCTATTAAAGCATTTTAGTCCTGTTTCTCCTTTAACCTCCCACGAGCCAAATATTCACTCTGACAAAATGCTATTCATTACAAAGTTAAGATGACTTTGACTCTGTTTCCCTTGCATATAATGCAATGAAGATGCTTTGTCCTGGATTCATCTAAAGCCTGATGGTATTACGGATAAAAACATGCCAAGGCGGGCAGTCTTTTTTCCCAAAATGGATTGAAATTGCCTCTAGCTAGCTATGCCTTGCTTAGATAAAGAGCAGCTGGGAGAATAAAATGGCTTTCTGCTTATTTTTAATATCCTAACCAATATATATTGCTTAAGAGACAATGATCAGGGGAAAAAAAATAAGATAGAAAAATGAAACATCACTGGAATGTAAAAAAACAAAAATCAGTCTTTTTTACTCTGCTTTTATCCACAGATATTTTTCCATACCCTTTTTCTCCACGCTGAGAGTTAGGACATAGGGGAGCTTGGGGGAGTTACAGAACATCTCCAGGGCTGGGCACTTAGAAGGATCTTGCTGGTTGATTCATTTAAACATAAATTATAGCTATATTTGATTTACTGTCTAAGTCAGTTGCCAGTCCAAACCCAGCCTCTGACACATACCAGTACTGGGGAAATAGATCAACCTCTTGAGGACTCATTCCTCATCTATGAAATGGGAAAAATAGCACCTCCCTCATAGGTTTATGAGTAATAAGTGAAATAACACATGAAAACCCAGCCCAGCACTTAATCTACAGTGAGAAAAAAATAAGTATGTATTTCCTTTTCCTGGTCCTCCTTCCTACGTAGGGAGTTAAAGAGATAAGCAGGAGAGAAGAATAAGAAGCTAGATTGTCATGAGTCTCAGAAAGAAGCCTTCTTCATACCTATTTGACTCTAGAGATGTGATCTCTCTTCTGCCTAAGCTGAAAGAATCATCTGGAATAACCACAGAAAATCGGGTCACTGTCTTAGATGTAGATATGCTGTTGCAGATGTTCCAGATAAAAAAATGGAAGAGGGGCCGGGCGCGGTGGCTCACGCCTGTAATCCCAGCTCTTTGGGAGGCTGAGGCGGCTGGATCACAAGGTCACAAGATCAAGACTATCCTGGCCAACATGGTGAAACCCCGTCTCTACTAAAAATATAAAAATTAGCTGGGCGTGGTGGTGCACACCTGTAGTCCCAGTTACTCAGGAGGCTGAGGCAGGAGAATCACTTGAATCCAGGAGGCGGAGGTTGTAGTGAGCCGAGATCGCACCACTGCACTCTAGCCTGGGTGACAGAGCGAGACTCCAGCTCAAAAAAAAAAAAAAAAAAAAGGAAGAGGAATTTCTTTCTGGTCAGAAGATGGGTGATAGCCACATGTCCCACTTGTTCTGGTCTTCAGTGTAACTGATCACTCTGCCCTCTTTGGGTGTCCTGGGTTTTGTAGCTGTGTTTTCACATCAACTTTATGTCTGGTTTTATCTTAACCCTTTCCTTCACTTCTCTTCTACTTTACCCACCATTCTTCTTCTTCTTACATGTTTTCTACATTGCTTTATGTTATGTACCTCACAAGCCAACTTGAACCCTACTCTAATTACTTTTTTGATTAATTAAAACCTGCCTCTCCTGATTTTCTCTTCGTGGCTCTGCATGAGGCTTTCCCCTTGCATGTTTAATGGGTTCCCCTGAAGTTTGTCAGTTGATGAAGCTAAAGCCCTGCCACGGGGAACAAAAGGAGGATCTGTTGTTTCCCCAGCCATGGCCAGCCCCATCCCAGAACAGGGAGAAATCTGGGCTGAACAGTCCAGAATAACACTAGGAAAAGCCCCACATATGGTAAGAAAATAAAAGCCAAGTCATCTTCTTGCTTGTTTGTCCCATAAGAGACTTTATAAGTAATTGTTTTTCTAGAAATATTCCCATTCACTCTTTTTTAAGTAATTTCAAAATATCTGATATTGTTAACCCTAGGGAGTTCCTTGAAGAGTGTGTGGAATCCATCAGGATACTAAAACGATCTCTTTTTTTAGAGACAGAATCTAGCTCTGTCATGCCCAGGCTGGAGTGTAGTGGCGCCATCTCGGCTCACTGCAACTTCTGCTGTCCGGGTTCAAGCGATTCTCCTGCCTCCGTCTCCCAGGTAGCAGGGATTACAGGTCACCACGCCCAGCTAATTTTTTGTATATTTAGTATAGACAGGGTTTCACCGTATTGGCCAGGCTGGTCTCGAAGTCCCTACCTCAGGTGATCCATCCACCTCAGCCTCCCAAAGTGCTGGGATTGCAGGTGTGAGCCACGGTGCTTCACCTAAAACCATCTTTTAATACCTTCCTAGGCTCTGGGATTACTTTTGAAGGACACCATTAGAATACTATGACTCAAGGCTAATGACAGGTGAATAAGGACAATAGAAAATTTTCCACTTAAAATTGTGTGTTTGTGACTCAATATGTTGAGATAGCTCATCAATTATTAACCAACTAGGAAAACTTCCAAGTACTGCGTCAAAACATACAACACCAGAAGGCATTCACCCAAGCAGGTTCTATTTATTGAATGCTGTTTACTATCTCTTGGCAGCTTTGTCTTTTTAGATGTGTTTAGAAGCCTCCCTAATATATACACTGTCAACTGAGGAGATCTCTGTTTGAATTTTTCAAATAAAAGGCTGGCAGAAACCCAAAGGCAAGTACGCTAACTTCAGATCCTTAGAGAGATAAAAGTAGGCCGTTCATCTGCAAATCCACCTTGGTTGAGTGCGTTCAATTTGCTGAATTTGTTTAGGAATACAGTTTAGTGATAATGATTAGACCTGCCATGCCGTGGTGCAATACCATAAAAGTCAGAGCCTAAAAAGTGAGTGTGAACAGAAAAACGGGTATTCCTAGAGAAGAAAACTCACAGTATTTCAGATGTGAGTTGGTGGTATTCATTCTTGGCAGCATTGGAAATTTTGTTTTATCTTAAAATCTTTTAACTGTTTTGTTATTCTAAAAGGTAAAAGGAGTTGAAATAGGGGAGTTTTTTTTTTTTTTGGTTGTTTGTTTTTTGAGATGGAGTCTCACGCTGTTGCCCAGGCTGGAGTGCAGTGGCGTGATCTCCGCTCACTGCAAGCTCTGCCTTCCGAGTTCACGCCATTCTCCTGCCTCAGGCTCCTGAGTAGCTGGGACTAGAGGCACCTGACACCACTCCCAGCTAATTTTTTTGTATTTTTAGTAGAGAGAGGGTTTCACCATGTTAGCTAGGATGGTCTGGATCTCCTGACCTCGTGATCTGCCCGCCTCGGCCTCCCAAAATGCCGGGGTTACAGGCATGAGCCACCGTGCCTGGCCGAAATAGTGGACATTTTATTCGGTGTGTCTGATTTTTTTTTCCCACCATAAACAAATATAAAGCCCTGGCTTTCAAAAACGTACACAGCTGAATAACATTTTGGGTGTAAAATTGTGAACTTATTGGTTCTGCTCGTTGATTTCCTTTGGAGACGAGCATTTTTTTGAAGCCTTACTTTCAAAGGAATAAAGAATGAGACAAGAGAATGAAGAAAAGAGGTACTTGGCGGAAAAACAGATCCATCACAGTCTCATGAGTGATTGGCCGTGGCTCTGAATTTGCAATCCTCTCAGAAATGGCCACAAATTTTGGTGTGTGAAAGATGTTAAAGCAAAGCGACCATCCCAGTGAATCATGTGGGCACCTGCATAGGACACAGGAATCAACGGGCATGTGCATTTACAAGGAGGCTGCTGCGGTGGCTGTTTCCACCAAAGCCACTGAGAAGGCCAGATCTCTACTCCTATCTCAGGCCAGAGGCAGGTAGAGAAGGCTGGGCGTCCTATGCACAGGTAGGGAAGGGAAGGATAGCAGATTCTCACTGAGGGTATCCACCAGCAGCTTTTGCATTCTCTCATCATCAACTCCCCTCCCAACCACAGAGGAGGCTCATGTGGTACTCCTGGGTCACTGGATGCTACATGGCACAGATAACAGTGCTAGCCAAGCAATTAAATGGCTTTTCTATGTTTATCCCCATTTCCTAGAGAGATAAATGAAAGCGTACAGAGATTAAAGAACTTGCCTAGATCCACCTGAAGCAACACAATGGCCAGGAATTTACTAAAACCCATCTATTTCAGATTCCAGTTCCATAGTTAATCATTCAACAGGGCTATTGCTAACGGGAGCAGGACATGTATACCTTAGAGTGTATAATCCCATAATTCAGGGATCAATAAAGCCCACTCAATTTTTATCCTAACATAGAGGCATATAGGGAAAATATTTCTAGTTAACTTTTTGTGTGTGTGTGTGTGTGACACAAAGTCTCACTCTGTTGCCCAGGCTAGAGTGCAGGAGTGCAGTCACGGTTCACTGCAGCCTCAGCCTCCTCAGGCTTAGATGGTCTTCCCACCTCAGCTCCATGAGTAGTTGGGGCTACAGTCGTATGCCACCATGCCTGGCTAAATATCTTTTTTTTTTTAACTTTTTGTAGAGACAAGGTCTCACTATGTTGCCCAGGCTAGTCTCGAGCTCTTAGGCTCAAGTGATCCTCCTGCCTCAGCCTCCCAAAGTGCTGGGATTACAGGAGTGAGCCACCGTGCCCGGTTTCCAGTTTTCTTTCTTTCTCTTTCTTTCTTTTTTTTTTAAACAGAGTCTCACTCTGTTGCCCAGGCTGGAGTACAGTAGCATGATCTCGGCTCACTGCAACATCTGCCTCCCGGGTTCAAGTGATTCTCCTGCCTCAGCCTCCCAAGTAGCTGAGACTACTGGCGCCTGCCACCATGCCTGGCTTATTTTTGGTTTTTGAGTAGAGACCGGGTTTTGCCAAGTTGGCCAGGCTGGTCTCGAACTCCTGACCTCAGGTGATCCACCTGCCTTGGCCTCCCAAAGTGTTGGGATTACAGATGTGAGCCACCGTGGCCAGCTTCCATTTTTCTTAAGGGGAAAAAAATACATGAAAGCCTCTTAAACTATTTAAAAGAAAGGTGTTGGCCGGGTGCAGTAGCTCATGCCTGTAATCCCAGCACTTTGGGAGGCCAAGGCGGGTGGATCACGAGGTCAGAAGTTTGAGACCAGCCTCGCCAACATAGTGAAGCCCTGTCTCTACTAAAAATACAAAAAATTAGCCGGGACTGGTGGCAGGCACCTGTAATCTCAGCTACTCAGAAGGCTGAGGCAGGAGAATCACTTGAATCCAGGCGGCGGAGCTTGCAGTGAGCCAAGATCTCACCACTGCACTCCAGCCCGGGCAACAGTGTGAGATTCCGTCTCAAAAAAAAAGATATTTCACAAATTCAGAGTATTACTGTTGTTTGATTACAATATTTTGTTACCTGCATTTCTAAGAAATATCATACTACTTAACCTCTAGGTACATAAAAGAAGCACAGAATCTTGGCTCTGTTTAGAACAATTGAGCAATTAGGGCTATATCTTCCTTTGGTGACAATTCATGAGGAACTCACCATATCTCTGCTACATCACCTGAAGATTTATATTTTGAAACTAGCCATTGTAATGTCCTTGATTAATAGCAACGCTATCTCTAATACAAATGGAAAAATAGATATAAATAATTGTGATAGGGTCATCCCCTTTTCCTACCTTATTTCTCATTCTATGAGAGCAATGCCATTTTTCCCTGAATAGCAGACCTAAGAAAGAGTTTCATTTTTCTTTTACACTTCCCCAGAGGAGCAAATATCACAAGAAACAGAGTTACATCAACCAAAAGCAATTTGTGTACCTAAATTATTCAGAAATGCTCAGACTGCAGAACCATTATTAGCATTTGATTGTACATTTTGTTCCTAACAAGCACTCCTCGGTCCTACAAAAGATAATAATTGTTGTTCTTCTTCACCTACTTTAAATTAATCTGTCCTTGGGGAGGTCACAGGACTGCCAGGTTAGCAGCTCTGGAATCTAGCCTCATAATTGTACTGAAGTATGGCCTTACAAGCTTCCCTTAGCAGTCGCTTTTTAAAAAATAAAAATAAAAAGTAAAAACCCTGATTCTCTTCAAGTCCTGTTAGAAATTAGGCAGTGAGGCCAGGCGCAGTGGCTCACGTCTGTAATCCCAGCACTTTGGGAGGTCGAGGTGGGTAGATCACGAGGTCAAGAGATCGAGACCATCGTGGCCAACATGATGAAATGCCATCTCTACTAAAAATACAAAAATTAGCCTGGTGTGGTGGCGGGGTGCCTGTAGTCACAGCTACATGGGAGGCTGAGGCAGGAGAATTGCTTGAACTCAGGAGGTAGAGGTTGCAGTGAGTCGAGATCATGCCACTGCACTCCAGCCTGGCTACTGAGTGAGACTCCGTCTCCAAAAAAAAAGGAAAAGAAAAAAGAAACTGGGCACTAGAAGTTGATTTCTGAATTACACATGTAAGGAGACAGAGCCTTCTGTTCTTTGCTTGGGATTAACAGATATTTACAGAGCCTTATGATGTGCCATTATTCTGAGTATCTGGGACTACAGGCATGTGCCACCACAGCCGGCTAATTGTTGTATTTTTAGTAGAGACGGGGTTTCACCACGTTGGCCAGGCTGGTCTCGAACTCCTGACCTCAGGTGATCCGCCCGCCTTGGCCTCCCAAAGTGCTGGGATTACAGGCATGAGCCACCGCACCTGGCCTGCTTACTATATTTTTTAATATTTACAACAAACTACTGAAATGGATTATATCTCACTCAATTAACAGAGTAGAATTTGAAGTTCACCTGGTAACCAGTGGAGCCAGGTTTCACAGTGATAGCTCAATAGCTCAGAACACATCCTTTCCATGATTTCATGCAACGCTTAGGGGAGTGATCCCTGTGTCCTCTCCTCTCTGCTAAAACCTTGCTCTGGTGGGAGCACACGGATGGGTCTAGGTGGTAAAGCTGCTTTGGGGTCCAGGCAGTAAGAACTATATTTATGTATGGGTGCAGGGATCCACATATGTGATTAAGCTCTTCAAGCTTTGACCCAACAGGTCAAATCCAAGAAATTACAGAATAAATTACTTCCCTCTGGGACCTTGTGCAAACTAAACCTTGGAAAAATATTCATGGTTACAACCAAAGCCTATTACGGAGTCCAGAAACAATTACAGGATGTGCTGAACAGAAAGAATAGCCATTCACTGAGTCAGGCTGTGCTCATAGCATAGAGACAAGGGCTGAGTGAAGCTGAGAGGAAGCTGAATTAGTCAAAATTCAGAACAGACAGACTCAAGCTGGTTGGAGCCAGCGGGCAGCTGCTGTGGTCAGTGGCCAGGAAGCAGTCACTTTTTGAAGCGATAACTTTAAATTCTGGCCTTATTCGACCTTATTTTAAATGCATTTCACCCTAGGACGCTGAGAAGCTGCATGGGTCCTTCCAAGGATCCGACCAATATTTGGTGATTCTGGAGAAAGCTGTGTAGGGAAGTCTGACTGCTAGTTTAAACCTTTGTGTTGCCACAGCCAAGCACAGCGCTGAGATCAGAGGGGCTTCATAAATATTTGTTGAAGACAGGAAGGAAAGGAAGGAGAAAATGGGCCAGATTTACACATCTGAAACATGTCTAGAATCCAGAATTATGTGTCAGGAAGAGACAGAAAAAGCCACAGCCGAGCGCCCAGCTGTGGAATGGAAGTTGTCAGAAAAGGGCTTATGACTAGGGACCCATTCACCAGCAGATCTGGATGACGGACTCTTCCGTCATAAAGAAAGGCTGAGATGCACGATGAAAAATCCAGTTCTTGGAAGCACAGGAGAAACAAGGAATACCTCCTGCCTCCGTGGAACTGGAGAAGTAATCGGGACCTTAACCACCCAGACACGGGAAGATGGAGAGACCGGGGTCCTGGGATGCAGAGGCATTGAGGTCAGCAGGACGAATAATCCAAAATCCTGACTAGGATATTCCCCTAATTAGGGTCATTATTCATCATAAAATCAAGTGGCACCTGCAGGAGGGCTTCTATACTCTTCATAGAGAATGCCAAGGTCTGGCAAAACCAGAAACCCAACAGCTTATTGCACATCTTCCTAGTGGCTGGTTACCAGTTTATTAATCCTAACCCCTGGATAGCCGAGCAGATATGGCAAGTTCTTTTTGGTCTGGTAAAAGACGTACCTCTCCCTTTCAGTTGGTTTTTGTTTTTGTTTTTGTTTTTTGAGATGGAGTTTCACTCTTGTTGCCCAGGCTGAAGTGCAATGGTGTGATCTCGGCTCACCGCAACCTCTGCCTCCCAGGTTCAAGCAATTCTCCTGCCTCAGCCTTCCCAAGTAGCTGGGATTACAGGCTAACGCGCCTGGCTAATTTTGTATTTTTAGTAGAGATGGGGTTTCTCCACGTTGGTCAGGCTGGTCTGGAACTCCAGACCTCAGTGATCCTCCCACCTCGTCCTCCCAACATGCTGGCATTACAGGCATGAGCCACTGTGCCCGGCCCCTTTCAGTTTTTTAAGGAGAGAAAGCAAAAACACCTTAGGCAAGCCATCGCCTGGCAAAATAAGATGGGGGAGTAGTTTTTCTCTGAGCACAGTTCTTTAGGACAGTGTGATGGACGGGAGCAGAATGCCCTTGAAGGGTGAGGCCTGGTGTTTCACCTCAGCTCCCAATCAACCCAGTCCCTGGCACACACTCCTGATCCCAGGGTGGGGTTGTTTGTCCCTTCCTCGTTTCTTCTGCATTTCCTATCTCAGCATATTTAGTACATTATTTTTACAATCACCTGATTATTTTATCTTTATGTCTGATTAGTTTCTTTTTGGTTTTTTTTTTGAGACAGAGTCTCCCTCTGTTGCCCGGGCTGGAGTGCCGTGGCATGATCTCGGCTCACTGCAACCTGCACCTCCCGGGTTCAAGCCGTTCTCCTGCCTCAGCCTCCAGAGTAGCTGGGATTACAGGCGCCCACCACCACACCCGGCTAATTTTTGTATTTTTAGTAGAGACAGGATTTCACCATGTTGGCCAGGCTGGTCACAAACTCCCGACCTCTGGTGATCCACCTGACTTAGCCTCCCAAAGTGCTTGGTATTACAGGTAAGAGCCACCGTGCCCGACTGTGATCAGACTATTAACTCCAAGAGAATAGGTACTACATCTACTTTTCTTTTTCATCTTTGTGTCACCAGAACCCAGGCCTGTGCCTGGCATGCTCACTAAATAACAGTTGGATGAATGAATATCAGGAACTGGGCACCATGGCAAGACCCCTACCTCTACAAAAAAATTAAACATAAAAAAATTAGCTGGGCAAGGTAGTGTGCGCGTGAAGGCCCAGCCACTTGGAAGGCTGAGGCGGGAGGATTGCTTGAGCTCAGGAATTCGAGGCTGCAGTGAGCTATGATTCGGCCATTGCACTCCAGCCTGGGCAACAGAGCAAGACCCTGTGTCAAAAATAAATAAATAAAAGAATTATCTCCAATCGCAACTATACGGAAGAAAAAGAAAATTTTACAGGTGAGAGACACAGGATAGTGTTGCTTTCACATTTCTCTTGAGCAGGCTTTTGGGAGCTGCAGTGTAGCAGCATAAAATCTCTCTCTACAGAGCTTGGAGCTGGAAGTCCAAAATTACAAGAAAATAATGGATTACAAGATGTGTGGTATAACTTAACAGTAATTTCTAGGTCAGTTGCAAATGATGACCGTTAATAATTACAAGGTTTTATTCAGGCTTTTCTATTTTCAGAGTGCTTTACAATCATTAATTTGTTATTCCTCACAACATCCCTGTGAGGTAGACCATCATCGTTAGTACATTACAGATGCACTAGGGATGTCAATTTGGATTTAATTGACCCAGGAATGTAGCTATACTTAGTAGTTCATTTGCCCCTCTGCTTTCTGGTCTTAAAAATCTACTGATGCTGCCTAGAGGGTGAGAATGCTAAAGTGCGATTCAGAAAGAAACATTGCAGACAACCGAGAGCATTACAGAGGCAGAGTAGGTACTAAATCTCTAAAACATAAGAGGTACCAGAGAGAAGCCTCAGTGTATTCTAGAAGCACATGCATTAGCGTCTGACCATTTTCTAAAACGTGTGCCTCCCCTCCCCTCCCCTCCTCTCCCCTTCCCTTCCCTTCCTTTCCTTTTTTTGAGATGGGGTCTTGCTCTGTCACCCACGCTGGAGTGCAGTGGTGCAATCTAGGATCACTGCAAACTGCATCTCCCGGGTTGAAGCGATTCTCCTGCCTCAGCCTCCTGAGTATCTGGGACTACGGGCATGTGCCACCACAGCCGGCTAATTTTTGTATTTTTAGTAGAGTTGGGGTTTCACCATGTTGGCCAGGCTGGTCTCAAACTCCTGACTTCAAATGATCCGCCTGCCTTGGCCTCCCAAAGTGCTGAGATTACAGGCATGAATTGACATGCCCGGTCCGGTGGAGCCTTCTTAACAGGCGTTGAAATTGTCCTTGTTATAAGTTTAATTGCAGGCCGGGCGCGGTGGCTCACACCTGTAATCCCAGCACTTTAGGAGGTCGAGGCGGGTAATCACGAGGTCAGGAGATCGAGACCACCCTGGCTAACATGGTGGAACCCTGTCTCTACTAAAAATACAAAAAAAAAATAGCCGTGTGTGGTGGTGGGCACCTGTAGTCCCAGCTACTCAGGAGGCTGAGGCAGGGGAATGGAGTGAACCCGGGAGGCAGAGGTTACAGTGAGCCAAGATCACACCACTGCATTCCAGCCTGGGTGACAGAGCAAGACTCGGCCTCAAAAAAAAAAAAAGAAGAAGAAGTTGAATTGTATCTCCCCAAAGAGATGTGTTGGAATCTTAACCCCCAGTACCTCAGAATGTGACCTAATTTGGAAATAGGGTATTTGCTGTTGTAATCAAGTTAAAATGAGATCATTAGGGTAGGCCCTAATCCAATATGCTAATGTCCTTATAAAAAGTGGAAATTTGGCCAGGCGCAGTGGGTCACGCCTGTCATTTCAGCACTTTGGGAGGCCGAGGCAGGTTAATAACTGGAGGCCAGGAGTTCGAGACCAGCCTGGCCAACATAGTGCAGCCCTGTCTCTACTAAAAATACAAAAACAAAAAGAAAATAGCTGAGTGTGGTGTCATGTACCTGTAATCCCAGCTATTCTGGAGGCTGAGGCGAGAGAATCACTTGAACTCAGGAGGCAGAGGCTGTAGTGCGCCAAGATCTCTCCACTGCACTCCAGCCTGGATGACCAAGCAAGACTCTGTCTCAACCAAAAAAAAAAAAAAAAAAAGGAGGAAATTTGAACACCGAGACAGACATGCAAAGAAGAAACATGGAGGTATGAAGACAGAAGATTCAGGTGATGCATGTTCTAGCCAGGGGTCTCCACATATGGACAGCCAACTATCAGAAGCTACGAAAAGGGAAGGAAGGAACATTCCCTTATAGGATTCAGGGAGAGGATAGCTCTGCTGCTGCCTTAACTTCGGACTTCTAGCCTCCAGAACTGTGATGCAATACATTTCTGTTTTTCCTTTTTTTTGGGGGGGGTTGGAGGAGGGGGACAGAGTATCACTCTGTGGCCAAGGCTGGAGTGCAATGACGCGATCTCAGCTCACTGCAACCTCCACCTTGTGGGTTCAAGCAATTCTCCTGCCTCAGCCTCCCAAGTAGCTGGGATTACAGTTGCGTGCCACCACACCCAGCTAATTTTTGTTTTTTTAGTAGAAATGGGGTTTTGCCATGTTGGCCAGGCTGGTCACAATCTCCTGACCTCAAGTGATCCCCCTCCTCAGCCTCCCAAAGTGCTGGGATTACAGGTGTGAGCCACCACACCAAGCCACATTTCTGTTTTTCTAAGCCACCTAGTTTATGGTACTTTGTTATAGCAGCCCTGGGAAACTAACACAGTACTCCTAATAGATTAATCTCAAAAGGACACAAAAAGTGGCATTGTCCAAGGCCAATACCACGGTGCTCAAGTTGTCCTTGGTGCTAAGTCACTTCCTACCATATAATAACTCGTGTGTGTGAAAGTTGGTCCTCAGCAATCAGACCCTTGGGCGATGTTTTGAATTGTTACATGCTCAATTACAATTATGGCCACAGCTCTACACTATAGGGGCTGCCCCCTAAAAAAATGAGATTTTCGTATTAACAGTCTATATCCCTAGTTTATTAAGGGGACCTCATTTGAAAATACTTGCTTTTAGTCACACAAAGAACAATGGGAAAAAAAAGGTGAATGGAATGATACAACCTATCACCACTATAAAGAGAGTATTTTCAATGCAGGTCTTACTGGTATCCATGTCAAGCAGTTTTTAAAACCACAACAAATTAAATTCGAATAACAGAAGAAAATAAAATATAAACAGGAAAGGTTAATAGAAAATATACAATAAAGAAAATCGACAAAGTCAAAGATTATTTGAAAAGACATTCCGGAGTGATTTTAGCACAACAGGTAAGAAAAAGACAGAGAAGACCGAAATTGCAAATACTGGAAAAGAGACATGACTGTACATTAGATAGATATTAAAAAGCTGTTAGGAAGAGGTTACGAATAACTTTAGGTCAACAAATTTGACAACTTAGACAAAATGTACACATTCACAGAAAAATACAATTCAGAGTCAGGCACAGTGGCTCACGCCTGTAATCTCAGCACTTTGGGAGGCCGAGCAGGGGCGGATCACCTGAGGTCAGGAGTTCAAGACCAGCCTGATCAACATGGTGAAACCCCGTCTCTACTAAAAATACAAAAATTAGCCGGGCATGATAGTGGGCATCTGTAATCCCAGCTACTCTGGATGCTGAGGCAGGAGAATCACTTAAACCCGGGAGACAGAGGTTGCAGCGAGCCAAGATCATGCCACTGCACTCCTGCCTAGGCAACAGAGCAAGACTCCACCTAAAAAAAAAAAAAAAAAAAAGAAAGAAAGAAAACTACAATTTGATAAACTGGCAGAAAAACAAGTTAAAAATTTTCAATCATATATATGTTAAATAAATGGAATGTGTAATTTAAAATTCTCTCAGAAAGAAACTATCAGAGCTAGATGGCTTCACACCAGTGAATTCATTGAAACTACACTCTTAAGAAACTCTTCATAGGATATAAAAGCAGAAATGCTTCCCAGCTTGTTTTATGAGGCCAGCATAGCCTTACAACCCAAACCCAGAAATGATATTACAATAAAGGCAAATTTTAGTACAATATCTCTCAGGAGCACAGATGCTAAAATCCTAAACAATATGTTATCCAAGGCCAATAAAACAATGAAGCATGTTTACAAAAATTAAAAAGGTCTAAATAAAAGAATAGGCCGGGTGCAGTGGCTCACACCTGTAATCCCAGCACTTTGGGAGGCCGAGGTGGATGGATCACGAGATCAGGAGATCGAGACCATCTTGGCTAACACGGTGAAACCCCATCTCTACTAAAGATACAAAAAATTAGCCGGGCATGGTGGTGGGCGCCTGTGGTCCCAGCTACTCAGGAGGCTGAGGCAGGAGAATGGCGTGAACCTGGGAGGCGGAGCTTGCAGTGAGCAGAGACCACGCACCACTGCCCTCCAGCCTGGGCGACAGAGCAAGACTCTGTCTAAAAAAAAAAAAAAAAAAGATAAACTACGTGTACCAATTCCAAAAATTTGACATTATAAAAATGTAAATTCTCCTACAAATAGATGTGTAGTTTAAATGAAATGCCAATCAAAATCTCAGACAGTTTATTTTTGTGAAAATTTGACAAACAGATTCTAAAGTTTATATTAAATGCAAAGAATATGGAATAGTCAAGCTAACCTTGAAGAACAAAGCTGGAGGACTTACACTACTCAATATCAAGACTTGCTATAAAACTATAATAATTAAGATATTGTGGCATTGGCACAAGGATGAATAGATTGATGGTACAAAATACAGAATCCAGAAATAGACCCACAACAAATGGAGTTACTTGATTTATGACAACAGTATAACTGCAGTGAATGGGGGAAATAATGGATTTTTAAAATTAATTGGGACAATTGGATATTCATATGGGAGAACCATATTATGATTTCTACGTCACATCATGTAAAAATGTTAGTTCTATATGACTTCAGACTAAATGTAAAAGGTAAAACTAATTTTTCTAAGATGGGAGAATATTTTCCTAATCGTGGGGCAAGGACTTTTCTCAACAGGACACAAAAGGCTTCAGAAAAACTAGACATACTGAATTTCATTACTATTAGGCCGGGTGCGGTGGCTCACGCCTGTAATCCCAGCACTTTGGGAGGCTGAACCAGGCGGATCACAAGGTCAGGAGATCGAGACCATCCTGGCTAACACAGTGAAACCCCGTCTCTACTAAAAATACAAAAAATTAGCCGGGCATGGTGGCGGGCGCCTGTGGTCTCAGCTACTCGGGAGGCTGAGGCAGGAGAATGGCGTGAACCTGGAGGCAGAGCTTGCAGTGAGCCGAGATCGCACCACTGCACTCCAGCCTGGGCGACAGAGGGAGACTCCGTCTCAAAAAAAAAAAAAAAAAAAATTAAGAACTTGTGCCCATCAAAAAACATTGAGAGAGAAAAGGCAAGACACAGGATGGAAGAAATATACACGTGCGCGTGTCTGTATGTGTATATATAAAATGTCTTACATATAGGACATGTACATAACTCCTGGGGGTAAAATTGGCTAAGGACTTGAATAAGCCCTTCACAAAAGAAAAAAAATCAAAATGAACAATAAATACATTAAAAAGGTGCTCTAAATCAATAGTCACCAAGGAACAGAAATTAAAACCATATTGAACTGTCACTCCACATCCACCAAAATGGCTAATATGAAATAGTCCTACAGTACCAAGTGTTGGTGAGGATTGTTTTGTTTTGTTTTGAGACAGTCTCATCATCACGCAGGTGGCTGGAGTGCAGTGGCGCGATCTTGGCTCACTGCAACCTCTGCCCTCCGGGTTCAAGTGATTCTCCTGCCTCAGCCTTCGAAGTAGCTGGGATTACAGGAGTGCTCCACCACGCCCAGCTAATTTTTTTGTATTTTTCAGTAGCGATGGGATTTTGCCATGTTGGTCAGGCTGGTCTTGAACCCCTAATGTCAGGTGATCCACCCCCATCAGCCTCCCAAAGTGCTGGGATTGCAGGCATGAGCCACCGCAGCCGGCCAAGTGTTGGTGAGGATGTGAAGGAAGTGGAATAGTTATTACTTGCTGCTGGGAATGTAATGGGCATAACCCCTTAGAAACTGTTCTGCAGCATCTGCCAAAGTGAAAAAGATGCACAGGCTGTGACCCAGCAGTTTTACTCCTCAGTATATATCCAACAGTAATGCATACATTCATTTACCAAAACACATAGGAGAATATTTATAGCAGCATTATGCAAAACCACGGAAACAATTCAAAGCCCAACAAAATAAAACAGATAAAAAAAGGAATACAATACAGCAATAAGAATAAACCAGCTGTTGTTACACACACTAACACAGGTAAACATCACAAACATTATGTTTAGCAAAAGAGGCCAGATGCAAGAGTATGTGCTGTCTGACGGATTCCATCCATCCATCTATTCATTTATTCATTTAGAGATAGGGTCTCACTATGTGGCCCAGGTTGATCTTGAACTCCTCCGCTCAAGTGATCCTCCTGCCTCAGCCTCCAGGAGTAGCTGGGACTATAGGCAGGGGCCACTGCATTCAGCTGATTTAATTTATGTAAAGTTCAAAAACAGGAAAACACATCATTAGTGGTGGAAGTCAGGGGAGCAAGGAATAGGTGGAAAGGAGTATGAAGATATTTATGGGATGTTGGAAATTGTTCATTCTTTTTTTTTTTTTTTTTTTTTGAGATGGAGTCTTGCTCTGTCGCCCAGGCTGGAGTGCGGTGGCGCGATCTCGGCTCACTGCAAGCTCCGCCTCCCGGATTCACGCCATTCTCCTGCCTCAGCCTTCCAAGTAGCTGGGACTACAGGGGCCCGCCACCACGCCTGGCTAATTTTTTTTGTATTTTTAGTAGAGATGCGGTTTCACCGTGTTAGCCAGGATGGTCTCGATCTCCTAACCTTGTGATCCACCCGACTCGGCCTTCCAAAGTGCTGGGATTACAGGCGGTAATTGTTCATTCTTAATCAGGGTATGATTTACCCAGGTATGTTCATTTCGAAAATTCAGCTATATATCTATGGTTTGTGTGCTTTTTTGTGTGTGTATTTCAATAAAAATTTACTTGAAAAGAGTGTGTTACATCCGGATATGCATTTATAAAGCCCATATAACTTTAGAATCTGATAGATTCTTAGATTTGGGACAAAAAAGGAATGACGGACTTTCCCTTGATTGGGAGGTGGCTAGAAATGTGGCTGGGAGGAAAAATGGAGCCCACACTGTGAAGTTCTTTCAATACAGCGCCAAGGCCTTGAGAATGAGTTCAGGAGACCACAGAGAGCTGGTGGGGATGAAGTAAGGCAATATGACTAGACCCAGGTTTATGGAAAAATTCTTACAGTGATATGTGAAATAAACTGAAAAGGCAGAAGGGAAGATGCAGGGAGGCTAGGTTAGACACTGTCAAAATAATGAGAAAAGAAATGAAGGTCATGTGTTTTCCCCAAGCCCATCCAAGCCTGCCCCTTTATCTAGACCTGTGGAATAAACAAGTACAGATTCTGCAAACACTGGCAATTCCTGGAAACTCCGTCTTTCCATCCCAGGAGCATCTTCCTTGCTGATGACTTGCAGAAGAGGAACAAGCCCTGGAGGGACTGCTGTCAAAGAATCTTCATCCTGACAAGTACTTGGGTGCCAGTTCTTGTCATGCTTCGTATCTCAGGACACATTCATGCATGGAATTTCTGGTGAAATTCAAAGTTATGCTGTCTAATAAAATATCACAGGACAGAAACTGCATAGCAGTACAGATCTAAGGACTCCAATGTTGGATCAATAGTTTTTGACACTAACTTCTTTACTTGAGTAATGTAGTCTGATGTTAAGGTGGACTAGAGGCTGGGCACAGTGGCTCACGCCTGTGATCCCAACACTTTGGGAGGCTGAGGCAGGAGGAACACTTGAGGCCATGAGTTTAAGACCAGCTTGGGCAATGCAGCAAGACCTTCTCTCAACAAACAATTAAAACAAATAGCCAGGCGTGGTGGCACACATCTGTAATCCCAGCTACTTGGGAGGCTGAGGTGGGAGGATCGCTGGAGTCCAAAAATTTGAGGCTACAGTGAGTTATGATGCTGCTACTGCACTCCAGTCTGGGTGACAGAACCAGACCCTGTCTCAAAAAAACCCAAAAACACAAAAAAGCAAACGATAGACTGGAAGTACTAGTGGTAACAAGGAAAACAGTATAAGGAATAGCTTCAGCTTGTTTGTGATTTTGTTAGCAGGGGAGCCCTGATGAATTAACTGGAAAAGTTATTTTTCTTACTGTTTTTCTTTAGTCACTTTATTTGTAGGCATAATTACTTAAAGAAACTAGGTGCCCCGGCATGGCACCAGAACTTCTTGACCCCGATCAGATACCAGAGGGAGATAAGACCCCGCAAACCAGAGCAACAGGAAAAGGTTCCCCAAGTTGCCTTCAGTGCTAAAATTCTCTCCCCCAAAAGAAAATCTCCACTCTTTTGTGTATATGTGTTGTATGAAGACATATGTTTGAATCCAGCCTATATGTCTGCAGTCCTGCCTGGCACATGCAAACATTCCTCTCTCACCCTGCTCCTAGTCCTTAAAAAAAAACCCATGTCTTCCATAGTTCAGCAAAAAGGAGCATTGAGAGCCAGAGCCTCCCTCCTTTGTTCCCTGACAGTAAATAAAACCTGATTGCCTTTTCTGCTATGAAGTTCTTCCTTTGCCACCAATACAAAATGGGAAAAGAACTCAGTTTATGGGCAATAGTTTTATATGTAAAAATAATGCTCCTCCAGCCCTCTGGACACAAGGAATTCACTCTGGTTTATAGACAAGGCATGCATGCACAAGAATCCAGCAAAGAGATAAGAAAATCTCCTCCCTCCTTTTCTTTCCCTCTTTCTATGGTTTATATAAAGCATATGAGATGGGAGTGAGGACTAAACTCTGATTTTTTTATCTTGCCCAAATTCCCATCTAAGGGGTCTGGGGAGTCACGCCCTACAAATCATAAATTCTCATCAGATGGGTTTTCTTTAACCCTATATATCATGACTTACTTTCCAACCTGACTCTGGCATAATGTTACGAGACAAGGAAGAAAATTAAAATTTACCCCAAAACATGTTTCATTGCCATAGTTTGAAATGTCCCTGCAAAGCTGTTCTTTGCGAGGAGGTTGGGGGAGGGGGGTGGTGGATGACAGAATTTGCATCCATAAAGAATTTATTTATTTATTATTTTATTTTATTTTATTTTGAGACAGAGTCTCGCTCTGTCGCCAAGCTGGAATGCAGTGGCGGGATCTTGGCTCACTGCAACCTCCACCTCCTGGGTTCAAGCAATTCTCCTGCCTCAGCCTCCCAAGTAGCTGGGACGACGGGCATGCACCACCATGCCCAGCTAATTTTTGAATTTTTGTAGAGACGGGGTTTCACCATGTTGGCCAGGATGGTCTCGATCTCTTGACCTCATGATCCACCCGCCTTGGCCTCCCAAAGTGCTGGGATTACAGGCGTGAGCCACGGTACCCGGCCAAGAATCCATTAACATAGCTAGATCTTTTTCTTCCAGACCCTCCCAACCCTAAAGAGATAACTAAGATCGGAATAGGAAACATTTGTCGTATATTGTCTCTGAGGGCAGCCACTGTAAGACTTCAAAAGAACTTTGGTCTCCACAATCTTTATCTTAAACAGAGCATCCCCTTTCTATCAATCCCAGGTCTTTAGACAAAGTCAACCAATTGTCCACCAGAAAATGTTTAAATTCACCGATAGCCTGAAAGCCCCACCACCCCCCACCCCTGCTTTGAGTTGTCCTGCCTTTCTGGACCAAACCACAAACCAATGTATTTCTTACCTGTATTTGATGGATGTCTCATACCTCTTTAAAACATATAAAACCAAGCTGCGCCCCGACCACCTTGGGCACATGTTCTCAGGATCTCCTAAGGGCTGGGTCACGGGCCGTGGGCACTCATATTTGGCTCAGAACAAATCTCTCAAAATATTTTCCAGAGTTTGGCTCTTCATTGACAGGAATATACAGAGCAAGGAGTTAATGCAGCAGACCTATACTGTTGTCCTGGGAAAAACTTGCTTGCAAGCGTGGCCCTTGACAGACATCTGGGAATTTAGATTTCAGGAGTGTTCCTGAAACCGCCATTGAAAAATTATAACAGTAAGAAAACTATGACTGTGAAAGAGATCTGATCTAACCAAACCCTATCTTGCCTTTAACCTCCAAACTGCCCTTAGCCATTTCTGGACTTGGGCCAAACTAACTTTGGGAGAAATTTAGTTTACCGTTTAAATGATCATAGCCCCTCCCCAAAACGAAACCACCTTTGTAAAGCTAATGAAAGACCACCAGGTTAGGAGGATGAGAGGAGCCTGAATTCTGCTAAGGTGTAGACATACAGCAATGGTCACCCTTTATTCCAGGGGTCACAAGATTTGCAACTTCCCCAATTACTCCTGCAGATAATATCACAATTGTAGAACCTGAGATTGGCCTTTTGATATGGGCTTTCAGATTTGTGCATTTCTGACAACGGATGACTCTACTGTGACCACCAATCAGTCCTGTGGGCCCCATCCAGAAGCAGACTTAGTGTGCAAAGCACCCTTTTCCACACGGCTGTGATTGTATCCCACCAAGCAGCTGCACCCATCCCCTTGCTTGCCAAACAATCCTTGAGAAAACCTATCCTCTGAATATTCCAGGAGGCTGATTTGAGTAATAATAAAACTCCAGTCTCTCACTCAGCTGGCTCTGCATGAATTAACCTCTTTCTTTACTGCAATTCCCCTGTCTTGATAAATTAGCTCTGTCTGGGCAGTGGGCAAAATGAACCCATTGGGCAATTACATTCCCACTCTTAACTGGTTAAAGTGATTTACTGTGTCTAGATTGTTTGTACAAATAATATGGTTTATGTTTCAGGGTCCTCCAGAGAAGCAGAATCACGGGGTGGGAGGGGTGTATTTTAAGGAAATAGCTCATGTGATTATAGAGCTGGCAAGTTCAAAACCTACAGGTAGGCCACCAGGTTGGAGACCCAGGCAGAGCCAATGCTGCAGTTCAAGTCCATAGGCTGTCTGCTGGCCAAATTCCTTCTTGCTCAAGGAAGGTCAGTCTTTTTTTTCTTTTGAGACAGAGTTTCGCTCTGTTGCCCTGGCTAGACACGATCTCGGCTCACTGCAAGCGGGTTCACGCCATTCTCCTGCCTCAGCCTCCCGAGTAGCTGGGACTACGGGTGCCCGCCACCAAGTCTGGCTAATTTTTTTGTATTTTTAGTAGACGCAGGGTTTCACCGTGTGAGCCAAGATGGTCTCGATCTCCTGACCTCGTGATCCACCCGCCTCGGCCTCCCAAAGTGCTGGGATTATAGACAAAAGCCACCACGCCCAGCCTAGGGAAGGTCAGTCTTTTGTTCTAGTTGGGCCGTCAACTGATCTTGGAATCTTGGAAGCTTGTACGTGGTTTCCGCTGGACTTCATCCCATGTGTCTTTTCTCTTTGCTGATTTGGTTTGTATCCCTTTGCTGTAGTAAATCACAGTTGTATGACTAGATATGGAGTCCTGCAAGCCCCACTAGTGATTCATCAAACCTGGGGGTAGTCCTGGGGACCCCAACACACGATATTACAAGGGCTAATCTTATTCCCTTCATCCACTGAAACATATTGAAAGGTGTAACATGAGTAAATCACACATTGTATCAAAAGCATATTATAATGAATAACATAAGAGTAGCTCAGAGGAGCTACTGATTATATAGTACTTTGGGAACATGAAGGGTCACCTGAAGACTAATTAATAATCATAAGGCAAATTATACTTTTCAATTAATTTCAAGGGACTTTTCAGCAGATTTTCACAAAAACGAACTTAATTTTGTATGTCCAGCAAGAACTTTTGTAAACCTTTTAAATATACCCTAGAATATTTTTAGTGATAAAGATAAGTGCAGAGATCCATTAACTGAAGGGAAAAATGTTTGGGAACTATTGAATAAAATTTCAAGCCTAATAGGTTTTGAAATCAGTATTACAATTATAAGGAAATATTTCGTATATAATGCTCTCTGGGTTTTGTTTAATAGTCATACCAATTAACTTCTCAATTTCAATAGAAATGTAGGAAATTCACCTCTGTTCAGTACTTGACAAATAAATCATGGTAATTACATATTCACATGGCCTATAATAACTCTTCTAACTCAGCCTAGTAAGCAAGTGTCTTTTTTTTTTTTTTTTTTTTTTGGAGATAGAGTCTCACTCTGTTGGCCAGGCTGGGGTGCAATGGCACGATCTTGGCTCGCTGCAACCTCCACCTCCCAGGTTGAAGTGATTCTCCTGCCTCAGCCTCCTGAGTAGCTGGGATTACAGGCACGTGCCACCACACCCAGCTAATTTTTGTATTTTTAGTAGAGACGGGGTTTCACCATATTGGTCAGGCTGGTCTTAAATTCCTGACCTCGTGATCCACCCACCTCGGCGCTCCGAAAGTGCTGGGATTACAGGCGTGAGCCACCATGTCCAGCACAAGTGTCATTTAAGATAATTATTCTTTTCTAAAAATCACATGTATAAAATGACTACTGCAGGTCAGGAGTTCTGAAGCTCTATGATGACATGGAAACAGGAGTTTCCTAAACCTTCAGTTCAGTATCAGCATCCTTCCAGGTCCAGCTTTGGTGAGATGTGTGTTCCCAGGGCACTAACACATATTTATCTGTTTCCCTTTGTATTAGTCTCTTTTCACGCTGCTGATAAAGACATATTTGAGACTGGTGAATTTATCAAGGAAAGGGGTTTAGGTGACTGAGAGTTCCAGATAGCTGGGGAGGCCTCACAATCATGGTGGAAGGCAAGTGAGGAGCAAAGTCACGTCTTACATGGTGGCAAGTAAGACAGCATGTGTAGGGGAATTCTTATTTGTAAAACCAACAGATCTCATGAGACTTATTCACTACCATGAGAACAGTATGGGGGAGACCGCCCCCCAGGATTCAATTAGCTCCACCTGGCCCCAACCCTTGACGTGGGGATTATTACAATTATTACAATGTGAGATTTGGGTAGGGACACAGCAAACCATATCACCCATGTTACTTAAGCATAAATAATCATAGTAGGAATAGAGTCTTTGAAGCTGATTCAGTAATATCTGAATAGCCCTGGCAATCTAGAAGCCAAATGTCCTTAGGAAAGTAAAATAGGAAATAAGTAGGAAGAATCCAGACTTTCAAGTTGGACAAACTGAAGACGGTGGGCTGTAAAGGAGATTTATGGGGAAATCATAAGCTACCTTTGTGCGGGGCACTTTGAGAAGCATTGTAGTGTGTTCTTGATAAATTGATGCTATTAATATCATTCTTTTTGTTTTAGATAGAGTCTCGCTCTGTCACCAGGCTGGAGTGCAGTGGTGTGATCTCTGCTCACTGCAAGCTCCACCTCCTGGGTTCACACCATTCTCCCGCCTCAGCCTCCTGAGTAGCTGGGACTACAGGCTCCTGCCACCACGCCCGGCTATTTTTTTTTTTTTTTTTGTATTTTTAGTAGAGACAAGGTTTCACCGTTTTAGCCAGGATGGTCTCGATCTGCTGACCTTGTGATCCGCCCACCTTGGGCTTCCAAAGTGCTGGGATTACAGGCATAAGCCACCGTGCCCAACCAATATCGTTCTTATTATATTATTGCAGTGTACCTCTGAAAGGTGTTCTTTTAGTAAACTCTTACTTTCTGATTATTTATATCTGCTTTGAATTCACATGAACAGTAAGCACCTGACTATTCTCAAAATCTGTCAAGAACCACTAGGCTCCTATCTTAATCTGTGTCTCTGTCACTCCAGAGCTCCCCCTTCCTCTAATAATGGTCCCCCTTGGTAGGTGTTTTCTTCAGGTCTCCTCTAACTCTTGAAGCCTGAATAGTGATGATTATAAGCTCTCCAGTGTTAATCAAGGCTTACAATATTAAGCCAGCCAAATCTATAAAATCTTAGTGTAATTAAAGTTAAGCACCTCTTTTTGTGCTTGAAAAAAGCCATAATGATGCTCTTGCTCTTTAGAAAGTGTTGGCTGAAGTCTATAGATTTTCAATGAGTTAAAATTTCCCAAGATTTGTTTCTCAGAGGGCCAAAAGAAAGACGATAAAAAGGATTTGAGAGTACTGCATTGGCAAGAATTGTAAAGATAATTACCCACATTAGTCACCTTTTATCCATTTTCTTTCCGTTTTTTTCTGAAAAAAAAAAAAAAAAGTGAAAGGGAATCCAATACAACACTCTGTGATAATGGAACAGATCCCTTCATGAACTAAGTACACTTGAGATACAAATCCAAATGGCACTCTCTAGCTGCCAGCTGATGTTCAAATATTCAGTTCAAGTTAGGAACTGAGATGACCCTATATACAGATACTAATCAGGAGTATTCATTAGACCTTCATCTTCAGTGTCCTTGGGTTGGTTTGGAGCTCTCTCAAGGGAGTTTATGGTATGATTTTGAGCACTCTGCTTACAGAATGCAATGAGCTGTGCTGCATTCTGCCTGCTTCCAGTAGCACACGGGCTTGGGCAAGCAGACAGCAGCTCCACCAGTACTTACAATGCCATGAATACCATTCACCATTTAGAATGAGGTCTGGGTAATCAATGACAGTACTTCATGAATACACACTGCATCTTACTGGCTGATTAGTTTTTATAAGATGTCTCTGATGTTTTCAGTGTTGGACAAAATAACAGAACTACTGTTGCTGAAGATGTGATTCCATGAAGCCTTCAGTATAGTAGACTTGGTGTGTATTTGCACACCTCGACATAGGACCCATAGCAAGGGGTTATATTCAAAATATGTAATAACCTGTGTGGCCTGGGCACAAATCAGTAAAGAAGTCAGCCACCAACTGACAGGTAGCTCCTCTTCTACTTTTCAGATGGACATCAAGCTCTGCTTGTGTTGGGTTCAGCGTTACATGACCTCTACCAAAGACTGATTACAAGCCCCAGCACCCAAATGAGGAGGCTAAGTCATCTTGAGGTCTTACATACAGAGGTAGAGATAGAATAGTGCCTACAGGTGCAAGGAGTGTAAAAAATTATCTTTGGCTGGGCACAGTGGCTCACGCCTATAATCCCAGCACCTTGGGAGGCTGAGGCAGGTGGATCATGAGGTCAGGAGTTCGAGACCAGCCTGGCCAACATGGTGAAACCCCACCTCTACTAAAAATACAAAAATTAGCCGGGCATGGTGGCTGGTGCCTGTAATCCCAGCTACTTGGGAAGCTGAGGCAGGATAATTGCTTGAACCCAGAAGGCAGAGACTGCAGTGAGCTGAGATCGTGCCACTGCACTCCAGCCTGGGCAACAGAGCATGACTCCGTCTCAAAAAAAAAAACTATCTTTATGGTCCCTTATTGAACTCTGAATTTTTGAAAGGATAGCATCTCTTGCCAGAGGAAAAAAGTTCCATTGTAGCAACTCTCTACAATTGTGATCACATGTACTTTAACTTAGCATATATTTTGGCAAAACACTTTGAAGAAAGGGATCAAATTCTGCCGCTAGAAAGAGAACCCATTTTGGCCGGGCGCGGTGGCTCACACCTGTAGTCCCAGCACTTTGGAAGGCTGAGGTGGGCGGATCACGAGGTCAGGAGATCAAGACCATCCTGGCTAACACAGTGAGACTCCGTCTCTACTAAAAATACAAAATAGCCAGGCATGGTGGTGGACGCCTGTAGTCCCACCTAATGGGGAGGCTGAGGCAGGAGAATGGTGTGAACCCGGGAGGCAGAGCTTGCAGTGAGCTGAGATCACATCACCACACTCCAGCCTGGGTGACAGAGCGCGACTCCATCTCAAAAAAAGAAAGAGAACCCATTTTTCATAATGCCGCAGTTTAGGCCAGTCTGATAAGTTCCGGTATACCAGAAGACAGAGCCACGCTGGTCTCACACGAAATTAGGTTGCACATGTACTTATTTTCTTTTCTTTTCCTTGTTTTTTTTTTTTTTTTTTTTTTTTTTGAGGGGGAGGCTCGCTCTGTTGCCCAGGCTGGAGTGCAGTGGTGTAATCTCAGCTTAATGCAAACTCTGTCTCCTGGGTTCACACCATTCTCCTGCCTCAGCCTCCCAAGTAGCTGGGACTACAGGTGCCTGCCACCCACACCCAGCTAATTTTTTGTATTTTTAGTAGAGACGAGGTTTCACCGTGTTAGCCAGGATGGTCTTGATCTCCTGACCTTGTGACCCGCCTGCCTCGGCCTCCCAAAGTGCTGGGATTACAGGTGTGAGCCACCGCGCCAGGGCGCACGTGTACATGTTTTCTTCCTGAGCACTGAGCCAGATGCAGGAACTCTGAGGGATGGAGAGCACAGCAGGAAAGTGGAGATGGAACCAATTCTTTCCTGTCTGTATGCCGCAATAGCCAACCACTCCTTTGTGGTACCTGTAATTATTCCTACTCAAAGTTATCTTTGCATATATAGCATGTAAAGTTTGAGTTTTAGGGAGGTACAGTGGGAAACATGGGATTAGAGAAGTCAGCCTCTGGAAATAATGAGTAGTGACATATACTGGAACATTATTCAGTACCACGCTTACCTAGAAAAAGTGAAAGAGCCTAGAGTATAAGCAAGGTGGTGGAGGTTGTGGCAAAAGAGAAATCCATTGTGTAAAAGATCCAGCTCCTACCATCTCAGGAATAAAAGGATGATAAGATTAAATACCCCTTCCCCAATTGTAGGGATTCAAATATATAATAGAAATAATATTTGAGGACCTTTTCTTATTTATTAAAAAGATAAACAGGTCGGGTGCAGTAACTCACACCTGTAATCCCAGCACTTTAGGAAGACGAGGCAGAAGGATCACTTGAGGTCAGGAGTTTGAGACCAGCCTTGAAATACAGTAAGCCCTTATATCTTCAAAAAAAAAAAAAAAAAAGAAAAGAAAAGAAAAGAAAGAAAGAAAAGAAAAAAAGAAAAAGAAAAAAAAATGGTGGCGTGCACCTGAGCGACTTGGGAGACTGAGGCAGGAGGATCACTTGAGCCTAAGAGTTCAAGGCTGCACAGTGAGCAATGATTATGCCACTGCTCTCCATGGTGATACCATGTCTCTAAAAAATAAAATAAACAATGTTATATTTTGGAGTACAATTTTTTAAGAATAGTCTTGTTTTATAGTATACATGAACATGATAATAAAATCGTAGAGAAATGGAACTTGTTGGAAAGTTAAAACTGCCCCCTCACCAGCTTGAGCCTGCTTTAGAAACTGGTAGTAGAAGAAGGAACACATGGTCATTAATTCCTGCCCTGAATTCCTCCTCTTCCTCACCTAGCCTGGTGAGTGTGAGGATTAATTTTATATGTCAGCTTGACTGGACTAAGGGAGCCCCAGATAGCTGATACAAGATTATTTCTGGATGTGTCTGTGAGAGTTTTTGCAGAAGAGATTAGCATTTAAATCCATGGACTCAGTAAAGATCACCCTCACCAGTGCAGGCAGGCATCATGCAATCAGTTGAGGGCTGGAATAGAACAAAAAGATGGAGGAAGGGCAAATTCACTCTCTCTGCTTGTGTTGGGACATCCATCTTCTGCCCGAAGCCATTGGCACTCCTGGTTCTCAGACTTTCAGTCTCAGACTGGGAACACCATTGCCAACCCTCTCCACATCCCCCCACCCCTCCCCAATTCTCAGGCCTTTGGACTTGGACTGAATTACACTACCAGCTTTCCTTGTACTCCAGCATGCAGATGGTAGATCTAGGAGCTTACTGGTCTCCATAACCAAGTAAGCCAATTCCTACAATGAATCCCTATCTATCTATCTATCTATCTATCTATCTATCTATCTATCTATCCATCTATCCATTCATCTATGTGTGTATCTATGTATCTATCTATGTATCTATCCATCCATCCATGTATCTATCTATCTATATCTATCTATCTATCTATCTATCTATCTATCTATCTATCTATCTATCTATCCATCCATCCATCCCTGTATCTCTTCATCTACTCATCTATGTATGGATGGATGAATGTATCTGTGTATCTATCTATCTATATCTATCTATCCATCCACATATCTATCCATCTATCCATTCATCCATCTATGTATCTATCCATCTACCCATCCATTTATTCATCCATGCATCTATTCATCCAACCATGTATCTATCCATCTGTCCATGTATGTGTGTATGTATGTATGTATCTATCTATCTATCTCCTACCGGATCTGTTAACTCTAGAGAACCTAGACTAATACCATAGTCATAGATTCTGATGTCCCCAAAATTAATGCAGGGAAGGGAGGAGTTGTGAAGGAGAGAAAAATATGACTTTTTGGTGCCCTCTGAGAACAATAGATGTTTTAAAACTCTATGTAGGATGGATGATCGAAATCGACTTCATTTTGGGGGTGCCTTGTGGGCTCTTCAGAGACCCAACTTACTATACTGAACTCCATTCCCTGTCATTTTCTTCGACTGCCTGCTTGCATGGTCTCCCACAGTCTCTAGTAATCTGTTGGTCCACCGTCTGAGGCAATGCTTTTGAGCAGATTGCAAAATAGCTCCAGATTAACTCTCTTCATCCCTCAGGCCAGCTTCTGCCTCATGAAAACTATTTGCACAACCTTACCCACATCCAGCTCCCCATCCCAGTGCAGCCCAGTGTGTATTTTTCTGTTCTGCTACCTCAAGTGGACAATCAAACCCTCTCACCCTAAATGTCTCAGGTGCATGTCAGAAATCAGTCCACTCGTTTGCAGCAAACTCCAGGGTTCACACGTAGGGCCCTCTGAATGGCCTATTTGAAGAGAGAAGTGGGGACCACTATTCCCCACTCTCATGAGTGCAGTGGTGCTATCATAGCTCACTGCATCCTTGGCCTCCTGGGCTCAAGTGATCCTCCAACCTCAGCCTTCCAAGTAGCTGGAACTACAGACGTGAGCCACCAGGCCTGGCTAATTTTTTATAGTCCCTTCCTTTGCAAGTTGTGGATGGATGGTATAGTAATTTGATTTGTGTGGCACACTTGTTATCTATTGTCTTGCTTACTCAGTCAAAACCAAGACTGAAAGTCACATGTTAACATCCTGTTGCTCTTAGCATTTACCTGAATAGAAACAAGATACCAGAAACAGACTATTAAAATCTAAGAAGACAGACTCTTCAACTGCAAGTTTAATGCTCATTTGTATCACTTGCCACCCTCCCTCCCTCTCCCACTGTCTAAGTCAGTTTGGGCTGCTACAACAAAAATATAGACTGGGTGGCTGCAATAACAAACATTTATTTTTTCACCGTCTGGAAGCTGCGAGGTCCAAGATCAAGGCACTGGCAGATTCAGTGTCTGGTAAGAATCTGCTTCCTGGCTTTCTTGTTGTATACTCACACTGGCAAGGGCTGTGAGGTGGAGGATAGAGAGGGAGAAGGAAGAAAGGAGGGAGAGCTCTCATTTTTCTTCTTCTAAGGACATTAATTTCAACATAAGGGCTCTATTCTTTTGACCTAATTACCCTCCGCCAAAGACCTCATCTTTAAATATCATCACATTGGGATTAGAATTTTTCTTTTCTTTTTTTTTTTTAGATAGTGTCTCACTCTGTCACCCAGACTGGAGTGCAGTGGTGTGATCTCAGCCTACTCTAACCCCTGCCTCCCAGGCTCAAGCTATCCTCCCACATGCGCCTCCTGAGTAGCTGGGACGACAGGCACGCATCTCTGCACTGAGCTAATTTTTCTTTTTTCTTTCACTTTTTCTTTTTTTTTTGAGATAGAATCTCGCTCTGTCACCCAGGCTGGAGTGCAGTGGTGCGATCTCAGCTCACTGCAAACTCTGCCTCCCGGGTTCATGCCATTCTTCTGCCTCAGCCTCCCAAGTAGCTGGGACTACAGGCGCCTGCCACCATGCCCGGCTAATTTTTTTCTGTTTTTAGTAGAGACGGGGTTTCACTGTGTTAGCCAGAATGGTCTCGATCTCCTGACCTCGTGATCCGCCCGCCTCGGCCTCCCAAAGTGCTGGGATTACAGGCGTGAGCCACCGCACCAGGCCCCAGCTAATTTTTCTATTTTTTGTAGGGAAGGGGTTTCGCTATGCTGCCTAGGTTGGTCTTGAACTCATGGGCTTAAGCAAATCTACCAGCAGGCCTAGGATTTCCACATATAAATTTTGAGGAGAGACGTTCGGTCCATAGCACCCACTCTTTTATATAATATACTAAAAAAAAAAAGACTTAAAAATTAAGCTTATCTTTTGAATTACTATAAAAAAATAAGGTTTTGAAGTTCATCCAGAAACACAAAAGAAACTAAAATGCTTACACAGGTACACTCAGGTGACAAAGATATAAAGAAAAACAAGGAAATAATTATCATATAAAAGTCAGGGTAGTGGTTATCATAGAAGAAGAATAAAAAGAAGCCCCAGCAGGGATTCTGGGGTGCTGAGAATGCTTGCTTTATTTAGATGATGCTTAGCTGTTTAATAATAATCTGTTAAAATGTACACTGGTGTTTTGTGCAATTTCTCTGTGTATGCTGTATTTCATAATTTAAAATGTATTAATCGTTCCATTATTACTAAAAATTGCAATGGACTGGGCTGGAGGAGGGGATAGCAGAGTGAAAGCACAGAGATGAGGGTGAAAATTATTTCACTAGTCCACATACATGAGGTTGGTAACTTGAACTAGATCGGTGGTGGAAGAAATGGTAAAACAGGCTAAGATTCACACTATATTTACAGGATTGAGTTTCTAGGACTTTCTGGTGGCTTAGCTGTGGATGTGGTGGAATGGAAGATGTTAATAAATAAAACAGAGACATTAAGGGAGACACTTAGGGTCCTGGACTTACCAAATGGATGAAGGAATGGCTCCATTTACTAAGATGGAGGAGACTAAGATGAAAACAGATTTTGAGAGAAAGAAAGAATAATTTGGTTATAGGTAAGTTAAATGTAAGACGCTTCTGGACACTGAAGTAGAGATGTTGAGTACGTAGTTGGAGACATATTCCATGGATTAAGGAATAAGTCTTGGCTGAAATAATCTTTTGGACCAAAGACAATTTCTTTAATTTTCTAGATTATGACTTCAATATATCTTTTACCTTTTGTTTCTATTACCAATCTTATGGTTTACAGTTGGAATTCCTCTTACTGACCGTTAGGGACATCATTTTCTCTTGCACTATTCTCATCTCTATAAATAACGTAAATGTGACTGGAAATCCCGTGTCAATTTACCCTTAGCACATGGATTGGTCTGCTTGAGCTGCCATCACAAAATGCCAGACTGGGAGGCTTAAACAACAAATTTATTTTTTCACAATTCTGAAGACTCGGAGTCTAAGGATGCCAGTATGGCTAGGTTCTGATGAGGGGATCTTCCTGGCTTCCAAAAGGATGCCTTTCTGCTGGGTGCTCACATGGCAAAGACAGAGGAAAACTCTCTGGTGTCTCATCCTATAAGGGCACTGCTATAGTGTAGATATTTGTCTCCTCCTAACCTCATGTTAAAATTTGAGACTCAGTATTGGAGGTGGGGCCCAATAGGAGGGGTGTGCATCATGGGGGCAGATTTCTCGTGAATGGTTTTGTGCTGTCCTAGTGGTAATGAGTGAGTTCTCACTCTTTTAGTCCCCCCGCAAAAACTGGGTTTTTGTTTTTGTTTTAAGAATGAGTTTCGCTGTTGTTACCCAGGCTGGAGTGCAGTGGCATGATCTCAGCTCACTGCAACCTCCGCCTCCCTGGTGCAAGCGATTCTCCTGCCTCAGCCTCCCAAGTAGCTGGGATTACAGGCGCTTGCCACCATGACCAGCTAATTTCTGTATTTTTAGTAGAGACGGGGTTTCAACATGTTGGCCAGACTGGTCTCGAACTCCTGATCTCAGGTGATCCGCCCGCCTTGGCCTCCCAAAATGCTAGGATTACAGGAGTGAGCCACCACGCCCAGCCTAAAAGCTGGTTGTTAAAAAAACCCAGCACCTTCTCCCTCTCTCTTGCTTCCAGTCTGGCCACATCGTCTCTGACATGCGAGCTCCCCTTCACCTTCCACCATAAATGGAAGCAGCCTGAAGCCCTGACCAGAAACAAATGCTGGTGCCATGGTTCTTGTACAGCCTGCAGAATCATGAGCCAAATAAACCTCTTTTCTTCATAAATACCCCAGCTCCAGGTATTCCTTTATAGCAATGCAAATGGACTAAGACAGGCCCTAATCCCGTAATGAAGGCCCCACCTTTGTGACCTGATCTATACCTAATTACCTTCCAAAGGCCCCATCTCCAAATACCATCACATTGAGGGGTAGGGCTTCAACACAGGAATTTTAGGAGACACAATCCAGTCTATAGCAGCACAGTTCATTGTCTCTTCTGCTATATCAGTTCTCCCTATTAGGTTTTATTGAGGTTTGGGCCTTTAGATTTAATATGGTTTTTCTGCATGGCTGAATTTCCTTTTTACAATCGTTGTTTCTTCCTTTTTTTCTTTTTAAGACCAAGGGCATGAATACAGGGGATCACTACACAGGCAGTCAACTACAATCTTCTAGATAGTTGTACTAACAGTATAGTTGTCATTTTGTAATGTGTAATTTTTTTCTTTTTTTGTGAGACAGAGTCTCACTCTGTTGCCCAGGCTGGAGTGCAGTGGCGCAATCTCGGCTCACTGCAAGCTCCGCCTCTCAAGTGCACGCCATTCTCCTGCCTCAGCCTCCCGAGTAGCTGGGACTACAGGCGCCCGCCCCCATGCCTGGCTAATTTTTTGTATTTTTAGTAGAGAGGGGTTTTACCATATTAGCCTGGATGGTCTCGATCTCCTGACCTCATGATCTGCCCCCCTCGGCCTCCCAAAGTGCTGGGATTGTTACAGGCATGAGCCACCGCGCCCGGCCGTAATGTGTATTTTTTTTTATTATTATTAGTGGAGGCATAAAAAAGGAAGCTAACATTAATTGAAGGCTTATTATGTACCAATCTCTGTGCTTTGCATTTTATATCCGTTAATTTATTGATTCTTTAACAGAAACCTAGCAATTATTGTACACATTGGCAGTTGGGGAAACTGAGCCTCAGATAATTTGCCAAAGTTACACAGTACATGATTAGAAGAATCATGATGCAAACAAAAACACGACAGCAAAGCCTGTTCTTTCTACTATCCCTTGTCACCACATGGTGAAAGAGGAAGGACAATATGTTAGATTTACGTTCTTTTATTTTTATTTTTATTTTTTTTGAGACAGAGTCTCACTCAGTCACCCAGGCTGGAGTGCAATGGCACAATCTCAGCTCACTGCAAACTCCACCTCCTGGGTTCAAATGGTTCTCCTGCCTCAGCCTCCCAAGTAGCTGGGACTACAGGCGTGTGTCACCATGCCCAGCTAGTTTTTGTATTTTTAATAGAGACAGAGTTTCTCCATGTTGGCCAGGCTGGTCTCGAACTTCTGACCTCAAGTGATGTGCCCACCTTGGCCTCCCAAAGTGCTGGGATTACAGGCATAAGCCACCGTGCCCGGCCCGCTTTTGTAAGTGTTTTTCCATGTGTTGACATAATCTCCATATTTGTTGTTTTAATAGAACTGCATGATTCTATCAAATTAATGTCTTAATTTGAATAATCAATCTCTAATTGCTTATGTTTGATTTCTTTTTATTTGTTTATTTACAGGCAGGGTCTCACTCTGCTACCCAGGCAGGAGTGCGGTGGTGTGATCATAGCTCACTGCAGCCTCAAACTCCTGGGCTCAAGCAATCCTCCCACCCCAGCCTCCTGAGTAGCTGCAACTACAGGTGTGTATCACCATGTACAGCCAATTTTTAAATTTTGCTTTGTACAGTGGGATCTCACTGTGTTGCCCAGGCTGGTCTTGAACTCCTGGATTCAAGCGATCCTCCCCCCTCAGCCTTCCAAAGTGCTGGGATGCCAAGTGTGAGCCACCACATTCTGTCCATGTTTTATATTGCTTCCAGTTTTTCACTCTTAAAAATAATTCTACTATAAAAATACCTGGTTTTTATTCTCATAAATTATTTCTTCAGGGTAAATTCTCTGTGGTTTTCTGCCATAAAGGAATATGATTTAATAATCTTTTTCCTTGTGAGAGCTTATGCTGTGAAAAACAAAAGGAGATAACTCCTACTTTTAAGGAGCCTCTAAGTTAATTTTTTCCTCATCCTTCTTTGTCAAGCATTCTGAGGAACTTGCTAGATGTGTAAGCATTACAATAACTTAGTATATAGGTACTATTTATTTACAAAACTATATGGTGCTCTTCTAATGTGAACTAAACTGATACAAATAACCTTTACATTTTACCACAAAAAATTAACAAACATTTAAAAATGTCTTTGTCTTTTTGTAATAGCTTTTTCGGGATATACCATATTGACTTAAAGCGTTCGAGTCAATGATTTTGAGTATATTCACAGACTTGTGTAGCCACCACCATCAATTTTAGAACATATGCTTATTTCAGGGAGCTGGCTTATGTGATCATGGAGAATGGCAAGTCTGAAATCTATGGGTAGGCTGCAGCCAACCAGTGGAAAACTCTTGGGCAGGAGCTGATAATGCAGTTTTCAGTCAACATTTCTTTTTCTTGAGGGACACCTCAGTTTTACCCTTAAGCCTCTTCTACTGATTGGATGAGGTCCACCCACATTATTGGCAAAAATTGCCTTAAAGTTAGCTGACTCTAGATGTTTAAAATAGCTACAAAATATCTTTACAGCAACACTAAATTATTGTTTGATTGAATAATTGAGTGCTATAGCCTAGCCAAGATGACACATAAAACCAAGCACCACAGTCCACCCCCATCAGCGTGGCACCCATACACATCTCCTTAAACCATATTTAATCTCCAGATAAAGACAATAAGAAAGTTATATTTCTGCCCAACATGATGCAATTATACTATGTACAACCAAAAATGTGCAACCTTTTCTGCAGAAGAGAATGCAACATCCCTGGATCACTCAGTTCATTCTTCTCCTTGACATCCTGCAACTTAAATACTATGACATAAGGTTCATTATTATGAATACATCTTATGTTAGCTGATAAGGTGATAAGAGAAGGAAGAAAGCAAAGAAGTATATACATATATTACAACAAAGTAGGAAGAAGTACTCATAACATTTACAGTCCTAATTTCTGCGACTGGTCAAGAGTTGGAGCTGGTATTTACAACTACTTCTTTTCATTCCCCATTCCCTATTTCCTTTGGCCACAGCAGACACCTCAGCTGATCATAGTTCTTTGCTTGGTATGGTGACCAGATTTTCACTTCTGAAAGACCTGAATTGGGCTGTTGTAGTTTTATTTTATTTTTTTCATTGACTTTAATCAAAGGGCAGAATAACACTAAAAGAATCACCTAAGGGATCTACAGGGGTCTCCTGTATTCCAGATTTTCTCTTCCTTACCTCCATTTTGTAGTAGTAGCCCAAATTCTCCTTGGTAATTAGGAGCAATGATCCCGGAAAGTATACTAACTCCCTTCTTTACCTGTTAATTCAGATGCATGAGGAGCTCAAAGTGGCTGGGTGGCAGTCTTAACTCCCAGCTCAGTGGAATAATTAATGTGTCTCCTGGTGGAAGCATTCCTTACTTTGGAACTACAACTTCTTAAACCAGCAGAATCTAAGATCACAGGGACAGGAGGCAAAAATTTTGTTAGTGAATCAGTAGGGTTAATAGTGAGTGGTGCCACTCCCACTTCCACCCTTTGATTCCTGAACCTGTGAATCCTGGCTATGGGAGAAAAAACACCATATGCTAAATGCTGAATTAGAGCATATACATCCTCTTGGAGAATCTTGCCTCTGCTCTGCAAAGTGTTACCACTGACTCAGTTAGAGACTCAGTGATCTGAATCTCTTCAAAAAGCCATTCCACGGTTCTATCAAGACACCTGTTTCAGGATAATGGGGACATGGTAAGATCAGTGAATTCCATGGCAATTGGCCCATTTCCATACTTAATTTGCTGTGAAAATGAGTTACTTAATCAGAAGCAAGACTTCTTACAATGCTTGTACCATGACAGTAGCTAAGGCAGTCTATAAGTCTACAGATGGCAGTTTTGGCAGAAGCACTGTATACAGAAAAGGCAAACACATATCTAGAATAAGTGTCTAGTGCAATAAGAATAAAACACCATCTATTACAGGATGCAAATGGTTCAGTATAATCAGCCTGCTTCCAGGTAACTGGCTGATCACCCCAGAAAGTGGTGCCATACTGGGGACTTAGTTTTGATGTCTGATGCTAGCAGATTGGGCACTCAGCAGTGATTATAGCCAAGTCGGTTTGGTGAGTGGAAGTCCATACATAACCTTCGTCCTTGCCACTATGGCCATTTTGTGCATGAGTCCATTAGGTAATAACAGGAGTAGCTGGGGGAAAAGGCTGGCTGGCATTCACAGAATGAGTCATCCTGTCCACTTGGTTATTAAAATCCTCCTCTGCTGAGCCCATCTTTTGGTGAGCATTCACATGGTGCACGAATGTCTTCAGGTTTTTTTTGCCTATCCAGAGAAGCCTATTGTATTAGTTTGTTTTCACACTGCTGTAAAGAACTGCTGGAGACTGGGTAATTTACATAGGAAAGAGGTTTAATTGACTCACAGTTCAGCATGGCTGGGCGACTTTAGGAAATTTACCATCATGGCAGAAGGTGAAGAGGAAGCAAGGCACCTTCTTCACAAGGTGGCAGGAAGGAGGAGTGCCAAGTGAAGAGGGAAAGAGCTCCTTATAAAACCAGCAGCTCTCATGAGAACTCACTATAATGAGAACAGCATGGGGGAAACCATCCCCATGACTCAATTACCTCCATTTAGTCTCTCCCTTGACACATGGGGATTATAATTCAAGATGAGATTTGGGTGGGGACACAAAGCCTTACCATATCACTGTCTATATGCCAGAGTTCTGGCAGGGCATGGTGGTTCCAACCTGTAATCACAGTACTGTGGGAGGCTGAGGCAGGCAGATTGTTTGAGGTCAGGGGTTTGAGACCAGCCTGACCAACATGGTGAAACCACCCCGTATTACAAATACAAAATTTAGCCAGGCGTGGTGGAGCATGCCTGTAGTCCCAGCTACTCCAGAGGCTGAGGTGGGAGAATCACTTGAACTTGGGAGGCGGAGGTGGCAGTGAGCCGAGATTGCACAACTGCATTCCAACCTGGGCGACAGAGGGAGACTCCATCTCAGAACAAAACAAAACAAAACAAAACAAAACAAAGCAAAACAAAAAGAATATACCAGCCTTCATTGTCATTAATTTTTCAACTAGTTCCTTCTAAGGCTCTAACTATTCAGACAAACCATTGGCCACAGCTCATGAATTGGTATGTAACTACACATTTGGCCATTTCTCCTTCCAAGCAAAATGAACAACCAGATTTACTGTCGGAAATTCAACTCTCTGGGAGGATATCCCTTCACTAATGGCCTTCAGGGCTGTCCCAGAGAGGGGCTGCAGTGCTGCAACTGTCCATTTTCAGATAGTGCCTGCATATCCTGAAGAAACATCTATAAACCGGACTCAAATGTTCTCCTCCTCAACTGATTTTAGGGAGCACCCCATGATGCCAAAAATTTGGGCTGGGAGAGAGAAAATAATGTAGGAAAAGTGAGAGCTATGGGCACTTGGGCCATTTCCTCATTTAACTTACTTGTGCCCTCAGGGCCTGTTGAGCCTAATCTCATAACTGTCACTTCCATTTGATGATGGAGTATTGCTGTGGATGCACAACTTCATGGCTTGGCGGGTCAGACAATACTCAGCTCATGATGGGCAGTGCAGGTCTCATGGTAACTTGGTGATCATGGGTAGGTGTTCAGTCTCTAGTACTGAAAGCCTAATAGCAAGCAAATTTCTCGAAAGGAGAGTAGTTATCCACAGAGGATGGCAGGGCTTTGCTCCAAAATCCCAAGCAGCTGCACTGTGATTCACCTAGAGGGGCCTGCCAAAGGTGCAAACAGCATCCCGCTCTGCCACTGACACCTCAAGCGCCATTATATCTGCTGGATCACACAGCCCATGTGGCAGAGCACCTTGCATGACAGCCTGCATCTGTTGCAGAGCCTTCTCTTGCTCTGGACCCAAAACTAGCAGCTTTTGGGGGTTACTCAGTAAATAGGCTGGAGTCACACATTCTATTGAGGAATATGTTGCCCCCAAAATCCTCAGAGTTTCACTAAAAGGGTTCGACTCTTTTTGAGTTGAAGAAAGGGACATATGCAACTTTTCCTTCATGTTACAAGAGATATCTTGACATGCTCCACAACCCTGGACCCCTAGAAACTTCACTGGGGTAGAAGTCTCCACATTTTTGTTGGACTCACTTCTCACCCTCTATTATTATGTAAATGTTTTACCAATGACTCTAGCATAGTTGCTACTTCTTGCTCACTAGATCTAATCGGCATAATGTCATCATCAATGTAATGGACCAGTGTGATGTCTTGTGGAAGAAAAAGGTGGTCAGAGTCCTAGTGGATTAAATTATCCACAGGGACAGCATTGACCCTATTACAGCTCTCTGACTGGATATGGTGCTTTATCATCTGCTTTGTCTTTCCATGTGCTAAACCAACCCAAATTTGCCCCCTAGAACAGGCATCTCTCTCCTCTTCATATAAGGCATGCCATGGCATCTCATTGTAGTAGTCTGAATAGTGGGCCCTTGAATATGTCCACATCCTCACCCCTGAAACCCATAAACGCTACCTTATATGGCAAAAGGGACTTTGTAGATGTGATTAAGGATTTTGAGATGGGACATTATCCTGGATTATCTGGGTGGGTCCAATGTCACCGTCATTTTTGGAGACAGGGTCTCACTCTGTCGCCCAGGCTGGAGTCCAGCTGCGTGATCTTGGCTCACTGCAGCATCTACTTCCCCAGGCTCAGGTGATCCTCCCATGTCAGCCTCCCAAGTAGCTGGAACTGCAGGGGTGCACCACCATGCCTGGCTAATTTTTGTATTTTTCAGGACACAGGATTTCGCCATGTTGCCCAGGCTGGTCTCAAACTCCTGGGCTCAAGTGATGCTCTCACCTTGGCCTCTCACAGTGCTGGGATTACAGGCGTGGGCCCACCACGCCTGACCACAATGGTCCTTTTAAGAGTGCAGTAGGAGTAGGGAGAGTCAAACAGAAGATGATGGGATGGAACCAGAGATGAGTGATGTGCTTTTAGGACGTAGGAAAAGGTCACAAGCCAAAGACTACAGGCAGCCACTAGAAGCTGAAAAAGTCAAGGAAAGAGATTCTCCCCTCAAAGCTCTCAGAAGAAAATTCTCCCCAAAGTCCTCATAAGATGCCAACATTGCCGATGCCTTGACTTTAGCCCAGTGAAACTGATTCCAAACTTCTGCCCCAGAACCGTAGGAGAATACATTTGTATTGTACCGTTTCAAGGCACTAAGTCTGTGGTCATTTGTTATAGCAGCTATAGGGGACTAGTATACCCAGCCTCTTAACTGAGTAAAGCCAGAAAGATGTACATGAACAAAAGGAACGATGGAGAATAATTGCCCTCTGGTAATACCAAGTGGCAGAAACTATGCCACTTCAGTCTATTGTCCTGTATAAAAATAGGCTGATGGCTTCATATCACCTGATTTTCCAAAGAGGGCATGTATTAGTTTTCTTTTGCTGCTGTAACAAATTATCACAAACATAGTAGCTTAACACAAATATATTTTACAGTTCTGCAGTCATAAATCTGGCATTGGTACCATTGGGCTAAAATCAAGGTGTTAGCAGGATTGAGTTATTTTCTGGGGGCTCTAGGGAAGAATCTGTTTCCTTTTCTTTTGCAACTTCCAGAGACTGCTCACATTCCTTGGCTTGTGGATTCTTCCATCACCTTCAAAGCCAGCACTGACTGGTTGAGTCTTCACATGGTATTACTTTCAACCTCCTTCTGTGTCTCCCTTTTGTACCTATAAGGATGCTGATGATTACATTAGGCCCACTCACATAATCCAGGAAAGTCTCCCTGTTCTAAAGTCTGTTGATTAGCAAGCTTAAATTCCATCTTCGATGTTCATTCCACTTTGCCACATAAAGTAACATATCTGCAGCTTCCAGAGATTTGGACTTGAGTATCTTTGAGGTGCCATTATTCTGCCCACCTTAAATGTGGATATAAAAATACATTGTAGATTGCTGTATTATCTGTAGTCTTTGATTTTTTTAGGTTTTCTGTTTTTTCTCTCATGTTGTTGGCCCTCTCTCATGTGTGGTGATTCAAGGTTGTAAATTCATCTTCTGTGGGATGTTCCTTCTGCAAACATCCTGGACCACACTGACTTCAGGAATTATGGCTGTGTTGGTTTCTCTTGAGGTGGTCTTGGCAGCTGTGGTGGTTTTCCACACAACAGAGATGGTTTCTCAGCACTGCAGGGAGGAATATGTTTGAGAGAAACCTGCCTACCTCAGGCTGAGGTGCCTTCCTTTGTAGAGTTTCTATCTCTCCTAAATCCTGACCACAGCCAGAAGGGACTATTTGCATTTCCCTTAATATAAGAGTCCCTTTTCATTTCCAAGCTTATTAGACCTTCCTTTAAGACACTGTAAAGCAAAAGCAGCAGCATGCATGGGAAGCCAAATAACAACAATATTGAGTAAAAGGAGACCTGCTTGTTGTTGGGCAGACAAGACTAGTGTCTCTTAGGTGACCTTTATACAAAGTATATCCCATCCCTGTTCTTGATAACAATAAAAGCTGACACTTACATTCCATTTATCACATGCCAGAAACTGTTTATTGCACTTGGCATATATTAACTTACTAATTTCTCAGAACAACTATTAATGTCTCTACTTCGTGTCTCTACTTTGCAGGTGAGTTTACAAAGAGGTTGTGTTAGTTTGTTCTCACACTGCTACACGGACATACCAGAGACTGGGTAATGTATAAAGGAAAGAGGTTTAATTGACTCACCGTTCCACAGGGCTGGGGAGGCCTCAGGAAACCTACAATGATGGCAGAAGGGGAAGCAAACATGTCCTTCTTCACATGGTGGCAGCAAGGAGAAATGCAGAGCAAAATGGGGAAACGCCCCTTATAAAACCATCAGATCTCATGAGAACGCACTCATTATCATGAGAACAGCATGAGGGTAACCATCCCCATGACTAAATTACCTTCTACGAGGTCCCTCCCATGACATGTGGGGACTGGGGAACTATAATTCAAGATGAGATTTGAGTGGGGACACAGCCAAACCATACCAGAGGTTAAATGACTTATCCTGGATTGTACAGTATTTTTTTCTGAGCAACTCAGCATCAAAAGACCTAGGTTCAGGATATGGAGGAATAGGTAATACCAAGAGAAGTTACACACATACACCACTTAAACAGCTTTCATTCATTTCCTTCTTTCAACAAGCCAAGTAACAACAGCAAGCAAGTAAAAGGAGATAGTGGGTGGAAGGCACATACCACATGTTTGGGGATTGATTAATGCCTCTCACTGCCTGGGCTGCCACTCATTCTCAGCCGGTATTTCTGATGGTCTCTGCTGGCAGATGTCTTTGCCCCAATCTTTGCCATTGGTTGGAGTCACCTCACGGTCAGTATGTGGTAGTCACGACCCCTCAAGCAGTGGCGGGAATCCACATTCATCATGGCTTGGTGGGTTGTCCCCATGTTCTGATTGGGGAGGGTGAGTCCTCTGGGTGCCTTGCAGTCTCTTGGTTTGCAGTTGCATCAGCTCTATTCTGGTTAGCTATATCCATCTGCATAAGCCATTACATCATTATATATGCGTTGTTGGCTAGTTATACCCTTCCATATCCATGCATTTCAGGACTTTCTGAGCCTTTTCTAAACATGGTTATGACTTTGGGGGAGGGCAGGTGTTTATCTCTTTTGAGTGATATAGTCATATGCAAATCCGTAATGGGGTATACATGTATGATTTTAATTACTTTTGGAAAAAAAGCTTACAAGGAAAGGAACATTTTTGGTGGGAAAACTTGTTTATCTTCTTTTTTTAAAGCACAGCAAATAGATTTTTATTTATTCCTGTTAAAATGTATGATGTAATATCCTTTAATCATACGAAGCTAGTTAGTGACAAAGCTAGGATTCATATCCAAGCAGTCTGTATGTGGAATCCACACCTTTAACCACCTCTCTGCCCGGAACTAACTCTCTGCCTGGAACTAACACTTCAAATTAAACCGACTACCCATGAGCGTACAGACCATAGCCAGAAAAAATCCAAGTTATCTCAGTGCAGGCTACAGATGTCTTTGGAGCAGCAGCCAGAAGACCCTGGTATGTAAGAGCTATCTTATAAAGCTACTAAAACTTTAATGGGAGAGTTGCTAAGAAACTGATACAGAGGATATCTTTAAATTACTGTAATTTTGCTGTCTTGTAATAAGTTGTTTTACCTGTTTTTTTTTTGGTAAAGCTTTTTCTGATACAATGTTGTTAGTACGATTGCAGCTGTTGGCATCATTGCCCATCTGTGGTTTTGTAAAAAAATATTCACCTGGGTTTCTGGATGGAACTTCAACTAAGAGAACGCAACACTTTTATAGAGAAATCTGGGCCCTTGGCACCATAGACATTTCTGACATAAAAATAACTTATTATGTTTCGGTAAGACCAAAAATGAGGAAATGACATGCCTCAGCCAAACCACAGCTCTGGCTTGTGCTCGTGGATTTGCGGAGGAGGCATTGCAGAGGGGATCGAAGAATAACTAGACTTAGTAGAAATACTACCAGAATACCAAATACGGTGGGAGATCAATGGGAAGTATATGGATGGAATGACACACCAATTCCAGTTGAAATATGGAACTTGTGCAAGTTCATGATTGTGTAATTTTCAGAGTGTCCATGCGAACCCCATAGGGTAAGAAAGCAAACATCAGAACACAGCCCAAAAGATCGGTGTCCTTTGAGTTGGTGGCTTTTCTTTTGTGTCAACAGTATAGCCTAAGAGAGTGCTATGTGCTCCCATTTTTGTAGTACTTGGGTATACTTTGTGTGTGTGTGTGTGTGTGTGTGTGTGTGTAGACAGGGTCTCACTTTGTTGCCCAGGCTGATCTTTGATCTTGATTTTTTGGGATCAAGCATTCTCCTGCCTCAGCTTCCCAAAATGCTGGGATTATAAGTGTGAGCCACTGTACTCGGCCAGGATATTGTTTTTGTGAAAACGCTTATGAAAATAAGATACTACACACCTGTGATCAACAATAGTTTAGAGACAGAGTTTATAAAGAATCCTGAATTATCAGATAAGGAAAGAATTAAACCTAATGTTTCTTTGCTTTAGATTCCCATTCTGTGTAAAACGATGGATATTTATTCCCAGCCCCTATCTTTGTCACAAAGGAAGTTGCGAGGGGAAAGCTATCAATAGTGGCTGTGAGTTCATGTTAACACTTTATGCATGCCATGTAAGAGAACGGATCTAACATTCAAAGAGTGCTTAAAAAACACCTAGGCTTTTAATCCTCATGACAGTGCTAAACTAAGGTCAACATTTTAGGCTGAGAGAGCTGAAGCATACCTATCAAGATTAGCCAACTAGTAATCATCAGAGATGTGACTTTCAAGCCCAGGTTTGTTTGACCCCAAGCTTTGCTCTTTCCACTATGATATAGTGCATTCCTCCTGGAATTGTGTTTAGCCACAGAAGATTAGGTAATAGCATGTGTCCTTTCATGTTTGGAGCTCAACATTAGTCGGTATAAACCCAAACTTCATAAATACTTAATGTTAAGTACTTTTCCTACTTTCTGCTCGAGGGGAAGAAAGCAATTTCCAGTTGATTGAATGCATTTCCAGACATGGTTTTCCAGTCCAGTTTCAGGCAATTTAGTTTTTTGTTTTTTGTTTGTTTGTTTGTTTTGCTGAGACAATGTTGCTCTGCCACCCAGGCTGGAGTGCAGTGGCACGATTTCGGCTCACTGCAACCTCTGCCTCCTGGGTTCAAGCCATCCTCCTGCCTCAGCCTCCGCAGTAGCTGGGATTACAGGCGCGCACCACCACGCCCAACTAATTTTTGTATTTTTAGTAGAGATGGGGTTTCCTCATGTTGGCCAGGCTGGTCTGGAACTCCTGACCTCGTGATCTGCCCACCTTGGCCTCCCAAAGTGCTGGGATTACAGGTGTGAGCTACTGGGCCTGGCCGGCAATTTAGTTTTTAAAAATCTCTGTCCAGCAGAGACTTCCTTATTTTATTGTTATTATTATTTTTTGTACTGATAGACACAACAGATGCATTTTGAATAAGTCTGAACATCACTACTTTCTATGAGTAACTGACCACTGGGAGACCAGATGAGATATTTCTTATGCCTCCCATTCCAGGAGGCCATTATTTAGGGGACACATGGTGTGTTATGGATATCTAACATATCATGTTGGATCACTCCCACTTCTCAATGGTTCTCTGCTGTACATCAAGAAGTTAAGATTAAAAAACAGAAGCATGAAGAAGAATGTTGTGGACTGATTTTAGTTGCACTGATGTGAGTTTTCCTATCCAGCTACACTTTTTGTCCGGTGTCTACTGCGAACAATGGCACATTTCATCACACAGCTGGATAATGTTAAGAATTATAATCTGTAACCCCAGATTAGATGAAAATAAATGCCACTCGTAATACTAATTATGTTCCTGACCTTATTGTATTTACTTACTAACCCCAAATAAACTCATCTATTTACTTAAATGGGAATATTAACATCACATAAATCATATTTAACAATGAACACATGAAACAATTTATCACCTAGTTTAATATTCTGCTTGACTCATCTAAATCTTGTTTCTCTTACAGAATTTCCATCTGTGTCCACTCTATTGGAATAATGCTGTTTCTGTATACTTCTACAATGCCTGCTTTACTATTGAACAGTAGGTATGAAATGGAGTCCTCAATGGGATTATCTCATTCATGGATACATCTTTTGATAGTAGAAAAACAAAAGTATACATAGGTTGGGGGAAAGACAGAAAAAGCAGTTGCTGAAAAATAGCACCTGATGGTGAGTAATGGACAGCAATCAGGTTTTTGTTATGTTTTCTTGTTGTTTTTGTGACAGGGTCTCCGCCCTCTGTCACCCAGGCTGGAGTGCAGTGGTGTGACCTCGGCTCACAGCAACCTCTGCCTCCCGGGCTCAAGTGATCCTCCCAACAGACTCCTGAGTAGCTGGGACTACACGCATGTGCCACTTTGCCCAGCTAATCTGTGTATTTTTTGTAGAGATGGAGCTTCGCCGTGATGGCCAGGCTGATCTTGAACTCCCGGGCTCAAGTGGCCCGCCGGCCTCGGCCTCCCAAAGTGCTAGGATTACAGGCATGAGCCACCGTGACCAGCCTAGCAATCAGGTTTTTATCTGTTTCGGGTGTGGGAGAGGCTAAGCTAAGCCAGAATTCAAAAGAAAGGAATATATTCATAATTAGTTACACTTAGGGTGAAAAATAAAATTTCAGAGAGAGCAGAATAGGAAAAAAAAATCATAATTTTAATAATTCACACTTATTGCACTATTGTTATTTCAATTTTACAGAGAAAAACAGGCATAGAGTGATGAAATAGCAAGTACATATATAAACAACAAATGGCAGAGCTGGAACGCCAATCCTAGCAATCTGAACCAGCATTTAAAAACGAGGAATTAAAGCACATAGGGTGAGAAAAATTATAGGGAAGGGACAAGAGCTCAAGGGGACACCTGGAAAAGAAATACTATAATTTAAAAAATTACCAACGGGCTAATTATACTTGTGTTTTACTGGCAGAGCGCTTTGTCTGTTAGCTCTTTTAATCCCGCTAATAATTCTGTGAGGTTGGTACTATAAGTTCCATTTTTCAGACAAGGACGCTTAATAGATGATAACGGACACATTCCCTGCTTGCTCTGATCTGCATCTCAACAGCTGGCTCTGGAGCAAGCAAAGGGAGACTAAGGGAAACAGAGCGGAGCAGGGCAAAGAAAGCCGACTGAAAGTGAGAAATGCAGGAAATGTTTCCCATCTAGGCAGAAGCTGGTTCCAGCATTCAAATCTCTCCAGCCGGCCCGCCACCACGTCACAAAGCCCGCCTCTCAGTGACAAAGCCCCGCCCCGTTCCCTTGGCTGTTCTCTGAGCTCCCAATACTTCCCTCCTTCTCTTTGGCCCCTGCTACCCCGCCTAGCATCATTTCCTGTGCGCTGGATGCTGATTGGTCCGACAGTCGGAAGTGAGGGCGGGCGGTGGGGGCCGTTGCCGCAGTGACAGTGCTAGGGGAGTCCGAAGATGGCGGCGTCGCGTCGCTCTCAGCATCATCACCACCATCATCAACAACAGCTCCAGCCCGCCCCAGGGGCTTCAGCGCCGCCGCCGCCACCTCCTCCCCCACTCAGCCCTGGCCTGGCCCCGGGGACCACCCCAGCCTCTCCCACGGCCAGCGGCCTGGCCCCCTTCGCCTCCCCGCGGCACGGCCTAGCGCTGCCGGAGGGGGATGGCAGTCGGGATCCGCCCGACAGGCCCCGATCCCCGGACCCGGTTGACGGTACCAGCTGTTGCAGTACCACCAGCACAATCTGTACCGTCGCCGCCGCTCCCGTGGTCCCAGCGGTTTCTACTTCATCTGCCGCTGGGGTCGCTCCCAACCCAGCCGGCAGTGGCAGTAACAATTCACCGTCGTCCTCTTCTTCCCCGACTTCTTCCTCATCTTCCTCTCCATCCTCCCCTGGATCGAGCTTGGCGGAGAGCCCCGAGGCGGCCGGAGTTAGCAGCACAGCACCACTGGGGCCTGGGGCAGCAGGACCTGGGACAGGGGTCCCAGCAGTGAGCGGGGCCCTACGGGAACTGCTGGAGGCCTGTCGCAATGGGGACGTGTCCCGGGTAAAGAGGCTGGTGGACGCGGCAAACGTAAATGCAAAGGACATGGCCGGCCGGAAGTCTTCTCCCCTGCACTTCGCTGCAGGTCAGAGACTTTTGAATTGTTTATTAAGGGTTATGGGTTTGGGTGCAGGGTCCGGTTAGGACAAGAAAACAGGTTATTGTGATGGGACAAAGTGGGGGCGTGGTTATGGTTCTTCATCACCTCACCAGAAGACTGGAGGTTCCTTTCTTTTGGTGGTGCCTGGGTGATGGGGGCGTGGTTGGGGGGGATAAGTGAATCCAAGGAATTCTTCAGTGGTTGCACAGTACTCATTACAAAACTCACTGTAGTTGGTAGTCTCTGCATATGGATATATTTACACTTTAGTTTTTGGTGTGCAGGAATACAGTTAGATTTGGACAGCTTTAGAGTAGTTTTGTCGTTTGTGTGCTAGTTTATTTTGTTTTTACAAGGGTATGTCCTTTGAGGACAGTCCAGACCAAAAGAGGTTTAATACAACCCAACACATGTTTGAGGATCTATTGTAGCCTTAATAACCCAATGAAAGACATAAATGAAGTGTTTGAAAGTTTCCCTTCTTCTAAAGAAGTTTGCAGTCTAGACGGGGAGACCAAAATATGCCAATGTGAAACAACTGGAGAAGAATATTTGGATGCATTATATGATGATGGAAGAAATATAGGCTTTGATGTTGTGGCCACTATTATTTGTTGTCTAGCAGACCATTTACCTCGTGTCAGTTGCCTCAGTTTTCTCATGGGCAAAAATCATAAAATGATGTTGTGCGAGCATTTGGTGAGAAGTATCTGGCACAAAGTTCTCCCTCAAAAAGTGTGAATTTCTTAAGCTCTGGACCCCACACTTGTCTTTTTTTTTTTTTTTGCAAGTAGTTGATGATTTTCTCTCAAAGACACCTAATAATATGTTTATAAAATAAAGAGAACTGTAAAATAAAAACAAAGGACCATAATCTCACTGCCTGGATACCTATTGTTGATATTTTAAAAATGTAGGTAATAATGTTTTATACATTAGAAACATTATATTGGAAATACATATATTGTACGTTATACAATTCAAATAGGACAGAAAAATACAAAATGAAAGGCATCACACAGAAACATCAGAGATAACACACCAGAGATAACTTCTGTTAAGTTTCTCCTATATTTCTAATATATATATATATCACTTCTTCAGTTTGTTCTGTTAACAGTAAAACATGTGTTGACCCACTGTAGTATTTATTTTTACCACACTTGGGAGATATGATTAACCATTTTACAGATGACAAAAGTGAAGCATATATCGATCGCTTAAATAAGTCCAAATTCAGTCAGGAAATAGTGGAAATTGAGTTTGAATTCAGGCAGTTTGATTTTAGAGCTTGTGAAATCAAACTTAAACTGTCAGAACCCTGGATTAAGGTCACTTTTCATTTTTGTGAGTAATTGAAGTGTAGAGTTCCCAATTTTTGGGAGAAGTAGTAATGCGGAGGGGCTTATATGCAAGAGAGTAGCTTTCACATGTTTTTTATTGTAGCCCATACTTAGAAATACATTTTACATTGTCACATACGCAACTGAATCAAAAGTTTCTGGAAACAATACTTTCCCTTAATACATGTGTTGTCCTCTGATATTTTATATTTTATTCTGTTTCATTTTTAGCAAATGCTGCTTGTGATCCATTAATGGGTCGTGACCAGTGGTATGAGAAACACTTAAAGGAAATCATTGTTAGGTCACTGGATTCATTATTGATATACAGACACTACTTATTAGGAATGCAGTGAATTGAATCAGAAACAGACTTTTGCCTATTTGTTTGCTCAAGGGTCTTGCTTGTTTTAGATGAAATAGCATTTCTTTTTCCTTAGGCTAAATGAAAGGCCTAAGTCTGATTTTATTAATCAACAGAGGTGTCTACTTTTGCATACTTTATTCCAAGTTTGCCTATTTTAACAAATTGCGTCACAAATCATGTCATTTCTCACCATCCCACTTTATGCGTAATCACCAATAAATGATAGTTATATTTATGTGTATTAATGTATTTAGGATAAGTCACACAAAATAGTGCTTGTTTCTCAAATCACGTGTCTTCTATTTGCCACAATAGTTACTTGTTATTCTGTTTCAGAGTTTTATGTATATCCAGATAAGCTAGAAGATAAACAATCAAACAGTACCGTAATTATGTTGTAGTTATGACAAGCTAACCTTGAATTGGCTTTTTAAGAAAGTTTTTAGCTCAGTTGTGGAAAACACAGTAATAAAATTCTCGATATGAAAACATAATGTCCTGTAGTCAGTTTGCCACGCTTCCGTGATTGAATTCGTAACATTAAAGTTTTATTAAACTTTAGTCTTCTTTATCATGTATAGGCTGAGAAATGAAAAAAATTATCAGTTGACTGGTTATTATGATAGTAATTGAATTGTCACGGAATAGCTGTTTTAAAGATGAGAAATTGGTACAATCCCTTGGATGGAAAAATTTAAAAACTGCAGTTTATTTGTTCCAGAAATATTTTAGTGTGCTTAGATGATCGGGTGTTAAATACTGACACAATTGTGTAATGGCAAGCAGCCCTTAACCCTTATGGAGCTTACAGTCTAGTGGGGAAGCATAAACAACAACAACAACAAAAACCTATAAAGTATCTAGTGTCTAATCTAGAGTGATAGGAAACGTATATTATACTGTCTGTCCCAATATGTAATAGGAGCTCTTATCCTTGTTTTAGAGCAGTTAAGGAAGTCTTTGTAGGTAGATTTTTTTAAAGCAGGAATTAAAAGGGTGAGCCCAAGCTAGCCAAGCAAAGGTTGGAAGGGACGATGTTAACTAATGCTTTTATTTATTTTTAAAAATGAGTTTACAGTTCTATAGAATGAAATGAAACAATTTTTTTTTCTTTCCAACTTTTAGGTTCAGGGATTACATGTGCAGGTTTGTTACATGGGTAAATTGTGAATCTTGGGGGCTTTAGTGTACAGATTATTTCATCACCTAGGCAATGAGCATAGTAGCAGATAGGTAGTTTTTTGATTTTCAGCCTCCCCCATCCCTACCCTCCACCCTTAAGTAAGCCCCAGTGTGTATTCTTCCCTTGTCTGTGTCCATGTGTACTCAAGGTTTAGCTCCCACTTACTTAAGTGAGAACATGTGGTATTTGGAAATCATTTTTAAAGATCTCAGATGTGGTATGAAACCATATTTAAATCCTTATCACTTTATTTATATTACCTTAAGAATAATCATATTCTTTCCAGCAGTAAAATTAAGAATCCTTTGTATCCTATCTTGGATTGTGATAATTTGTTTAGAATATGGTTTAGAGACTGTGTTAATAATGGAATCATCCTATCTGCAGTTAAGACAAAATCTTGTTTCCATTGTTGATACAGGTTCTCAAAATACTATTTTTGATGCCTTTGTAAGATGGCTTTGTAAAGATGAGCCATTCTTTTATTGTTGACTAGAATTTATATGAGACTTTTTCTTCTACAGATGTGGTCCTTGACCCTGGTTTTCTATTATTTAAAGTATAGCAGTCAAAATAGTTTTATAAATAGTACCAATTTAGAGTGATACCTCCTTAGGATGGTTTCTAGTAGTGACATATTTTTGTTAAAGGACCCATATATTCTGAAGACGTCTCTTTTTATAGAAAAGTTTAAATGAGGTCTTTTTTTTATTAAGGCCTTAGTAAAACATTAAATTCTGAGATTTTATAGTATTTACATGAAATTGAAGAAATCTTGAAATGGGCTTCCTGTTAGTTAACATATACGACTTGGATTATGATAGGTAATGTGAGGTATTTTAAAATAAAAACTAGTTTTCTTTGTTGGGTTTTGTTTTTAATGGTATCTACTACAATACATATTTAACAGTACAGAGATTTTTCAACTCATTCCTGACTCTTCTCTAGATTTTTCAGCATGGCCATACTTGTCTTTTTTTTTTTTTTTTTTTTTTTTTTTTTTCATTTCTCGCCTTTGTACAAATGTCGTTCCTGTTAATAATAGAAGTCACCATATACTCTAGATTGTTGCCTATCAGTGGGTAATAAAATGAGTCAGAATGCTGCAGTCTTGGAGTGGGAATTATCTTACACTTCTCGTTGCCTGGCAAGATCCTTTATATTACTTGTAAGCAAATGCCCTGTCTGAGGATGTAAGAAGGGTCTAATTTGGTAATAGAAGAAAGGGACCTAGTTTCATAAATATCTTCCCAGACTTAAAATTGTTGATTATAAACTGGATTACCTTTTACTTAGTGTTTTCTTAAAACCTTAACACTTTTCTGAAGGTACCTCTTTAAAAAAAAAAGTTTACAGAGAACTTTTAGTTAGAAAGATGTGCAAAGTGTCTCTTTCTTTTACCTCAATGATACTGCTCTTTGGAAGCAAATGATTTAAAGAACAAATTAGCCATTTATAAGATGATATGTAAATTTATTGCTAATAGCAAAAAATTTGTAACAAGCCAACTGTTCAACAATAGAGAAATGCTTACATAAATTATAATACTGTACAATTTCTATTACATGTGTATTCCTACATATATGTTCTTTTATCCGTCAATCATCTTTTTATTAAAGCATGTGAGTGTAAATAGTAGGCATCTGTGCAGCTTCTCCAAATATGCTAATTTGCATATCATTATCTAAGTTCAGTATTTGTGTAAAGATTTATCTTTTAGTGTGAAATCTGTGCAAATCTTATGTGTACATTCACTGAGTTTTGACAAATGCAGATACATGTGTAACTGAACTTATGACTTTCCTTATAGAAACTTCAGAAAGTTCCCTCATACCCCTTATCTCAATCTTGTCACTACCCCTTTTCCCTCAGGCAACCACCATTCTGATGTTTTTTCCACTATAGAATAAGAGTTGCCTGTTTTAGAATTTCATATAAATGCAGTCATACAATATTTAGTCTTTCTGTAAGACTTATTTTGCTCAGCATGTTTTTGATTTTGTAACGTGTATCAGTAGTTTCTTTTTACTGCTGAGTAGATTTCATTATATGAATATGCTGCAGTTTGTGTATCCCTTCAATTGATAGACCCTTAAGCTGATTCCTGTTTTGGCTATTATGAATAAAGTCGCAATGAACATTCTTATAAAATCCTTTTTGTGGACACGGATTTTCTTTCTCTTGGGCAAATACCTAGTATTAGAATCTCTGGGTCTTAGGGTAGGTAAATGTCCGGTTTTATAAGAAACTGCCAACACCTTTCCCCAAAGTATATGTACCATTTTACATTCCCATCAACGATTTTTGATGGTTGCTGTTTGATTTTGCTCTTGTTGCCCAGGCTGTCGTATAATGGTGCGATCTTGGCTCACTGCAACCTCTGCCTCCTCGGTTCAAGCGATTCTCCTGCCTCAGCCTCCTGAGTAGCTGGGATTACAGGCGCCCACCACCACGCCCAGCTAATTTTTGTATTTTTAGTAGAGACGGGGTTTCACCATGTTGACCAGGCTGGTCACGAACTCCTGACCTCAGGTGTTCCATCCACCTCAGTCTCCCAAAGTGCTGGGATTACAGGAGTGACCCACCACGCCTGGCCTTATATATCTTTTATGAAGTTTTGTCCTTTTTTTTTCTACTGGGCACACTTCAGTTTTATTCAGTTTTGTTGGGTTATCTTTTATTATTAAGTTTAAGAGTACTTTATATATTCTGCATACTAGTGCTTTGTGGGATAAATGTGCTAATATTTTCTCCCAGGCTATGAATTACTGATTAATTTTCTTAATGAGAGTCATTTGAATAGAAATTTTAAATTTAATTTATATATTTATTTTATGGTTATTGCTTTCTCTGACTCATCACCTGGATAAGAACTTTTATCTGGCCCCAAGTCATAGAAGTTCTCATACATATCCTATGAAAATCTTTATGATTTTAGCTACATTTTATCAGATGTGACTATATCCACTTCAGTATTCTTATGCTGTGTGTGGCATTTTTCTATTCATTCACTTTCAATCAATCTGCCTTTATATTTAAAGTGTGTCTATTATAGACAGTATATATGTGAGTGTTGCTTTTTAAGACATTCTGACAATCTGTGTCTTTTAATCTACCTCATTAACTAATATTGATACTTCCAATTCAAACTCAGAACTATAGGGTTTTTACTTACCTCTTCTATGTTGCATCTGGCCATCATTTCTTCCATACCTAAACTTTTATTTTTCAAGGACCTGCTAAGAGCTGTTAATGTTGAAGGTCTGATGAGAATGGGAATTTCCTTCCCTTAGCCTTTTTTTTTTCTTTCTAGATGGGCAAAGGATTTTTTTTTTCTCTTCCATTAAAGACCAGATATTCTATTACAGTATGTCTTGGTGTTCGTTTCTCTAGATAGATTTTCTCAGGTATGTGGTATGGCTTTTCTTTACATAGTTTCAGATCTTTTATTTCAGAAAAGTTTCTCAAATTATACTTTTTATTATTCGTTCTTTTCTTTTTATGTATATTGAAACTTTGCCTCTTCTAAATTTGTTACTTGCTCCATTTCTTTAATACGATATATGTAAAATTTACCATTTTAACCATTTTAAGTGTACAGTTTTGTGGCATTAAGTTCATTCGCCATGTTATGCAGCCATCACCATTGTCCATTTCCAGAACATTTTTTGTCATCTTAAATAAGCTCTTGTACCCATTAAACTATGTCTATCTGCCCCCAAACCCCTGATAACTGTCACTTTCTTTTGAATCCTATTAAAAAATATATATCTTCTTTTTTTATTAACTTTTTTTCTCCTTTCATCTTCTATTTTTCTTAAGGCAGGAGTTGGAAACTTTCTGTAAATGGCCAGATAGTAAATATTTTAGGCTTTGTAGCCATATGGTCCCTCTCATAGCTACTCAGTTTTGCTTTTATACTGTGAAAGTTTCCATAGACTATATGTAAATGAATGAGTGTGATTGTGTTCCAGTAAAATTTTATTTATGAGAATAGGTGATGGGCCAGATTTGGTGTATGGGTTGTAGTTTGCTGACCTCTGTTATAAGGCATTATATGTGGCATTTTTTCCATTTTGTGTTCTTTCTTTTGTAGTCCTTTCTTGAAATTATTTTTTCTTTTATTTTGAATTATTTTCTGAACTCTCTCCTTTTATTTCTAACTCAGGCACATGCTATACGTTCATATCTTGTATCATTCTCGTATTCTCTTTTAGCTAGTGTTAAAATAATTGATTATAATTTTGTCTGCTTTGTGGGCATTTTTTTCTGTTAGGTATTAATTGTCTGCGGGGATGTTATTCTCCAAATTCTTCTTGTAAGAATTTTGTATGTATTTGACCTCAGTTACTTTCGTTGCTCATTTTTACAGAAATTAATTACTAAATAATTTCAAGGATAAAAATAAAGGTCTGAGATAGTTAAGGTAATCCCCCCTGTCCCTTTTTGTTGTGCTACACCTGCAGCTCTGGCCTAGAATAGATCAAGTCTCTCAGTAAGGTCTGCAGGATCATCTTTTACAGTAGTAGCATTTAAATTATGAAACATCATCATTTTATACCTCTGTTTATATAACCTATGAGACATTTTTTCAGGAACCTTAACCGGAGACATTGTGCTAAGGGCATTTTATAGATAAAGTCTCTTCCTGATAGATTACTATTTAGTCTTTTTGGTAAGTGTAGTCCAGTCACCTGTAAAGCATTCCCTACCCCATCAATGAATTGAATAGGTCACAGGCCAGGTGTTCTTTCCTGACGGGAAGTGATTCTTTGACAGTTAACAGGCCAGAGAAATACATTGGGAGGATAGGAGGCATATCATCAAAGGTCGAGTTGTGAGCATAAATATGTTAAAAAAAAAAATCTCAAGCTTAGAATCCAGAAGAAAAGTAATCAAGGAATGTGAATAATTCTGAGAAAATAAATTTTATTGTAATGTTAGGTTTGGTTTTGGAAAGGAATAAACATGAGCTCTGTGATGACATGAGGGAGAAAACACTATAGTAGTTTAGTCTTTAATATTTTTAACAGCCTCCTTTTGTGTCATAGACAAAGAATCTTTGGGTAGCTTACTATAAAATATTGCAGTAGATAAAATTGAAGGCAGTTGCTTCTTACCTTTTTATTTTTCCCCATGTCATTGTCCTTGAAGCTACTTTGGCTTATGTTTATTCTTCTGATAGCTAAGTTTTGGTGTAGCCCTGCTCTTGAGGCACCTAATACCATGCATCATTAATAGATACTTATAGTAAGAATTGAATAGGATTAGTTAAGATAAGATGGGTTGGAGTCTGAGGGCTAGGTGCAGCCTCCCCTTACGGGGCTTAATAAAACCAATGAAACATACACGAGAAAGAAACATTCAGAAATGGACTTTCAGTTTCTTGGTGAATAAAAAGCATTATATCTTCAAGAAAAAATGAGTAGGGTGGGTTTCCTAGGGATTTCTACTAAAGCCTAGGAGCTCAGGATAACCCCGGGGCTCATTAAAAAAAAAAAATCACTTTGATTTCAAGTAATTGAGGAAAGTTTTAGGTGTTTTGTTTTTGTGTGCCCGTTGTTTTTCTTTTAAGGCTTCATCAGATGTCTAAGTTTGCTTTCACCAGAGCGAGTTACTGAGTTCTCTTCTCGAATCTTGTTTTGCCAGTTTGTTCAGGTATCTGTTTATAGAATTAAAGCAGCGTGAGGGTAAACTTTTTTTTAAGCTGTTTTTTGGAGTGTGTCAGCTCCCCATTCAATTTAGACAAGTTATTTATTTATTTATTTATTTTGGTTTTGGAAGAGGGAAAATAACGTGATGTAAAATTTTTTCTCTATCCCTTTTGCCTTTTCAGTAGAACAAACTAAACTGCTGGTAGGTGGCAGATGTTTGGACTTGTTTATTTTTTCTTCTTTGGTATATTTTCTTTTAAAGTGAGGAAGCATTTGGTAGTTAGCAGATGATTTCCATGAACTACAAGTCCAAACTGAACAAAATTTGTTTTAAATTTACTGATTGACTCAAAAAACCTTAAAGCTATAGTCTCTGTGTCATTAGTTCAAAAATAAACTAAACCAGCCAGGCGTGGTGGCTCACGCCTGTAATCCCAGCACTTTGGGAGGGCGGATCACAAGGTCAGGAGATGGAGGCCATCCTGGCTAGCACAGTGAAACCCCGTCTCTACTAAAAATACACACACACAAAATTAGCCTGGCGTGGTGGCGGGCGCCTGTTGTCCCAGCTACTCGGGAGGCTGAGGCAGGAGAATGGCGTGAACCCCGGAGGCAGAGCTTGCAGTGAGCCGAGATCACGCCACTGCACTCCAGCCTGGGTGACAGAGCAAGACTCCGTCTCAAAAAAAATAAAAATAAATAAAAATAAAAATAAACTAAACTCCCTGATGCCTTGTTAAAGTGTGTGTATACACACTTTTTTGTGTCTACATGTATATAACTTATTATATATGTCAAATTATATGTTGACATATATATTATATACATAGTAAGTAGACATTGAAAAGTTCTGATGCCCTCATTCTGATAATACTCATCAACCGTAGAAACCATTTTGACATTCTCATCAGTCATGTTAATAAGATGTGCAGGTCTCCTCTTCCAAATGCTTGGGTTATTCTCATGTTGACTGTGGAAATTTGGTATTTTCAAAAGAAATGACATAGAATTACACTTAGTTAATACATCTTAGCTATTTTTTTCTAATGTCTTGAGGTACCAACTTATGTTTTTCTTCTTTGCAGGAAAATATTCTTATTTGGAAAAAGAAAACTTTTTGGATAAATTTTTGAAACTTTGAGCAAGCTATCAAAAGTTGTCTGCCTCCTCCTTCTCCCCAGCCCCAAAATACACAGACTTAACAACAGAAAAATATAACTGTTATCCTATGTTAATTTATGAAAGCAGATAAATATGGGGTATATAATAAGATAATTTCATTATTTAATTCAATGAATTGCTTGTTTTAGTGCTCTGTAAGTATTTGAACAAGTAAACTTTTTGAGTTAACACTTCTGATTTCTGATCTTCTGACATTCTTAAGTACATAAATATTAATCCTCGTATATTAGCCCAGTCTTTTTTTTTTTTTTTTTTTTTTTTTTGAGACGGAGTCTCGCTCTGTCGCCCAGGCCGGACTGCGGACTGCAGTGGCGCAATCTCGGCTCACTGCAAGCTCCGCCTCCCGGGTTCACGCCATTCTCCTGCCTCAGCCTCCCGAGTAGCTGGGACTACAGGCGCCCGCCACCGCGCCCGGCTAATTTTTTGTATTTTTAGTAGAGACGGGGTTTCACCTTGTTAGCCAGGATGGTCTCGATCTCCTGCCCTCATGATCCACCCGCCTCGGCCTCCCAAAGTGCTGGGATTACAGGCGTGAGCCACCGCGCCCGGCCTAGCCCAGTCTTTTGTCATCAGAGTCCAAGGTCACATAGCTAGCTTTTAAGTAATGGTGCCAGATTTAAACCCAATCTGGTTGTCGTAAAATCATTTGGTCTGTGCTACTCAAATGGAAAGTTGATAGCAATGAGAAATAAAATCTGTATTTTGTGTCATTTTGTAATCTGACGATTCTTACTGCTTTCTCAAGTTGGTTTTCTGGTAATAAACGTAACTTTACAAATTTTGGAAAGTACAGTAAAAAGTAGGGCATCATCTTCCCACCCCAAGGGAGCTACTAGTGATTTTGACATATTCCCTCCAGTCCTTCTCTTAGGCATTTAAAGTAAAACTTTTTTGTAAGTATGGTATTGGAACATTTGCAGTTACTAGAATGTTGGGACTATCTGGTCTTTTGTTCAGTTGATTGTTTTTATAAACATAAAAAGTGTGATTGGAAGTAATCTTTGAAGAACCTCATAACTAAATGGAAGAAGGAAGGATATTTTAGCAACTGCTTTCTTATTTATTTATTTTTTTTTTGAGACGGAGTCTCGCTCTGTCGCCCAGGCTGGAGCGCAGTGGCGCGATCTTGGCTCACTGCAAGCTCTGCCTCCCGGGTTCACGCCATTCTCCTGCCTCAGCCTCCCGAGTAGCTGGGACTACAGGCGCCCGCCACCACGCCCGGCTAATTTTTTTTGTATTTTTAGTAGAGACGGGGTTTCACCGTGTTAGCGAGGATGGTCTCGTTCTCCTGATCTTGTGATCTGCCCGCCTTGGCCTCCCAAAGTGGTGGGATTACAGGCCTGAGCCACCGCACCCTTCCAGCAACGACTTTCTTTAAAAGACTATATAGAGTTGTTAGAAAATCTCGTAGATAAATTTTGCTGTATGTTTTGACTCATGGAAGAAGAAGTTAAAAATTTTTTGAACAGTAACTGAAACATATTGGAGTCACAGCAGTTTGAAAGTATGTAATGCCACTGAACTCTACATTTAAAAATGGTTATGATGGCAAATTTTATATTATGTGTATTTTACCACATTTAAGTGAAAAAAAAGGGGGGTATCATAGTGGACATTTTAGCCTCTCTATTGTCCTGGAGCGTTTCTTAATATTACTAACACGAAATATGGAAAATAGTATATTTAATAGACTGAATCTCTGCAGTTATGTTGAGGATACTCTTTTCATCTTATCTGTTGATTCACATTTTTTGAGAGTGACCTGTAGACCTTCTCTGTCAGTATGAAGCTCAGCATTAATGAAGTGTTTATGGAAATTCAAGCAAGCTGCATGCAACTTGTTTAATTAACATTCACTGGGGCAATTCCATGGTGTGTTTTTCCCCCTTGGTTTGTTTCTCAGGGATCTGGCTTGAGCTGTAAGGTTTTTGAGTAGTTCAGTAACAGCTCGAGAAATATGAGCAAGATTATGGGAATGGAATGTTTCCTGCCCTTAAGAAAGCTTATAGTAAAAATGCAGTGTTTCTCAAACTTTTTGGTCTCACTGCTTTTTCACACTCTTAAAAATAATTGAAATAATTTTTGTTTATGTGGGTTCTGTCTATGGAGACTTACCGTATGAAAAATTTAAAATGAATATAATATTAGAAATTTTAAAAATAAAATGATAAACTCCATTATATGTAAATATGTGTAAACAACATTCTTAATGAAAAGAAGCTATTTTCTAAAGGAAATAATGAGAAGCAGCATTATTTTACACTTTGCAAGTCACTTTAATGTCTGGCTTAAAAAGAGATAGCTAATTCTCATCTGCTTCTACCTGCCAATTCTGGTATATTGTTTGGGTTAAAGTATATGAAGAAAATCCTTCTTCAAACAGAAAATGTTGTTGGAAAAGGAAGAAATATTTTAATAGCATTGTCAGATAATTTTGCCTTTTTTCTCTTTGATTCTGTACCCACAGTTGATAAGTAATAGTTTCCTAAGGGTTAGTTGCAACGTAGAATCTGAAGCCAAATCAGTGAATTTTTTTATACTTCTGCTGTGTTAGAATCCATTGTTAGAATCCAGAAACGGGTATACCTGTACTTGTTTTGAGCATTTAGAAAATATTGGTTCTTGAAGCTGTGCAGATATTCCAAATGTTGACACATTTTACTTTGTAATAAAAATAATAAGCATAATTGTTAATATTGCCACTAATCTCATCAGAAAAGTATTTTAGAATTGGGAAACTGTTAAGCTTATAGCAATAGTTGCAAGTGTTACAGAATTCTAGTATTTCCTTGAAAGCTCAGATTTTATCATTGGGAACAAATACCGTTTGGTTTCCTAAAAGATTCTAATAATTCCTGTCATCACTCCCTGGACGACATCAGCTATTACCATAGTTTCTTAGTGTGGACATAGCTCCATAGCACACACACATCATAAGTGTACCGGGAGGTGAATTTTTACAAAGTGAACACACCTGGGTAACTAGTGCCCTGCTCAAGAATCAGAACATTATCTGCAATCCATAAGCTCCTGTCCTATGTCTTTTGAGTCGTTACCCCTCTAACACTCATAGATTTTGTCTGTTTTGAACTTGTGATACATGATACTATATAGTCAGTACTATTTTGTGGGAGATTCATCTATCTTATATAGTTGTAGTTTGTTCATTTTCATTGTTTGTATAATTCTATTGTGGGAATATACCACTACTTACCCATTCTACTGTTGAGTATTTGGGTGGTTTTTATGTGTGTTCTATTATGAATAGTGCTGCTATGAACATTTTTGTACACGTCTGTAAACGTCAACATTGAAAACTTTTTAGTTGTTTGATAAAAGCAATATTTAGTTAATTTGCATTTCTTAGTCACTGTTTTACTTTTAAAAGACAATTGGCATTCACTGTTTGGCATTATATCTCTTCGTATTCTTTTTTTCTTTTGCCTTTTGGTGTCTTTGTTATCTGTGCTTTGTTAAAGTCATTGTGAATATTTTCCTGGCTTGTTTTAAAATTTTATCTGTAAGCTTTTGAAATCTATTGCCTTAAAAAGTGTTTTTTTAATCTATAAACTTTTCAAATCTATTGCCTTAAATTTTTTTTGTTTGTTTTCTTCTATTGCTTCTCCTATTCTGAGATCATGCAACTGTCCACTTAATTTTGTTACGGTTTCATTTTGACATTTTACACCTTAATCTATTTTAAATTTATTTTGCTATATATTAAGAGGTAAATATTTTAAAAATTGTTCTTTTTTAAGCAGATGCCAGGTGTTTTTTGAACCATTTATTGAATAATAAATATAGGCCAGGTGTGATGGTTCACTTGTAATCCCAGCACTTTGGGAGTCCAAGGTGGGAGGATTGCTTGAGCCCAGGAGTTTGAGACCAGCCTGGGCAATAAAGCGAGATCCCTGTCTCTACAAAAAAATTTAAAAAGCTAGCCAGATGTTGTGCTGTACCTGTATTGACTGTAATGGGGATAGCAGCAGGTTCAAGAGGCCAAAAAAGATCCCTGAGCCAATGAATGAAACATAATGTCCTGGGGGCTAAAATACAGGGAAGAGATTCCAGTGGCAGTGGGCTGGGCAGAACCACCAGTCCCTTGCTGGCGTGGTGGACAGAATTACCACATGGCCCAGTGGCATTAGGATGGGTAGAATAACCAACTGCTTGCAAAAAGCATGCGGTTAGTACAGCATTTTCACTTGACAGCCTCCCCCAGCAACCTCTACCTGGCAACCTTTAACCCAAAACAAAGGGCCTCAATCCTCTATATGGCCCATGTTCCATTCTACATGATGGGCTTGGGACTCAGATGTCCCTTGTAGATAATGAATGGATCTCCTGGTTGGCCACTCTTGTATTCTCTAGCTCGGAACTGTGACCACACATTGAGGTGCATCTGCCATACAGGGTCATTCTCAGGGTATGCTCAGGCTAAGTCATTGCTGTCATGTGTCTACTGTATACCCAGTGTGGTGGCATGTCTGTAGCCCCGGCTACTAGAGAGGCTGAGGTGGGAGAATCACTTGAGCACTGGAAGTCAAGTTTGCAGTGAGCTCTGATCATGCCACTGCACTCCAGCCTGGGCAATAGAGTAAGACCTGTCTCTTAAATAAAAAAATAAATAAAAATCAACCATTAAAAATGGAGGTAGATTTTGTTTTTTAAAAATTACATTCGGGGGCATTTTGCTGCATTTTCATTTGATGTCCAGTTACTGTGATTCATTCATTGTACTATGTTTAACCTTTTCCTCCCTACTGTGGCCTTAAGAGTAATTTCTACAACAAATTCTATGTTGAATTTAAGGAAGCTACACCAAAAACTATCAGCAGAATTTCAAGAATCCTTGTAGCCTTTTTTCCTTTTTGGCTGCCAAGATTGATGTATATATAGGTACCTATCTATATTTAGCAGTTTCTTAACCTGTATCTAAGTTCACATAGCAGAAATTTGAATTCTGTCGCTTTGGTAATCGTCTTAGTCTTCACACTGACATACATAAAGTAAAGGAATTGTAGTTTGGATATACTGTGTTTGTTTTGAGGGATGATCTGCTTATCTTCATGATTTCTGGGGCAGAAAGTTAGTTGATTCCACGTTTTTTTCTTTTTTTGAGATGGAGTCTCACTCTGTCGCCCAGGCTGGAGTGCAGTGGTGCAATCTTGGCTCACTGCAAGCTCCGCCTCCCGGGTTCACGCCATTCTCCTGCCTCAGCCTCCCAAGTAGCTGGGACTACAGGTGCCCACCACCACGCCTGGCTATTTTTTTATATTTGTAGTAGAGACGGGGTTTCACCGTGTTAGCTGGGATGTTCTCGATCTCCTGACCTCATGATCCAAAAGTGCTGGGCCTCAGCCTACCAAAGTGCTGGGATCACAGACGTGAGCCACCGCGCCCGGGGATTCCATGTTGTTGCCACTTTTAGTCTCTATTTCTTTCTCTCTGTTTGAACCGTTCTGAACTTTTTTAGGTACTTGAATATAAAGAGTTTCTCACCTCTTGATTTACTGTGCCTTACTCTCTTTGGAACATTTATCCCTATCCTTTTGTCTGGTAAATTGCTTATTCCTTAGATCTTAGCTCATAATATCACTTTATTAGGGAAGGTCTCTATCCCAGACTTGGTTAAGTTTTCTTTGTAACCCTATATTGTAATTATTTGTTAGGGTGATTATTAGTCAGTGTTAAGTCTTGAGACAGGATAGATTTGTACTGAGTTAATTCATGATATATAGACATAAGCTCACACACGTACTACTGAATTCATTTTTTGTCATGAGTGTTTTCAACCAGGATCTTTCTGTGTTCACCTTAGAGATTTTGCATATCTGAGATTAATTTGACTTTTACATGGAAATAAAGTTAGCTATATATGAAATTAAGTATGAAAGTGTCTTTTCTCATAGTTAAGGTTGACTTCAGTCAACTGATTCTTTGTTTTTTGTTTTTAGCTGATTTGTTTTCTTTCTGAAAGACTATGGCCTTTGTTGTTGTTAGACTTTGCTACAAAGTGTCCATGCTGTTTGGCACTCCATGAATATATTAATCTGAACTTTTACTTCTTCCTTTAATTATTAAAAGTATTGTCATTATTTCTACAATATTTCCTCTCTTCCCATCCTCTATCTCTCTTACGTTTTCTCTTATTCTCTTCTGTTTCATGTCACTAGTCTTTCCCTAATTCCTAGTTTCGGGACTATCACTATAGCAGATACGTTTTCTCCATGAAATATAGTAAAACAGAAAACTTTAAAGAACTTTAGAAGATAGACCTGTACGAGAAAGCGAGTAGAATTAGAAAGTCATGTTGAGATGGGGCTGCTGTGCTATATACCCCTCTATAATTTTGAGGCTGCCTCCTGCACATCAGCCAAGATACAGGTGTCATTCGATTTTTAATAGCAAAATTGTGAATTACTGTGTTTAGTGGACCTTTAGAGATACTCAAAAGTGTCTGGAACCGCTAGTGTTAAACTAGTGAATGGCAAGTCTGTTGGCCGGGAAAAACCTTTTTTTTAAACTCATAGGTATTGCATAAATGTGTCATAGCTGAATTTTGTTTCATTGAAAGCAATATTTTCATTGTTAAGAATTTTTGTTTTGCTTTTTATTTTGGATGAAAGTGGACTGATAATACTTAAGATAGGGAAAGTAATATTTATGTTATATGTATATATATATATATAGCAAGCCATTCTCATATTTTAGATTCTAGTTTTTCTTAATGTTTCTAAAGATAATGATGAACAAGTCACATTTGTCACCAAGTGCCTTTTTATCTTTCCCAACTCAGCTTCTCTGATTTCCTTTATGTCACATATTAAAAGAAAAACCTTAGTCAAATTAAATTTAACAGTTAAATTGAGCAAAGAATGATTGGTGAATCAAGCAGCCTCCAGAGCCAGAATAGGTTCAGAGTAATTCCAGGGCTGCCACATGGTCAGATAACAATTATGGATAGAAAAAGGAAGTGATGTACAGAAGACAAAAGTAAGGTATAGAAAGAGCTTGGTTGGTTACAGCTTATTGTTTGCCTTACTTGAACACAGTTTGAACATTTGGCTGCCTTTAGCTGAGTCTTTGTGATTGGTACAAGAGTAGGTTACATTCAGTTTACGTATCCAGTTAGATGTATGTATGAAGAAACCTTTAGGCCTAACCTTAAATATGTAAGGAGGCAACTTCAGGCTAAATTAAATTTAACACATAGATGTATATGAGAGAGTTCCATGAGTTATTTTCCTAGACAACCCCAAACTTAGTTTACAGTTACTTTATCTGTTGGGTGTAATGGGATCTTTTTACGCTTAAAAAGCATGAGAGATGTAATATAAATGTTCTCATTTGGTATATAAGTGTAGGTTAAAAGATTAATAGTTCAAGTGATGTACAGTGGTTGTAGTTTTGCTGACAGTCTAATTAGGGGGAAAATGACTTTAAGATGTGATTTTGCTGCCATAGATAAAAACATCAGTTTAAAAATATTCCAAACACCTCAGATTTTTCTCTTTTATTAAATTTCAGAAGTCATAGTTGTCAGTTATATGATTTAATATTGGCCATCGTTCCATGGAAGCTTTAATTTTAGGCGGGATTACAATGCTGAACATAAGTGAATGGAGAATAGATACCAGTGACCTTAAATTTGATATTGAAATATTTTTGAAAGGCCTTAATCAACTCTTTGCTATTAGAATAAGGAAAATTGTTAAGTATATTGGGGTTAGGCTATGTGTTAGGAATTTGGGTTTCTTCACTGCCAGCACACCACATAGTATATTTTTAAATTGCTTTGAATATGTAATATAATGTTATTTTTTCTCATGAACTGTTTGGGGAAAGAATGTGCTGAAATTTATACATTATATTACTTGATATAGTTGTTGCAGAAAAGCAGTTCATCGGGGTACACTTCTTGTTGCTACCTGCTTTGCCTGACCCTTCCTCAACTGGCGCCTCTAAAAATAGAGTTGCTTAAGCTAGAAATCTGAGAGCCAGTCATCTTTGCTTTATAACCTATCCATTTTTCTCTTCTTTGACCCAGCTGTACTTTCACTGTTTTTTTCCAACCCACTATCGGTTCTTGCCCAGACTACTGCAGAATTTTCTTGACTAGTCCCTCTGATTTTGCTCTTCACTTGTCTGTTTTTCACATAGCTGACAGATGATCCTTTTAAGATTTAAATAGAATCAAGTAATTTCCCTAATAAATGGTTTCCCACATACTTACAATGAAACCCAATCTTCTTACCCTTGACTTACAAAGTTGTGACAAATACTGTTGGTTATGTACCCCAAATTTATTTTCTTCAAATTCTTCACTAACAGATCTTAGATTTCGTTCAAGGCAGTAGTGTGTCTGGCTATGAAAGACTTGATTTTTTAGCCTTTTTTGTTTTTTTTGGTAGCTGGACAGATGACACATTTTTGGCCAATGAACTATGTATGAAAGTATCTGGAGATGCCATTTCTTCCTTAATTATAAAAAAGTCAAGAGAGAAAGCTCCCCCGCGCCCCCCTTTACTCACTCTCCCTTCTTGTCTGAGAACCTAGATATGAGGCTTAGAAATATAGCACTCTTGTGACTGTGAGGTAAGAAGCAAGTGGAGATGCTAAGAATGTGGAAAGATTCTAAGGAGCTCCTAATACCGTTGATAAACTGCTATGTGTGCCTGGATTGCCTTTGTCTTGACAAATTGTGTGAGACAAGTGAATCTCTCCATTATCTTTTTATTTTCTTTTGACACGGAGTCTCGCTCTGTTGCCCAGGCTGGAGTATAGGGGCGCGATCTCGGCTCATTGCAAGCTCCGCCTCCCGGGTTCACGCCATTCTCCTGCCTCAGCCTCCGGAGTAGCTGGGACTACAGGCGCCCGCCACCACGCAGGGCTAATTTTTTGTATATTTAGTAGAGACGGGTTTCACCATGTTAGCTAGGATGGTCTCGATTTCCTGACCTCGTGATCCGCCTGCTTCGGCCTCCCTAAATTACAGGTGTGAGCCACCGCGCCCGGCGGATAATTTTTTAAGAGGAACAAGGTGGGTCAACTCTACCCTACTAGATATCTAGACTTATTCTAAAGTTATACTAACAAATAGACAAACTGACCAACCAAAAAGAAAAGATAAGGAAAAATAAAAATAAAAATTTCAACTCACACCATAGTTACAAGTTATTTAAATATCTAAATGTGAAAGAATTATAATCTAGAAGAAAATGTAGGAACAGTACAGAAATAGGAAAGGTTTCCTTAAATTTTATATATAAATCACAATCCATGTAGGAAAAGATTAATGTTCAGAATATGTAAAGAACGCCTGCAGAATCATAAGAAAAAGACAAATAGCCCAAAAGAAAATGGCCAAGACAATGAACTGACAAGAGTTGAAATGTGAATGCTTAGTAAACATAGGAACAGATGCTTTTATCAATTTGCATGGATTTAACTATGAGTATTTTAAAACTTCAACTGACTTAAAGCCTAAGGACATTTATTTTCCTGCTTGATAAGAAGTGTAGTGGTAGGAAATTCAAGAGTTGGTTTCAGTTCTGTGAACGTAGTAAGGGTTCTATGCCAGCATTTAAAAAAATAATTCTGTTGAATTTTCTAACGGTTGGGAGGAAGGGTGAGAGGAGAAAGGGCACTCTTCCTCCCACACCTTCTGTAGAAGGTGTAGAAGAGAGAAACATATTTCCAGAAGCTTCTAGATTTTCCCATCTGTCCTCATGGCCAGTCACTGACAGAGCAGAATGAAATTACCTGATTGGCTTAATTAGGATTCCTCCTCTGGACTGAGGAAGGGATGGCTTTCTCTTAGTATATTATTTCCTGCCCAATTCCCGAGCAAAATTGAGTCTGAGCAAAATTGAGTCTTTCTGTTGGCCAGTGTATTAGTCCATTCTCACACTGCTATAAAGAACTACCTAAGACGGTAATTTATGAATAAAAGAGTTTTAATTGACTCATAGTTCTGCAGGCTGTACAGGAAACATGGGTGGGAGGAGGCCTCAGGATATTTACAATCATGGCAGAAGGCAAAGGGGAAGCAATCATGGTGGGGCAGGAGAGAGACAGCAGAAAGCGGGAGGTGCCACCACCCCCCTCTTTTTTTTTTTTTTTTTTTTTTGAGATGGAGTCTGGCTCTGTTGCCCAGGCTGGAGTGCAGTGGGGCGATCTCGGCTCACTGCAAGCTCCACCTCCCTGTTGCCACCTACTTTTAAATCTCCAGATGTCATGAGAATTCACTCATGTGACAGCACTAGGGTGATGGTGCTAAACTATTAGAAACCACCCCTGTGACCCAATCACTTCCCACCAGGCCCCTCCTTCAACACATGGGGATTCCAATTCAACATGAGATTTGGGTGGGGACACAGAGCCAAACCATATCAGCCAGAAGAATGGATTATGGTTATCAACCTTCCACTAATATAGATTGAACCATATGAAGTTGACAAAAATAATGTGAATATATGAAATATATTCTAATCACATAGAATATGAAATGCATAATATACAAATAATAACATGAAATGTATAAAATATAAATATAGAAACACAAGTGTTTAAAAAACACACATTGAAAAGTATATAATTTGCATGATATAACAAACATTGAATTTATGTAATAGTACCTCTGGGGAAGCAAAGAGGGGACTAGGATTGAGGGTAAGAGTTCAACTGTATTCATATATTTAGTTTTCAACAGTAAAAAAGCAAATATCTGAACTGAAAAATGTAAATAACAATTCATTTTTTTTTTTGCCTCTTTGTAAAGCTTTTAAATGTGCACGGAATGGTCACGAGGATTTTGGTTGAAAATGAAAATTGGTAGAGGGCAACTTGGCAACATGTGAAATTTTAAATGTATACCTATTGATCTAGTACTACTACTTTGAGGCATTTATCTTAAATGAATAGGACAAATGTACAAGGAAATTTATTTTGACTTTTTTTTTTAGTAATGGTAAAAATGTTTTTATAATGGCTGTGTTAGTCCGTTCTTGCATTGCTATAAAGAACTACCTGAGCCTGGGTAATTTATAAAGAAAAGAGATTTAACTGACTCACAGTTTTGTAGACTGTACAGGAAGCATGGCTGGGGAGGCCCCAGGAAATTCACAGTCGTGACGGGAGGTGAAGGGGAAGCAGGCATGTCTTATATGGTCAGGGAAGGAGGCAGAGGAGAGCAGGAGGAGGTGCTACACACTTTTAAACAACCAGATCTTGTGAGAACTCACTATTACGAGAACAGCAAGAGGGAAATCTGCCTCCATGATCCACTCACCTACCACCAGGCCCCTCTTCTAACACTGGGGATCATAATTTGACATGAGATTTGGGTGGGGCCACAAATCCAAACCAAATTTTTTGGTCCCTGGCTCCTCCCAAATCTCATATCCTTCTCATATTTCAAAATACAATCATGCCTTCCCGATAGTCCCCAATAGTCTCAACTCATTCCAGCATTAACTCAAAAGTCCAGAGTTCAAAGCAAAGCAAGTCCCTTCTGCCTGTAAAATCAAAGCCAGTTAGTTAGTTACAAGATACAGTGGGCGTACAGGCATTGGCTAAATACTCACATTCCAAAAGGGAGAAATCAACCAAAACAAAGGGCCTGCAGGCTCCATGGACTTCGAAACCCAGCAGGGCAGTTGTTCAATCTTAAAGTTCCAAAATAATCTCCCTTGACTCCACGGCTCACATCCAGGCCACACCAACACAAGGGGTGGGCTCCCAAGGCCTTGGGCGGCTCCACCCCTGTGGCTTTGCAGGAGTCAGCTCCCATGGCTGCTCTCAAGGGCTGGTGCTGATTAGGGAAATGGAAGTTTGCACTCAGGCTTTATTCAGATCCGTAGAGAAGGAGAATAATTCAACCTTCCTGGGTCAGGACAGCACTTATGGCCCAGTGGAAGAGTAGGGCATTGATGGTAGAGGGAAGGAAGTCGAAGTTAGAGAATTAAAGAAAACCTAACATCCGTAAAGTTCTGCAGGTATTTAAAAAACAAAACCAGGAACCCTGGTAAGATGCTGACAGTTTACTTGAGCATGTACCCTATGCTTTTACTGATTCAGTTACTAATACAAAATTGATCTTTTCACCTAAAATTATCAGCTTAATTTTTAAGGATATTTTCTACGGAAACCTCATTCTGACTTTGTAATACATATCTGTGGAAATGTATGCTTTACTTTGGAGACTTTTTCTTAGAGCCTGCTTTTCTGGAATGAATGAATTTCTATAGATAGCATGGAAGACATATCTTGAGATAAATTTCTTTTTTCCCCTTACTCTTTTCCACATGGTTTTTATTTGTTTAACATATGCCCAAAATAAAGGAAGATGTGACTCTTTTACTGTCTTTTATTTTTATTTAAGATGCCATTTTGTAACAGTATTACACAATAATAGTAGAGGTAGTGATACCTAGTTAATAAGACCTAATACAATTTAAAGTGGGAAAGAATCATTAATTAAGATTCTAGCTTGTGAATATAAAAATGCGAATATTTGCGGTTTCCTTTTATAACCCATTGCAATTTAGTTTGTAATTTTACCACTATACTAAAATTAGTTTAATATTACCAATGGCCATTGTTTTCTTCTCCGTTGATCTCATTAAATCCTCATGGTACTGGACTTTGCATAATGTTGTTGTTCCTTGACTTCCACGATGTTGATGTTGTGCTTTCTTAGTATTTCTTACCTTTCTAAGTGTTTGCCTCATCCTTAGACTACTTGAGACTCTTTCTGACTCCCCCTAAACCCCCATTTTTGTCTGAAAACTGTGATACTTCTTATAAAATTCTGGTTTTATATTCCCAAGTGCTTGTATTCCCACTCATTTGCCATATCGTTTCCTCAAACTAAGTGAATCCAAGCTTGAATTGTTCCAGTTCACCACCCATTTCATATAGTTTGGCCACTAGCCCCAAGAATAGATATTTTGGCATCATCTTTAGTTCTTCCTTTTCAAAATTCCCTTTGACCAAGCGTTCACCATGTGTTTCTCATACCCATACATTCATCCCCAATTTCCCTAATACAATGCTGTGTGTTGTGATTTGTCTTAGATTCGGTTATCAGCAGTATTTATTTATTTATTTTTATTTTATTTTATTTTATTGAGGAGTCTCGCACTATTGCCCAGGCTGGAATGCAGTGGCGTGGTCTCGGCTCACTGCCATCTCTGCCTCCCAGGTTCAAGCGATTCTCGTGCCTCAGCCTCCCAAGTAGGTGGGATTACAGGTGCCTGCCATCACGCCTGGCTAATTTTTGTGGTTTTATTAGAGACGGGGTATCACCATGTTGGCCAGGCTGGTCTTGAACTCCTGACCTCAGGTGACCCGCCCACCTCGGCCTCACACAGTGCTGTGAGGGTGTGAGCCACTGCGCCCGGCTTATCAGCAGTATTTAAATAACCCTTGTTTCTATGAATGTAGTGATGAGTTTCTATATACAGTTTTGTGTTGTGAAGCCTGAGGGGAAAGTGAGTTCCTGGATAAGTCTTGTCATATTTATTTTGTGTTTCTAGCACTGTTGCACAGCACATATTAAGTGTTTAGAAAATGTTTTTTGAATGAACAGCCCAAAGACTAAAGGAAGAGCTTCCTTAGTTCTAAATTCTGTGAAATGAGTCAGTTTGAATGAAGCTAATGTTTCTTTTGTTTTACACCATTTACTATAGAGTGCAGTACTTCAGTTGTTCATACTTGTTGATATTGTTACAGATATTCTAATGGTTCTTTTTACAAAATCAAATATATATACAAGACATTTTTTCGTTTCTTTTTAGGTTTTGGAAGGAAGGATGTTGTAGAACACTTACTACAGATGGGTGCTAATGTCCACGCTCGTGATGATGGAGGTCTCATCCCGCTTCATAATGCCTGTTCTTTTGGCCATGCTGAGGTTGTGAGTCTGTTATTGTGCCAAGGAGCTGATCCAAATGCCAGGGATAACTGGAACTATACACCTCTGCATGAAGCTGCTATTAAAGGGAAGATCGATGTGTGCATTGGTAAGTATCATTTGATGATATCTAAATTTTAAATAAAGGTTTATTCTTACTTTTTTTGTGGTACAAATAGTGTTTCCTGAGAATAGGTAAGGAAGGGTTTATTGCTTCTTGTAGAAGCAGTTCTTTTCCATCAAAAGGTAAACAGAGAGATGGTAATCTAAAGTTACTTAGGGGAAGACTCACAACATTAACTTTCCAAATGCAGTCAAATGCCTATTGATGTGGAACTCAATTTTAATGGATTACTATTGTCAAATTTAGTTAATTTATAGTCTCTTTTAAAGACTGGACATTTTCTATCCTACCATCAATGAGAGCCATTATAAAGTACAAATTCTACTGAGTTGGATGACATTTGAACACTTGAGGTTGATTCAAGGAAACTCATCTAGTATAGTAGTCCCCCCGCTTATATGGGGTTTTGAGTGTTTTGAATACAGTAGTTCAGAACTTAATCGTTTCAATATGTGCCATAGTCTAGAGAAAAAGCAATTTCAAACAAATTGGACTTTTCAATCATTTTAGGTATCTAGATGAAACGAAGCTGTATTCAATCAGCATTTTGTTCTCTCATATATATTCACATTTTGCTTTGCTGTATACAATTTTTTATTTTGAAATCTAAAAAGCTTCTAGAGGGCAAGTATAATTTCTCTTGAGTGTATCATCTGTTTTTTGATACTTGAGATGATGGATGTTTGTTTAGCCATGGCAGGTTGATTTACGTAATTGTCTTCCCAGATGTCATCCACTTCAGCATAATCAGTTTTTTAATGATGCAACTAAAATATACATGACATTTTAAAAGATATAGTGGTGGTGCTTAGTAATGGTTAAGATTATTCCTCCTTATAGCCATCTATTGCAGCTTCTAATATATTTTTCAATATTCCTCAAATTATTGCAATGCCTGATATAAAACTATTTTTTAAAAAAATCACATTTTCTGTCATTATCCTTTGCTACTTGAGCATCCACTAACATGACCTTTGGATATCCTGTCCTTTCAGTTTTTTGACATCTTCCAGTTTCAACTGACTCTCCCATTTCCTCCTAAGTCTCTCACTAACATAGCCACATCCTGGACCAAGTCATTACATAAAACTACCTTGAGAAGCTTCAACTTATAACATCCTCTCTCTGACTACAAAGCCTCTTATGTTACTTGCTTTTGTAAATGATAACTATTATTGAGCTTGGAATGTGTTTCCTACGTAGTCTTCTAGGCTTTCATCTTCTCTGCTGTAACTGCTTCTTGCTTCACCTTGTTGTCACAGCCACTGGATTTTTCTCAGTCATTAGTCAGAATTTTATACTGTTCTCACTTTCTTAAAATATTATCCTTTCCAGGCTTCAGTCTTCTGTTTTCCTGCCTCTACATCTGAAGTTTTCATTTTATCAGTCCTTTGAATATCTTATTGAAATTAGTATTTCTCGCCTCCTCCTCTTAATCCCTCTTTCAAAAGTCCATAATGTAAATGCTCTTTTTATCTAGGTTCTATTGAAATAAAAGACTAGATATGGGGCTTGAATTTTTAATGAATGGATCCCTGCAGCACTCTACTTCCTCAGTTCACAGTAGGCTTTGGCACATATTGTCTTCATTCTGTTTAAGTTCTTGTGCCTTATAAAAGTTGAGGGAAGGGGAAGGGCACCTTTGAAACTATACTCAAAATATAAATGAGGATATAGTTGCTATTAAAGTATGTATCATAGTTATTATGGGAGTCAAAATTGGTTGTAAACCCCGGTATACTTAATTAGCTTGCAGAAACCTCTTAGGAGGTTTATTCTGAGGTTCACTGAAACCTGTAATAGCTTATATATCTTATTTTCTGGAGTTGAATATGGTTAAGGAATTCTGAGATTTTTCTCTGTAAGGCAGAGTTCTGCTTTGGGATAGCTGGATAAAAAAAGTGGGAAGCCTTGTTTTTTTTTTGTTTGTTTGTTTTCCTTTTGCTGGAGTCTAGTAGTTTTTGAGAGATTAGTATACAAAATTGATTTTTAAAAGGTTTTTGCCTAGATGATGAAATACTGGCCTGATTTTTATAAAGATTAATCATATCTCTATATGTGGGGTAGAATAGCAAATACATTTGATATTTTTGAAAAGCTAGAGCCCAGCCAAGCCACATTACCACCAGCTTACAGGAGACATCAGGGCAGGTTGCTGTAGAGCACATGCTCCAGGCTTATACCCTGACCCCACCAGTTTCCAGCTGTGTGAGGCCATGGGCCACTTTCTTGGCCTCTGTCTTTCCTTACATGTAAAATGAGAATACTGTTCTTCACAGTGTTCCTGAGAGGATAAGCTAGTACATATAAAATATTTAGAAGAGTACCAGGTACAGTGTACATTCAGTGAATATTAATTGCCATTATTAATTACTATTATTATTGTTGGTGCTAAAATCTCAGCCTGAATTATGCTCCTGTGTGGTACAGAATTCCCATTTCCTCTGTTTGTCCTTTGTTGACATTTCTTAAAAATGTCCATTTAGGGGCAGGCGCGGTGGCTCACGTCTGTTATCCCAGCACTTTGGGAGGCTGAGATGGGCAGAGCACGAGGTCAGGAGATCGAGACCATCCTGGCTAACACGGTGAAACCCCATCTCTACTAAAAATACAAAAAAATTAGCTGGGTGTGGTGGCGGGCACCTATTGTCCCAGCTACTTAGGAGGCTGAGGCAGGAGAATGGCATGAACCCGGGAGGCGGAGCTTGATGAGCTGAGATTGCACCACTGCACTCCAGCCTGGGCGACAGAGCGAGACTCTGTCTCAAAAAAAAAAAAAAAAAAAAGTCCATTTAGAAATCTTGAACCCATGTGTTTCTTTCATAGATGCTATTTACCATCAAAAAGAAGAAAATTCAAACTGAGATTATTTTAAAAATCAACTTGAAATGCTTGTATAATTAAACAAACTACTTAAGACTGTGGTCTTGGGAATGTTGATGACAGTTTTTATACTGTAATGTTGAATTGAATTTACTTCAGAAATCAATACATTTTCTGCCTTTAGAACTTATTTATCTTTGCTTCTCCCTACCCCTCAAATATAGTCTCCAAAACCACTAAATAGCTTTTCTGAATATATGCTATATGATTTTTTTTTTCCTTTTTTGAGACAGAGTCTTGCTCTGTCACCAGGCTGGAGTGCGGTGGCGCGATCTCTGCTCACTGCGAACTCTGCCTCCTGGGTTCAAGTGATTCTCCTGCCTCAGCCTCCCAAGTAGCTGGGACTGCAGGCGCATGCCACCATTCCCAGCTAAGTTTTGTATTTTTATTAGAGACAGGGTTTGACCATGTTGGCCAGGATGCTCTCGATCTCTTGACCTTGTGATCCGCCTGTCTCAGCCTCCCAAAGTCCTGGGATTGTAGGCGTGAGCCACCGCACCCAGCCTGTATGGTTTTTTGAGACTGTTAGTGCTTGAGAATTTCATTTTAAAAGCAAATTATAAGCATACTTTTCATGGAGTCTGATATAAGATCTGGGAGTCGGAGGGTGCGGTGGCTCACTCCTGTAATCCCAGTACTTTGGGAGGCCGAGATGGGTGGATCACGAGGTCAGGAGATTGAGACCATCCTGGCTAACACAGTGAAACACCGTCTCTACTAAAAATACAAAAAATTAGCCGGGCGTGGTGGTGGGCGCCTGTAGTCCCAGCTACTGGGGAGGCTGAGGCAGGAGAATGGCGTGAACCCGGGATGGGGAGCTTGCAGTGAGCCGAGATTACACCACTGCACTCCAGTCTGGGTGACAGAGCAAGACTCTGTCTTTAAAAAAAAAAAAAAAAAAAAAAAATCTGGGAGTCACAATGGATATTTGTGATTTTTTTCATTTTGACTAATTAGTATCCAATTCTTTTTCTGATTTTGGAGATTTTAAACTGTGGGCACTCCTTGCTGAGAGGAATGCGGAAACTGGTAGTGTCAGATCTTCCTTCCTTCTACTTCTTTGCAGTCAGGGATTGTCTTGGTTTGTCCAGTCATGCACTTCATTTTGTAAATGTAGAATTTTGAATACAAAATCTTAGCTATAGTAAGGAATCATATATAGCAGCAGATTTTTGCTTTAGTGTGGGCAGTGGCCTGGTCATAATGTTTCCTACTAAAAGACAGTTGTGCTTCCTACTCTTAGCTCTACAGCTTCTTATGTGTTTCTAAGGTTGGTCCTCTACTCTCCTGTCATTTCAGTCTAAGATAGACAATGGTTTCTGTTACTTGCAAATTAGTATAATTGATAACAGAGATCTTGAGAAGGTTGCTAAATGGAAGTTGCAGAATGGGGCTTCTAAACTGATAAATCTCTTGAATCTTTATTTAAGTCTCACTGCCCTCACACAGTTTACATGTATACCACACCTCCATCTCTCCTTATTCTCTACAATTCTCAAGAGTGAAGGAGACAGAGTATGTTCCCTTTGGAGGCCTCTTCCAGGTGCCTCTCATTAGGGAAGAGACAGCTTGCTGGCGTCCACAGCAAATCATTCTAAAGATAACAGAGGTGTATGGTGTTCCAACGCATGTGGGATTGTCACTGTGGAATACCCCAACATCTAGACATGAAGCCCAGCAAACCAAGTGAAAAATAACAGCCCATCTCAGCCAGAAGGGATGATTAAGACAACAATCAGAATACATATCCAGGACTGCTAAAGGAGTCAGGTAAATACCTGAATAAAAAAAAAATATCTCCCAGAGAAATTAAAGTATAAAGTGGGGAAGAAATTTCCTGGGGCCAAAACTCAAAACCGAAATAAAAAAAAAATCCACCACCTAATTTTTTTTTCAGAGGAAACAATTTAGTAGATGAATTAAAGACCATGTTAGTAGCCTGGAAGCTTACGTGTGAGATGTACAGAGACAAATGTTGAAACATGGAAATCATGACGAAAAAGGTAAATAAATCTGGGAACATCAACGTCATTTTAAACCTTACACGTGATATGAGTTTCAGAGGCAGGGGAAAAAAGAAAAAAAAGTCTGATGGAAGAGATCAGTAATAATTAAACAAATGATAAGAAAGAGAAACCTATCTTGAGATTGAAAAGGCTCAGGGAGCTCCATATGAGATTGATGAGAAAAGATAAACTGAGTAAGATGTATATTGCACTTTTCCAGAAAGAAGGAATAAGTTGCCTACAGAGGGAAAAAAATTAGGCAAAGGACTTTTCATTTACAATATTGACAGCTTGAAGACAATGGAATAACCTTCTAAAGCCTGCTGGAAGAAAAGGATTAAGTTGTAATTTCCTTGATAAAGAACAGTTCTGCAGCCTTTTGGGAGTAAGAAAGGCTGAATCAAGCAAGTGACATTACATTAGAGAAACAAAGCTCCTGCAACTTTCTTTCTCTATACTTTCAAACAATTCTTGGTTTAATTTGTCTTATATGCAGAGACTGAGGGGATCCTCACTGAATATCTTTCTTGGGAGCGCAAAATTCAAGCTGCTCTTTAAAATCTAACAATTAGGACTTAAAAAAAATAACTGTTTTCTGGCTGAATGGCATTACGTAATAGTGGTTGGAGTCAAAGAGACCTGTTCCTTGAGTGAGTTGTTTACTTCTTTCAGCATTAAAATGGGAATGAGGGTAATAGCTGTATGTCATACAGTTGTTAAGAGGATTAAATGAGATAATATACGTGAAACACCCTTGTACAATAGCTGTATATTTTATATATAATAATTAGAAAGTACATGCTCATTATTTGGCAACTGCTTTTATTATCGTGAAATAACATGATTAGAAATAGTTTTCTTCTTGTATTACATTATATTGTTCCAGATACTTTTATATTTACTGAAAATGCAAGAAAAAATAGAGATCTGATGGTATTTTTCTAAAAAGTCTCTAAGCAAATTGGCTTCTTAGGGGAAATTAAGCTGACTATATAAAGATAGTATTATTTAATACCATAATTAAAGTTGGTTATCTAAATGAACTAATGAAAGCAATTTGTTGTAATTCCCATTTTTCCCATCCCAGTTCAGAACTTCAATTGATTATTTAATATGTAATAGGATTTCTGCTGTTTTTTTTCCCATTATTTATACTTCAGGGACTCCTTGTTATAAAATTATATTTTATGATTCTGCTGAGAGAGAGCAAAAATAAAATTATGCTTTATCTCTTCTTCCCCCTCCTTTGCCTTGGAAAAGTAGGGGACATACCTTAGCTTGTGATTATTCAACTAGGTAAAACTCAGATTCATTCAGTCAAATGTAATATATCAACCCAGATAAGATCTTGGTTCAGAAAAAAATGTTAAAACAGCCAGTATTATAGAATTTATATTTAAATTATAATATAGTCTATATAATTTATATCTAAAACGTGTGTGTGTGTGTGTGTGTGTGTGTGTGTGTGTGTGTGTATGAAGTTAGGTGGTAAATAATCCAATTGACTTGTTAAGTTTTGGGCTAATAATATGCAGAGTTATCAGCAATAGGGAAGACTGAAGACTTTGCTCCTCTTAGAGTAATTGAGGGTCACCGTGGTCTGCTGCGAAGAACAATGAAACAGGAGTCGGCGTACCTGGAGAGTACTGTTGGGTCTCCCGTTAGAAAGAACCATATACATATAATGTTATGCTTTAAAAACTTTTTATAAGAAGTTACATGCTATATGTGGTAGGCAAATAATGGTTGAAAGATGTTCATATCTTAATTCCTGGAACCTGGGAATGTTAACTTTACATTGCTAACAGAAATTAAGGTTACAGATGGAATTTTGGTTGCTAATCAGTTAATTTGAGATGGGAAGATTATCATGGATTGTCTTGGTGGACCCAAAGTAATCACCAGATTCCTTAGAAGTAGAAGAGGGAGGCAGAGAGAAAGTCAGATGATATAATTTCAGATGGATTCAAGCCACCATTGGTGGCTTTGAAAAGAGAGAAAGGGTTCCCTAAACTAAGGAATGGGGGTAGCCCCAAGAAGATGGAAAAGGCAAGGAAGTAGGTTTTCATGAAAGTCACCAGTAAGGAATTCAGCCTTGCCGACACCTTGATTTTTTTTTTTTTTTTTCTTCAAATGGAGTCTCGCTCTGTCGCCCAGGCTGGAGTGCAGTGGCACAGTCTCGGCTCACTGTAAGCTCGGCCTCCTGGGTTCACGCCATTCTCCTGCCTCAGCCTCCTGAGTAGCTGGGACTGCAGGCTCTGCCACCACGCCCGGGTAATTTTGTTTTTGTATTTTTAGTAGAAACGGGGTTTCACCATGTTAGCCAGGGTGGTCTCGATCTCCTGACCTTGTGATCCGCCCGCCTCGGCCTCCCAAAGTGCTGGGATTACAGGCGTGAGCCACTGCGCCTGGCCGACACTTTGATTTTAGCCCAATGAGACTTACGTCAGATTTAGGATCTCCAGAACTGTAGGAGAGTAAGTTTGTTGTTGTTATTGTTTTAAACCACTGGATTTGTGATAATTTGTTACGGCAGCAATAGCAAGCATATATTATAAAAACATCTTACAGCGGTTTTGCAAAATTTATCTAGGTTGAGCATCTCCTGAAAAGAGTAGTAGAATGTTTTCAATACAATTAAAACTGCTTTCTTGGAAATGCTTAAAGATTTGGTCACTGAGGATAAGTAGCAGTTTTTTATGTTGGCAAATATACAAGAATGATACTTGTAAGAATTCTTAAAATAATTATAAAAAAGCAGATAATGTAGTGGACTCATATTTGTGCTTAAATGATTGTTTCTGAAGTATTTTGAGATTTGGGGTAAATTATCTTACTAAGAAACTTAAAAAAAATAAATTTTGTGTCAAATTAGGTGTGGAGAGTCCTTGTCCTTATACACTTGTTTAAACTGAACATTTTCTTTGTAATCTTTGTAATCAGGTGCCACATAAAAAATGTTTGAAAGACATGTAACTTGACAACCAAATTGCTTCTTTTTTTTTTTGAGACAGTCTTGCTCTGTCGCCCAGGCTGGAGTACAATGGCGGGATCTAGGCTCACTGCAAGCTCTGCCTCCCAGGTTCACGCCATGCTCTTGCCTCAGCCTCCCGAGTAGCTGGGACTACAGGCACCCGCCACCACGCCCAGCTAATTTTTTATGTATTTTTAGTAGATACAGGATTTCACCATGTTAGCCAGGATGGTCTCTATCTCCTGACCTCGTGATCCGCCCACCTCGGCGTTCCAAAGTGCTGGGATTATAGGCGTGAGCTGCCGCGCCCGGCCCCAAATTGTTTCTTTTATCTAAAAAGGGGAATTTTATTGTCTGCAATATGAGGCATGATTAAACATTTTAGGTTGAACTGAAGACTAGGGCCCCAATATTTCTTTCTTTTCTACCTTTTAATTCCTGTGACTTTGGGCAGATTATAAGGTCTGTGCTTCTGGTGAGTCTGTTTCTGAAACACGTGGCCATTTATAAAGGTTTACTGTGTGAAGTGCTTTCAGACTGTTCCATCTCTAATGAGCTGCTTGGCCTATGGTTCTTTTAGTGACCAGGAAAACAAAGGAAAAGTGATATTGAAACCCCATAGCCTTATTTCAAATTAGACTAGGAAGAAGAAGCTTATCCAAGTTGAGAGGGATAGGTTAATGGGTTAATCGGAGTGGGGAAAGATGACAGCATTCAGCACATCATGGATATTATTGTCATAGATAATTGAATATATGACAAACTCGATTGGTATGGGAATTTGTCCTCATTAGTGTTTGTGACTGAAAACGGGATTATTTCCCTGCTCCCACTGAACCTATTGACATGAGAAAAAATCTATAGCTAGAGATTTTGCTCAGTGAGAAGCCTTGAAACCTGTATTAATGAAACAATAATCTACTTTCACTTGAATAAATGTAATCAGAAAGTAGGATACTAGAAGCAGGACATACATTCTGGGCCAAGGGTAGCAGCAGGATCAGCTTGACTAGGAGGTTCTAGAACCTAGTAGTGGAGTTAGCTAATGAAAGGTATTGTTTATAAACTAGAGGTCTCTTGTAAAGCATCAGATAAATATTTGAAGTTATAGTAAATAACTGCATGTAAAGTTGGAGACAGAAACACACCAGTCAGGAAAACCAAGAATTTTGAAGTAAACAACCAAGCCAGCTCCAAGAACTTTAGCAGCAGAGGTATGTCAGCCTTCTCATTAGAATCCTCCCTTAAAGTTGCTGTGAGGTCTTGGCTTCAAGTCCACTCTTGTTGCTAAACCTGAGATGCAAAGAATCTGATGCCCCACTTTGAGTTAGATGTTGACCCTTAATCAGTTAGCTTTAGTCTCAGAGACGTTTCCTAGTGTGGACTTGGCCCCTCGGGCCTCACCACTATACATAGGAATCTACAACTGAGAGTAAATTGATATAGCGGGGCTGGGAGCCACGTGGGTGAGGAAGAGAAGAAAGTAAAAATGAGCTTGATTTTGATTTTGGATCCCTTCGAAAATTGATTACTGTTAATATTCTTTGAACCATCTCATGCCTTCAACGAAGATCTTAATACTCTTTGTGAAAGAAGTCTTCTGATAATATGTTTCTATAGCTGTCCACAAACTCTTCTGAATTAATTCTATATGCATATACTGCCACCCAACACGTCTCCTCTGTTCATGTGCATGCTCCATTCATTGTCCCGTTGAATGTTACGTACAAAATACAAGCTAAGAGATAAGATTGCTAAGAATTTCAGGTGGTGACAGCAGAGCATTGGGGCCCTGTGCAACTGCACAGCTTGTGTGTTCGCGAAGCTGCCCATGATTAGATCACAGTATGTGCGTGTTTAAAAATGCTCCACATAATTCCAGGTGTACTTAAGTAACACCCGGACTCATCTTCAGGGCCCTCCTTGGTCTGGCTCCCGTCTACATCATGGACTTCATCCTCATGTCCCTGTAATTCCCTCCCTTTCTCTCCACCTTCCAGCTACAATGGCCTTTTTGTCTCTCTAATGCACCAAACTTGTTCTGCCTGCGGTACTCTTTCCCCAGATTTTTCACTAATAATGTTAATTCATCTGAGTTGTGCCCTGACAAAGCTGTCATAATTTCTTGCCCTGCCCTGTTTGTTTGATTACTCTTTTATCATGTTTTATTTTACACCATAGCACTTATTACCTGGAATTATATCCTTATTTAATCATACATTTACTTGTTTGTTTGCCATCTGTGTACTCTTCCCAACTTTGTGCCTTAATATAAACACAGGAACCTACTCTGCCTTACTTTGCACCACATCCCTGGCATAATAAAGCTCTGTGCTTGCTCCGAGTAAAATGCCTACTCTGTGCCAGAACCTCAGTGTGGTTTTAATTGCATTTGCCTGATAAGTAATGATGTTGAGCATCTTTTCATGTGCGTGTTTGCCATTTGTATGTATTCTTTGGGGAAATGTCTATTCCTATCTTTGTCCGTTATTAAATTGGCTGTCTTTTCATTATTGAGTTATGATAGATAAAAGTTTCTTACTAGAAAAATGATTTGCAAATACTTTCTCCCATTCTTTGTGTTGTCTTTTCATTTTCGTGATATTGTCCTTTGAAGCACAGAAGTTTTACATTTTGGTGATTTGATTAATGGTTAACATTAAAAAGTCTGTTTCTGCTTTCGTTGCTTGTGCTTTGGTATCTTATCTGAGAATCCATTGTCGAACCCTAGATCATGATTTAACTCTGTTGTCATCTAGGAGTTGTAACTGAAATGTATTTAGGTCTGATGCATTTGGAATTGATGTTTGGAGATGATGTGAGGTGAAGGGTCCAACGTCATGCCTTTGCATGTGGCTATCCAGTTTTCTCATTTAGTTGTTCATAATATTCCTTTATAATCTTTTATTTCTGTAAGCTTAGTAATAATTTACTCCCTTTCGTGTATGATTCTAGTTAATAGAGTTGTCTTTTATTTTTTCCCTAGGTCCATTTGGCTAAATGTTTGTGAGTTTATATTGTGTGTGCATATCGTTAGTTTTTTTGTTGTTGTATGGTGTTTCATTGTATGGATGTAGCACAGTTGGTGGTTGTTTAGCTTGTTTGCAGTTTGTAGCTGTTATAACGCTGGATGTATGTCTCAGCGTGGACATGTTTTTTCACTTCTCTTGGATGGATCCCTGAGAGTGGGATTGCTGGGTGGAATGCTAAGTGCACATTGGACTGTAAAAGAAGCTGCGTTGCCCTAATGGCTGAGCATGTTGAGAATATTTTTATGTACAGTGGTCATTCATGTATATTTTTTGTGAAGTGTGCATATCTTTTGGCCATCTTTGGTTTTATTTTTATTTTTTGCTGTTACTGATTTTTGAGAATTCTTTTTGTGCTGTAACAATGGGTCTTAGTTGGATGTGTGTATTGTGAATGCTATTTCCCAATCTTTGCTTTGCTTTTCGTTTTCTTAATGGTATCTGTATACAGGCAAAGGTTTTTAAGTTTGGTGAAGTCTGATTTATCAGTTAAAATAGCAAAGTATTTGGTGTTTCATCAGCGTTGGAATAATAAGATTTCTGCTTGACAATTATTCTTAGGTTAAAAGCAGTATATAGAGAAATAACATTATCGTTTTAATTACACTGTGGAAATTCAGGAAAGCAGTTTCCGGTCTGAGGGCTGCTGCTTCAAATGCTTTCTAACAACTTGCTTAGGATATATTTTTAAAGATTAAAATGAAAGAATCAGCTATTTCATGTGAAAACTTGAATATATTATAGGACTCATTTTTAAGATTTAACAGTAAAAGCCAGGTGGACTTTAACTAATTAGAAAATAATTATCTAAAATATGCACAGTTATTTCTGAGATGACATTGTTTGCCTACTATTGGCAAGTATATTTCCAAAATTTAGGGAAATAGGCTGTTTTTAATAGCTTGTTGCCTGAAATCTTTCCACAAACGAAGACTTATTAATTCCCAATACTTAAATTTTTTTTGGTTTGTGTTTTCCTTTAATGTGTTCTGTTAGCATTGTGAACATTATCTGCTTTTCAAGGATCAAAAGACTCACAGATGTTCTTTTAGCTATTTCTTCATCTTACTGGCTTTAGTAGAATTCTCATACTTTTCATATTCCCGGTATTAGGAGACAGGAAATACAAACAGATTAAAGACTCAAAGACTGGTCTTTATAGTTCTAGTATATTGTAAACTTCCTGTTCTTCTTGGCGTCTAGAAGTAGAGTAGTTCTCTGTGCACTGAGTATGTTTACTTTCTAACACAGCCACAGGATGAGGTGCCAGATTCTTAAACTGAATCAGGTAAGGTGTGAAGTTAAGCATGTACCACGTTCTCTGTGGTAGGAACTAACAATAATCTTGTCCACTTTCATACGTATTCTTATTGTCTATCACTGATGTCTAATTATATTCAAGAAACGTGTGTGAAGTGACAAAGCAGTTCACTGGAAGAAGGCTTGATTCTGTCTGACTTTTTTTTATATTACTCTGTGTTACATGGATAAGGAAGCTGAGTAATTTTCTACTTCTTGATTAGGTGATATCTTGAGATTCCTTTATTTTAAAGCAATGTGAACTTGCAGTATGTCAGACACTTCAATATTCATATACAAATATAAAACACATTTTATAGTCATATGCAAATTATGTTTAGATTATCTTCCATTTGTCAAGTAACTGCTTATTCTTCATTAGGATGGGCAGTTGAATATTGATTCTGATCATGCATTAACTTTTGGTTATAATGGGTTTTCCACAAAGGATAGTAAAACATTTTTTCTTGTTAACTTACAGATTAAACCCATGAATTGCCCCTCTTGGGAGCTGAGGAGTTGAGGTAGGGAGGGATAAGAAAAAATAAGGTGATGGTGGTAAATTTATAAAAGTTGCTGTGGATAGTTGATACGTAATATTGTAAAGGGTTTTCCCTCGAGGCCTCTCAAAGGACTTAGCCAAGCAGTGTCACTAATATTTGTGTCCTGTGTGTGAGGCAGATGATTCAGATTACCTACCAGTTTACCAGTGAAGAAGGAGAAAGTTGTTACTTTGCCACAGTCTGTAGAGCTGATAGAAAGTTGTTATAATGGAAATGTTTTCTTAATTGAGAAATGAAGGTTCTGTTCACACAGTGGGCTTCATTTAAGAATACATCATACATATAAAAGGTTAATTTCATTCTGTAAGTCTGCCAAATTAATTCTTTTAAATTATTTTTAGCTTAGCTTTTAAAACCGTATCATATTTAGCAAACTTAAGGTGGAAAATAATCTTCACCAAACCCCCTTCCCCCCAAACCAAAAAACTAACCTGTCTACAAAAATTTAAACCAAGTGTAACTTACTCCTAAAGTAATACCTCTCTGTTAATTTCCTTATAACTTCCTTTTGTGTGTCTGCTATTTAGAAAGATATGTTTCATTTCCTTTTACAAAGTCTTTTAGTTTAAAAAATTATCTGACCACTTCCATGGTTACTTGTCCTTTGATGAAGTTAACATCCTGGAACTTGGAATGGCACGGGATTGGGGATGGGGGAAAGAAATGTGGAATGAGTGTTCAACTGCCTTTGGTACATTCTTATCCCTTGATATTTATTTATTTATTTATTATTATTATTATTATTATTTTTTGAGACGGAGTCTCACTCTGTCACCCAGGCTGGAGTGCAATGGCACGATCTCAGCTCACTGGAACCTTTGCCTCCTGGGTTCAAGCAATTCTGCTGCCTCAGCCTCCCGAATAGCTGGGACTGTAGGAACCCGCCACCACGCATGGCTATGTTTTGTATTTTTAGTAGAGATGGGGTTTCGCCATTTTGGCCGGGCTGGTCTCAGACTCCTGACCTCAGGCGGTCCACCTGCCTCGGCCTCCCAAAGTGCTAGGATTACAGGCATGAGCCACTGCGCCCGGCTATCTCCTGTTATTTTAAGTATAGTATTTTGAAGGTTAACAACTTTCTGGGTTTTTTCTTAACAGCATTATTAGAAGTGATAGTTGCCCATTAAAGAAAAATGAGAAAATATACTGATGATAACTCTCACACCTTGTTTTTTGTCTATTTAGACTTGCATGGTCCAGTGTGATAGCCATTAAATTAAAATCAATTACAGTTTTAAAAATTAAAAATTTAGTTTCTCAGTTGCACTAGCCGTGTTTTAAATGCTTAATGACCGTATCTGGCTATCGGTTATCGTAATGGAGAGTGTAGACATAGAAATTTTTGTTATCACAGAAAGTTCTGTTGGACAGTGCTGTTAGACCCAGTGAACCTGTGTATACAATCCATTTTACGTAAAATGAGATCATTCCACCATATTATTTATTTATTTTTCTACTTTATGTAGTAACATATTTTATTGTCAGTGAATATTTTTATATAATCTCATTTTAAAGGCTTCTAAGAATTATTTATATAGAAATCATCATTTTTTAAAATCAGTCACCTGTTGTAGGCCATTTAGGCTATTTTTGTACCATTTTATAAACAGTAGTATAAAGAATATCCTTTTCATTACATATATGTATAAATCTTAATTGCTTTAGGATAAATTCCTGGAAAGCCACAGCTTCTTAATAAGGACCAAAGAAGTTTTAGCTACTGGAGAACTTCACTGGACCTCTTGATTTAGTTTGTCACACTGTCTATTTATATATCATTTATAAATGAGCTAGGTTAAGAAAAGTCATTTCTCACACCTTCTTTACTGTTTGCAAAAATTAGTTGAAAATTCAGTGAAGCCTTGAAAATCTGATTCACTTGGTTTTGTTTCATTAATGTCTTTCCTTTTCCTGCCAGAATACTTCCCTTCTGCATTTTTACCATTAGTTGTCCATATAAAACCTGAATTGGTATTTTTTTTTTTTTGAGACGGAGTCTTGCTGTGTTGTCCAGGCTGGAGTGCAATGTGTGATCTCGGCTCACTGCAACCTCTGCCTCCCAGGTTCAAGCAATTCTCCTGGCTCAGCCTCCTGAGTAGCTAGGATTACAGGCACCCTTGAATTGGGATCTTTTAAACAAGTCTCAGTGTAGCATTTTCATAAAAAACAAAGATGACAAAATTCCATACTTGTATCCTTAAAACAGAGAAGAGAGGCCCAGAATGAGAGTCATTGTGCCTTTGGAAATAATCTCCGCTGACACTGAGTACTCTTAACGTTGATGACTTGTCTGCTTGTGTTCCAACTGCTTTCAGGAAGGTTAGAGTAGTGTGCATTTACCTGATAAAATTGGGACTGTTTTAACAGTTATTCTGTACAATAGTGGTAGATATACACATAACATATATATATGTTATGTACTTATTAATTGTGTTTTATTAGAATTCCAGGAAAAGCACCCGTATGGAAGCTTTCACTCTTCCAAGGCCTTAAGAAATACATTGAAGATGCTTAAATTAGGTGGAAAAAGCAAAAAACTAGAAAAAAAATTTTCATATACTTTTTTACAGTGATGCAAGGCTTTACTTAATGCCCAGGTCTGTCTGTCTAATAAAAGCATTACACATTTGCATTTACTTTTAGACTCACTTCAATTGTTCAAAACAATCTATGGGTTAGGTTAGGTGCAGTGACTCATACCTCTAATCTTGGCACTTTGGGAGGCCAAAGTGGGAGGATTGCTTGAGTTCAGAGTTTGAGACCAGCCTGAGCAATAAAGTGAGATCCTGTCTCTACAAAAAATTTAAAAATTAGCTGGGGGTGGTGGCACACACCTGTGGTCCTAGCTACTTGGAAGGCTGAGGCAGAAGGATCACTTGAGTGGGGAGGTACAGGTTGCAGTGAGCCATAATCACTTCATGGGACTCCAGTCTGGGTGACAGAGGGGACCCTGTCTCAAAATACATATATACATACATACATACGTACATACACACATACATACTGTAGTTTTCAGTGAGATACATGGCTTAAGTTTGGGGTTGTATGAAAATGGTATTTGAGACAAATGGGTTGTGTAACCAGGCAGATTTTGCTTTGCATCTTTATCATGTTATCTGAAACTCATATATTATTAGAAGTATGGCTTCCCTTTGTACAGTTTTAATACTGAAATGTGGAGGTAGGTCCATATTTGAGATAAAGATGTAGGGAGTCCTTCTTACTTCTCATTCTCAACTGACCAAGCTAGAAAACTATTAAGTATAATAATTGTATTTATAGGCTTTACATTTGTACTTTACTTTTAAAAAACGTAGTGTCTTGTATTATTTAAATCTGCTAATTATCTTTTTAAAAATATGGTGGGTATTAGATTTTTCATATGTAAGCAGAATCCAAGATTAAGAATGTTAACCTTACTGTGAGTTATTTCATATTCTACTCCCTGATATGACCATATAAATAAGACTTACCAAGCATTCCCACTGTGTAGCCAAAGATACATTTATTTTGGATCAATACATCTGAAATCTGAATAACTCTTTCAGACTTTTGTGTCAAGCCTGAAAATTTCTAAATTTACTGTGGTACACATAATCATGGCTAGAGATAGAGGGCACATCTTTTGTTTTGCCTGTTTATGACACAGGTTTGAGTGCTGGTCTTTTGAAAGAATAAACTTGAGTTCTGAGGATTGAGGGAACCAGGCCAGGAAATGTTCTAGTGGGTCCCCTAAAATGGAACTCTCACTGTCATAGGTATTTTTCAAGCGTTCCCACAGGGGAACTGTGATGGGCTTATTAGGAAGAGGACATTGAATATAGGAGTGGTATACGAGGTATTAAGGACAAATATGTAGATATGCCTTTTAGAATTTACTTCTGGGGAAGAAAGCTTGAGTATTGTTCTGGGATAATCTTAGCTTGCATTTATATGGAATTTAAGATAGCAAATAAGTGCTTGGCTTTACAATTAAGTATGAATTGCAATGTATCACATACAGACTGATTTTACACATTTGCTTTGAGCTTCAGTTTCTTAATTATAAAACGGACGTTGGCTCTACTGCATAAAATTTTTATGGGAAGTTAAATGAAAGAATATAGAGAAAGCAAGTAGAGTCTCAGTAAATACTTGTTTCTTTCCACTTGCTTTCTTCTTGTATGCAACAGTAAGGTTGCCACACAAGACTATTTTTGTATTCTGACACAAAGCGGACACTCAATCAAAGCTCAGTGAAGGGCTGACATTCCCATAAGCTGCTCTTTGTTACCATCAGCGTGAATTTGTGTTACATTCTTTGTTTAGTATCCTTTGTAATTTTGTAAACTTGAGTTGTGATTTGATAAGACATGAAGCTCTTTTTTCCTCATTGTAATTTAGATTCTTTTAACCTAGTGAGTGGAGATATTGCATATAGGATTATGGAGAATCGTTAATGTAACTTAAACATTTTCCCCACAAATATTTCAATAGCAGGGGTATCGTGGTTTGCTGTAACCAAATATTAAGTGTATGAAATAATTGGTTAATATTTTTTAAAGCAGATTACTCATGAGTAAGCAGCTCTCTTTCAAGCCAAGAGACATCACAGTTGCTGTTTCTGAAAATTGTAACCCACTAGGAATGAGACAAGGAAAAGGACAGATGAGGAATTATGTTAAAAGAAAAAGGTGGTCTTTTCCTCAATGTGGGGGAAAAGTTGAGGTGGGAAGTGAAATATGTGATTCAATACTATCATTCAGAACAATTGATAATAGGATAATGTGTCAAATCCCATGGAAACACAAAACTCAGTTTATTTTTTTAATTATTTGCTTTTAGCTAAATAACTTTCCTAAGGAATGAGAATTCTTTAAGTTATATTCTTTATGTCCTTTAGATTGAAAGTACAGCAGAATGTTGGCATTTCAGTCTGTTGAATCAGTTGTCAGAGGCATAGGAAAATAATAGTAATGATATATTTATGATATACTTTCTCCTCCAGGGTTCACGCCATTCTCCTGCCTCAGCCTCCTGAGTAGCTGGGACTACAGGTGCCTGCCACCATGCCCGGCTAATTTTTTATATTTTTTTAGTAGAGACGGGGTTTCACCGTGTTAGCCAGGATGGTCTTGATCTCCTGACCTCGTGATCCGCCTGCCTCGGCGTCCCAAAGTGCTGGGATTACAGGTGTGAGCCACCGCGCCCGGCCAGTAATGATATACTTTCTTAGGAGACTAAAATTGAAAGCAGAATCAAATTATTACTATTATGGTACAGGTTTAATCCTGTTTTCCTTGGGAGGGAGGATGTTTTAAATATGTAAGTTTAAACCTTGTAACTAGTGATAAAAATATTAATTGCCAGGCTGGGCAACATGGAGAAACTCCATCTTTACTAAAAACAGAAAAATTAGCTGGGCATGGTGGTGCATGCCTGTAGTCCTAGCTACTCGGGAGGCTGAGGTGGGAGGATCAACTGAGCCAGTGATGCGGAGGTTGCAGTGAGCTGAGATTGCACCATGCCACTGCAGTCTAGCCTGGGCCACAGAGCAAGACCTTGTCTAAAATATGTGTGTGTGTGTGTGTGTGTGTGTGTGTCTGTGTGTGTATATATGTATATGTGTGTGTGTATATATATATATATATATATATATATATATATATATATATATATATATATATGAATGAATTGGTCTTCATGTTTTACACACATAAGAAATTTATCTGGAATGCTAGTAAGTCCGTGAGGCCTTGAGAGAGAGGAAGTAGAGTTAGCAGTTTAGGGAAAGATTCACAAACACTGATGAAGTGTTTCTCATGTTTATCCCTTCTTCTGTCTCATAAACAGATTGGGAAGCACCTTTTACATGTGGTCATTGTCCCTTAGAGTTGTGCAAGCTTTATGATCCTATTATAAATTTCCCTGGTCAGATTGTAGAGATACTTGCTTTATTCCTTATGGACATTTCATTTAGTTGAATCTAGTCAAGTTTAGAAAAAGTAATCTACCCCTAAATAAAAAGAAGCATAATATAGCAGTTAGGTGTGGCACAAATGAATTCATTGTTCCTAGGGCTATTATCAGTTTACCTTTATTTCAATCCAGCAGATCTTCTGTTAGCACTGTATATCTATTTTTGAAAGACAGATGAAAAGATTCTCATTGGGATACGAGAGAGTGTTTATTGAGTTCTTGTTATGTGCAAAGAGCCAAGCCGAGTTTGTATATATTGTCACATTTAATTGTAACAGCAATTCACTGTGTTAGGTAGTGTTTTATGAAAGAGGAAATTAAGATTGGCAGTGGTGAAGTAACTTGCCCAAGGTCAGACAGTTACTAAGGATTGAGCAGTATTCTAAAACTGAGGTTTATCTGATTCCTGGGACAGAACTTTCAGTCATTATTCTCTATTGAGTTTCCAGGTAGAAAGAGAGATACTTTGTTACACTCAATCTTACATTTATTCCAGTATCTGCCTTATCTTGTAATAAATTGTTATGTGAGCAGATAATTCTGATTTTACAAATGTATTGTGTCCTGGATTAACTTTGTTCATTGCAAAAAGGATAAAATTGATCTGGGATATAAAAATCTGCTATGTATATGTACAGAATAATCTATACCTAAGTTACTGCAGATGTGATGTGCCTTTTTAAAAAAAAAAAGTCTTGATTTTCTATATTTATAAGTAAACTTGACAACAGGCGCAAAATTGAATTGGAAGATTCTTTTATTATTGTAAAATTTCATGCCAGAGTTTGTCCATAAAGATTGAAGGAGATGCATTTAACTCATTAAGTCATATATAGAAGACCTCTCCCATGTAAAACTCAGTAATTTTATTCACATGGATGAATTTTTGAGTGGGTAATTAAATATTTTTTAATATCTCTAAAAATTATGTGCATAGGCTTGTTTTGTCCTAACAGCCCTATGAGATAGGTACTCTAATATTATCTCCTGATTTACAGGCAAGGAAATGGAAGCTGAGAGAGGTAAAGGAATTGCTAGGGTCCCACAAGTAATGGCAGCAGAACTGGTATTCTAGCCTGTGCAGTTTGGCCCCAGAAGCCAGCCTCTGAAGTACAGCTGTGTTCTTAACTCTAACTATGGCATATTGCCATGGCAGACTTTGTAGTGAACTTTATTTTTTTGAACTTTTAAGAATTTTAATTAAAAGTTGTGGGGTTTTTTGAGATGGGGTCTCACTCTGTCAGTCAGGATAGAGTCCAGTGGTGTGATCATGGCTCACTGCAGCCTCGACCTCCTTGACTCAGGTGATCCTCCCACTTCAGCTTCCCAAGTAGCTGGGAGTACAGGTGCACACCATCATGCTTAGCTAATTTTTGTATTTTTTGTAGAGACAGGTCTCGCCATGTTGACCGGGATGGTCTTGAACTCCTGGGCTCAAGCGATCTGTTGGTCTCGGCCTCCCAAAATGGTAGGATTTCAGAGGCATGAGCCACTGCGCCTGGCTGAACTTTTTTTTAAAAAAGAAATGCAGTTTTTATTTTTTCCCACTGACGTACTTGGAAAAAAAAGTTACATGTAATGAGACACATAGTTCACTGGGGTGAAATTAATTTGTTCCAAGTATGCTAGTCCCAGATGTTGACAGAATTCTGAATTTTGGGTCACTTTTATATGAAAGACAAAGACTTTCATATATGAAAGTATGACTAAAACCCTGGAATTTTTGAAATAATCCCTTCACTATTTTACTCAATTTGTTTCTACAGTCAGCATTATTACAGAATCTAAATTAATAGATTTATTTCACATTTGTCTTATCCATTGCTGTTACCATATTTAATGTTAGTCATTTGATAGGAAGAATGATCCAATTTTTCTTTATTCGTTACAAAGTAATTTCTGTAAGCAAGAGCTTTTAAAAAGCATTGTTTTGCACACATATTAAACAGCATGCATAAAGATCATTTTTGTCTGAGGATCAATATCCCATTATAAAAATAACACATATATGTAATAAATACTAAAACAGTGTAGAAATGTATAAAATAGAAAGTGGAAATCCCGTTTATTTCACTTTCAGATATAACACTAAATATTCCTGTTGTTAAGGTAGCTGAAGTAGTTTTTTTATCTCTGTTATGAACCCATTTGCACATATAAATCTATTTACATATTTTTAAAACATGAACTTTAAATTTAACACGTGTTAAAACTTTGAATTTAACATGTATTATTGCAGTAGCTACTCATTGAGATATCTGCACAAGTACTCTTTGCTGAGAACCAATGCCTCTTTCCCCATCATCATTGTTTGTATTGCCTCTTCTAGTTCCTTGGCCAAACTTTTTAAGTCCAGAACCAGATGCTGAGCCAAGCTGGACCAAATTCTCTTTCATGATAATTTGGAACTAAGATTGAGATAATACAGGCGTATGTGTTTGTATCTCAGGGGAATGTCTGGGAGACAGAGAAAGACAGCAACACCTGAATTTTGAGGCACATTTTTGCCTTTGCGTTCAATGGAATACCTCTATTCTTTAATAAATTTTCCTGTTATTAAGGTAGCTGAAGTAGTTTTTTATCCTTTGTGATAAAAAAGCTCTATTTGATAAAGTCAGTACTCAAAGATATATTTATAGACCACAGCACCTTAAATTTAGAAGGATACTTAGAGATCATCTTTACTATTTACTACTATTATCTTTTCTACTTATTTACAGTTTTACTTTATTGCTTTACTTATTTCTTATGTTTAGAAACCACATAAATCTTTCTTCAAATGAAATATAATGCAGTAGCCCAATATATAAAAGCGTTCAGAGGCCCGGGAGAAGCCTTGCATGTGTATGAGGAGGTGGGGACGGGTCCATAGGAACCTAAAGAGTAGACGTTCTCAAGCAGGGACAGTTTTACCCCTTAGAGGGCATATTTAGCTATATCTGGGGACATGTTTGGTTATCACAGTTGGGGAGTGTTAATGGCATCCAGTGGGTAGAGGTAAGGGGTGCTGTTAAACATAACACACAGGACAGCTCCCCGCCGTTAAGTGCATTCAACAGACAAGCCGTGGCAAAAGCCCGAGCCTGACTACTTAGGCTGTTAAAGATGCAACAAGCCACTTGTAGGTTTAGCTAGTTGATTACTTACGTAGACAGCAAAAAGAAGGGGAAGCTAAAAGTACCAGCTCCCCATGGTCTACGTATCGCAGGATGACACTGAAAGGAAAAGGGCCAAAGGACTGCACTGAGAGTTGTGGAATACCCTGTTTTGGAAGAGCCAGTAGAAGAGAGAGAGGCAGAAAGCCCACGCCTCCTCACAAATGGGAAGTGATGAGATACTGCCTCATGACAGCTTCCCATCCTCTCTTGTTCCCAGGGTATCACAAGGCATTGAGCCACCACTCAGATTAACTGAGGTTCATGTCTTTATCATTGTAGCCTGTGAGGATACTAGCGGAGTCTCCAGAGCACCTGGTGGAGCCAGTAGCCTACACCTACACGCCCAGCAAAGAATTAGCTGGTCAAGAATGTCAGTAGTTCAAATGGAGACTCTATATTTTAGAGTAGCACTGTTCATTAGCAATGTAATGCCACACATATATGTAATTTAACATTTTCTATTAGCCACATAGAAAAGAAATGTGATACCAACTTAATAATGTTTCATTTAACTCAATGTATCTCAAGTATTATTTCAACATGTAATGTGTCTAAAACAATAGTGAGATTTTTAACATTATTTCCAGCTAAATCTCTGCTATCTGTTGTATATTTTATACTTAAAGCATATCTCAATTGAAACAACGTTTTCATGATCAATACTTGATCTATATTTGGGTTTCATAAAATTTGTAGTTGAGAAACTAGGTTTACATACACAAGGTGTCCTAAATATATTAAACATTTACCAATAACTGAATCAACTATCAATTTTTAAATTTAACTATGACTTTTTTTTTTTGAGATGGAGTCTCGCTTTATCGCCCAGGCTGGAGTACAGTGGCGCGATCTTGGCTCACTGCAACCTCCATCTCCCAGTTTCAGGCCATTCTCCTGCCTCAGGCTCCCAAGTAGCTGGGATTACAGGTGCACGCCACCACACCCAGCTACTTTTTTTATTTTGGGTAGAGACAGGTTTTCACCATGTTGACCAGGCTGGGCTTGAGGACTCCTGACCTGAAGTGATCCGCCCGCCTTGGCCTCCCAAAGTGCTGGGATTACAGGCATGAGCCACCACGCCTGACCTTAACTATGATTTTTAAAATGCAACTAAAAATTCAGATTATCAGTTTCTCTAGTCACGTTTCAAGAATGCGATACTCACATGTGGCTAGTAGCTACCATATTGGGCAGCATAACTCTAGAACACTGGGAAGTTACTAACCATTTTATTGCTAAAGAGAACAGGCTAAGACCACACAACCATTACTTCTAAACTTTTCTCCTGACACCCAGTTCAGTTCCCTGTTCATTGTACTAGAATACCTGTTCTTAAATCTCTATTTTAGAAGAGCTTTATGAGTAAGGCACAATAGGCTGTACATGATATGATGAGGTTCTCATAGGTTCCTCCAAAGGATATTAATTAAGTTGAAAGAAGAACCCTGGTTTATTAAGTGAATGTCACCGCTCATTCAGTGCTGAAGATACCATTGTGCATCAAAGAAATGTTTATCTTATGTTCTCAAGAGAAACATAATAGCACGAGGATATTAAGAGAGAACAGAACTCATCACTCTTTTTGTGTCTCAAATTTAATCTGGTATACAGAGTCAGTGATTATTTTCTTTGAATGGTAGAAGTCAAAGAACTTCAATGAGTAGTTTATTCAGAGGTGAAACTCTTCTGTTAAAAAAACAAAGATGTTAATAATTGAAGAGGATTCTAAAAAGAAATAAAAAGAGGAAGTAAAATTCTTTAAAAATGCGAAATTTTGCAAATGAAAATAAGTACTACATTTATATCAAAGAGTTTTGATTTGTTTTTGTTTCTCTGATTTGGCTAATCAGACATAGATTATGCCTTAGTTGCAGGATACTATATATGCATTATAGGCACATTACCTCAGTGTAGATATATTATGTTCACTGTACATTGAGCTCATCATGTTTTGAAGTTTTGGAGATTTCATCCCTGTTTTATTACCTTTTGTACATATACTACTGTATGTACAAAACCTTTGAGTGTATCTACTTTACTCTTGCCATTTATTTAAAATATTTTAAACAGTGTAACATAATTTAATTGATATCACCAAACTTCAATCTATTCCAAGAATAGGAATATGGGGTTTTTACAGCTGCAAAATAATTGCTTTTTGCAAGTTGGTAGTAGAATTAAATAGAATTCAATGGAAATGGAATTGTAATTAAGTATCTGCCTAACATATATAACGTATATTAAGCTAGGCTCACTAAAATTTTCTTTCTTCAGTGTAGTTTATGTACTATTAATTTCTTAACTTGCATGCTTTCTCTTGAGTTAGCTACCTTCTTATAGTTGTTGTTCCTAATTTATGTGTGAAAAACTTTTTCTAAATGATTAATGAATTTATCCTGTTGGTGCTTCTTGAACCTGTAGATTGGGGTCTTCTATTAGTTCTAGGAAAATCTGTGGCATTAGCTCTGTAAATACATACATATGTATGTGTGTATGTATATATATATTTTATTTTTATTTTTATTTTTTCTTTTCTTCTAAGACTAATTGCAGCATGTTAGGCCTTTTAGTTTCCATCTTTTATCCATCCTACTCTCTTTTTCCTCTGTATACTTCAGTACTTCAGTCTTGGAAATACTGGTTGTCATATTTTCCAGTTCAGCAATTTTCTCTTTAGCTGTTTCTAATCACAGTCAGACCCTCTATAAAGCTTTTAAAATATTAGTTTTGTATAACATAAAAATCAACTTTATCAAGTTTGAAGTAATGAAATAAAATGAATATATTTTGAGTATACATTTTAATGAGGTTTGACAAATGTGTATACCCATATAACTACCACTCTAATCAAAATAATACAACAGTTTTGTTTACTCCAAAAAGTTGTCTGGTGCCCATCTGCAGTCAATTTTTCTTCTTGTCAGCCATCCCCAGTCAACAATGATCTATTTTCTGACATTATAGATTAATTTTCCCTTCTAGAAATATGTTCTTGTGTGTCTGGCTTCTTTTGCTCATCATGTTTTGAAGTTTTGGAGATTTCATCCCTGTTGTATGAAACGAAAGTTTGTTTCTTTTTATTGCTGAGTAGTATTCTGTTGTATGACTGAGCTATAGTTTGCTTCAGATTTTTTTTCAATGTTTGACTATTATAAATAAACATATGATCATTCACATGCAAGTCTTTTGTGTGGACACATGGGTTTTTGGTTTGTTTCCTTTTGAGTAAATACTTAAGACTAAGTATGTATGCTAGGACATACAGTAGTGTATATTTAGCTATATAAGGAACTGCTAAACTGATTTCCAAAATGGTTAAACCATTCATTTGTAATGCCCACAAGTAATGTGTTAGAGTTCCAGTTTAGAATCTCCTCATTAACACTTGGTATTGCCAGTCTTTTTAGTTTGTATTTTTCTGTTGACTAATAATGTTGAGCATCTTTTCATGGACTTACTAGTAATTTATATATCTTCTTCTGTGAAATGCCCTAGTCTCTTGCTCATTTTTCAAGTTGTATTGTTTGCCTTTTAATGATTGATTTGTAGAAGTTCTTTCTCTAATCTAGAAGAGTTTTTTGTCTTACATATGTGTTGCAAATATTTTCTTCTAGATTGTGTTTTGCCTTTTCATGTTCTTAATGGTGACTTTTGAAGAACAGAAGTTCTTAATTTTGATAAAACACAGTTTATTGGTATTTTCTTTTAAGGCTTAGTTTCTTTTTCTCCTAAGAAATCTTTGCATCCCGAGGTCATGAAGATTTTTCTTTCATGTTTTCTTTAACAGATTTTATTAAGTCTTTTTTATGTTAAGTCTTTTATGTCAAGTCTGTAGTCCAGTTTGAGTTAATGTGTTTGTGTGGTGTGCGGTAAGAGTTATTTTGTGTTTTTTTTTTTTCTTTTCTATATAGAGAATCCGTTGTTTCAGCATGATTTGTTGAATAGGCTATTTTTCCACCGTTGAATTACTGTGCTTCCTTTGTTGAAAAGTCAGTTGACTCCCTATATGTTGCTTTATTTATGAGCTGTCTTCTGTTCTGTTGGTTTACATACCCAAGTCTGAATAACATAGTTTTTCAATTGGAAGTTATGCTTCATAACACAAAGTAGCTAGTTTAACTTGCAACTCCAATAATTGCAGAAGTCCTATTATATCTATATGTATTCTTATTCTAGTACTGCACTGTCTTGATTACTAGAGCTTTATGATAAATCTTGAAATTAGGTAGTGTGAGTCCTTCAACTTTTTAGTTCCACAGTTTCCCACTTGATTATCAGAGTATGTCTATGTTTCACTTCTTAAGACCATACTTTCCTTTAATTCTTGGAATTTATTTTCTTTAAGTCTTTGAAATTTTTTATAATTGATGCTTTGAGGTCTTTGCTAACTAACCCTAACACATCTGGGATATGCTGGGTATGATTTTTAGTGTTTTTTCTTGACCAGATCACATTTTTCTTTCTCTCTATATGTTTAATAATTTTTTATTCAGTAGTGGACATGGTAGTCACTCTGTGATGTTTATTATCTTCCTCTGAAGAATTTTTATTCTTGTTTTAGCAGATCACCTTATTGCTGGTTTAAAATCACCCTTAACTTATGGAGGTTTGGTTTTAAGCTTTGTTAGTGCAGATCTGTGGAAAGCCCAAGGTGTTTCCCATGTTTCTTTAAGATTGTCTCTTCTGCAGACCTTGTTTTGCCTCGGTTTTGGGCTTTATTAGTATTATGTGTCTAGACTAGGGCTTATTCTAGGGGACAAGTTCTCAAATGTTTAGTCTCTTTTTGCATTCTTAAAAATTATTGAGCGTTCCACAGAGCTTTTATGGGGGTCATGCATATTGTATTAGATATTAAAAAAAGAAGTTTAAAAAATTATTTCATTTAGCAAATAGCAAGCTTACTGCATGTTAGCATGAGTAACATTTTTTGAAAAATTGTTTTCCAAAACAAAAAATAATCCTAAGAGTGGAATCATTTTACATTTATGCAAATGTTATTCATATTTGACTTAATTGAAGACAGCAGGATTCTCTTTTCTGCTTGTGTATGCAGTCTTTTCTGATAGGCTTTTTGGGGTTGAAATATCTGAAGAAGATCTACATTTATAGTTAGAAAAGGGAAGAGTATATCAATAACCTTTCCAATAATTGTGGATATTCTTCTTTGATTCCACATGCAAACTGGACAAATGGTAGTTTCTTAGTGGTTAGCTGCAATGTGGAATCTGAAACCATGTCATGTCAGAAAACCTTTTGCACTCTGTAACATCACAATCCACTGGTCGTCTTACACTTGCAAAGCATCTTTGCCTATGTACCTATGTATGATTTTGTAATGATTTCCATTTGTCGTATCAAAAATACTCGTTTCCTAAGTGAGGCCTAACTTGTTAACATGTTGTATTATACTATATAAAATAATTACATTTGTTATTTTATATCCATGTCAGCAGAAAAGTCTATGAATTTGGGAGCCCTTTATAAGTACTTTCTAATTCTTCACAGAGAATATTTTAAAGAAATCTAATGGTCAATATTTAATAAAATGCAGTAATTTTACTGCTTTGTCAGGGGCATTCTAATGTGAAACACTCCTTTTTTTTGACTGCATATATGTTTTATAGTGAAGAATGTAATAATCACTAATAGATGTTGATGACACCGCCTTGATTTGTGTTATTTTAGTTTTAAGACAGGGTTTCACATTGTCATTCAAGTTGGAGTGCAGTGGTGCGATCATGGCTCACTGCAGCCTTCACCTCCTGAGGCTCAAGCGATCCTCCCACCTGAGCCCCACGAATAGCTGGGACCACAGGTGCGTGCCATCACGCCTGGCTCATTTTTTTACTTTTTGAAAAGTCCAGGTCTCCCTATGTTGCCCAGGCTGGTCTTAAACTCCTAGGCTTAAGCAATTCTTCCACCTCAGCCTCCCAAAGTGCTGGGAATATAGGCATGAGACACCATGCTCAGCTTGTGTTATCAGTAGTTTTTTCCTCTGTTGCATCATCAGTGCAAATGTTAATATAATGAAACAAAGGAATAATATCTTAATGTTATCATAAAAATAGTTTTGACTTTGTAGATCCTGGCTCTCTGTTCTAGGTCATGCTGCTTATTCATAACTAACGTTGATGCTAAGGTGCGTCAGGTGTGTTAACAAGGCGATTTTTTTTTTTAGGTTCTCTTTACTTTCTCAAGGCTAGAATTGCAATTTCTTTCAGCACTGCTCTTTCTCTAGCACCTTGCGACCTCTACTCACTTTGTTGTGCTCTCAGTCCCTAGCAGCTATTGCCAAATAAGCCTCAGGGGTTTTGTCCTGCACAGGTACAGCCCAGCCCAGCCATGTGATCCCTGGGGACTCCTTCACAGACATCTGGGGCCTGCTCTCTGCACAGATCCTTCTTCTCTAGTTTCCCATCCTGCAGACTCCAGCCAATTCTTCTGCCTTGAGTTTGGATTTCTGTCTTCTCAGTTCAGTGTAACCACCATGTTCTGCTTTGACTCTTGTTGTGTTTATGTGGTTGGCAAATTGTGTTAGGCAGAGAGTTGGGTGATTATGGTACCCATCTTGTGAGTTTCTCTTCTTTCAGGGATCACTGTTTACAACTGCAGCTGGCTACTGCCTGCAGTTAGTTGCTTCATCTATTTTCTCCAATTTCATAATCGGTTATGTCAGAGAGGGAAAGCTAGTCTGATACCAGTTACTCCATTATGGCTGGAAACTAAAGTTTTATTTAAAATTTTTTCGTTATATTTTTATTTCTAAAAGTTCTGTTTAATTCTTTTATACATTTGCCCTATTATTTTTTATAGTTTCATCTTTTTTAGATCTTTCAGCTTGTATTTTATTTTATTAAACACAATAAGCATGGTTCTTTTTGTAATACATGTCTTGTACCTCTGATATCTGAAGTTTTTATGGGTCTGTTCTTGAGTTGTCTATTTCTGCTCGTTGCAGGTTTTGCATTTTAGATTATTTATGTGCCTCATTATCTTGGCTGTGCACTGGACATTTTACCAACTGTTTATTTATAGGAGTTACTGCCAATCTGGGGCCACCTTAAATCAAATTCTAGGCTTTAGATATCGTAGACACCCAAAGTTTCCAACCAGAGCTGTAATTCTGTACTAGGACCAGTTCACATCTATTTTATCCTCATCCTGAGGTATCACCCTTGTTGTGTGGGGAACAGTCTCGTAATAGTCCTTACTTTTGGGGGCCTGTGGGCTTTTATTGCTCTTCCCCTGATTCCATGAGACATTGAAATGACAGATTTTATTTTTCTTGATCAGTAATTGCCTTCAGAACAATGACAGCTTCCATACACGTTTACCCTCTAGATTTCCTTTGCTCTTCAGTTTTCAGCTGGTAATTCTTTAACTGTCTTGTTAGCTCATAGATGATTTTAGAAGTTGTGTTTTTGTTTTTGTTTTAAATCTAGTTCTGTTCATTGTTTACAGCCTAAGGGTAGATTTAAATAAGCTACTCTGCCGTTACTGAAAACAGAAAATTGTGCCATTTGAATTCTAATTTAAATTCAGTAAGCCATCCTATATAGGGATAGCACTGGTTACTTGAATTTTCTTTTTTTCTTTTTTTTCTTTTTGAAGTGGAGTCTCGCTCTGTCGGCCAGGCTGGAGTGCAGTGGCACAATCTCAGCTCACTGCAAGCTCCACCTCCCGGGTTCACGCCATTCTCCTGCCTCAGCCTCCCGAGTAGCTGGGACTACAGGCGCCCGCCACCACGCCTGGCTAATTTTTTGTATTTTTAATAGAGATGGGGTTTCACCTTGTTAGCCAGGGTGGTCTTGATCTCCTGACTTCGTGATATGCTCACCTCAGCCTTCCAAAGTGCTGAGATTACAGACATGAGCTACTGCGCCCGGCCTTGAATTTTCATAGTTACTGTTAGTGGTAAATCAACTTCAGATAATTTGAAAAATAAAATACATTAGCTTGACTACTTTTATGCTATAATAAGTAATGTGTATTTTGGATGAAAAGATAAAAGAGTTTTTAAAAAATCTATAATATATATATACTGTATTATTACGGTATAATATATACTGTAGCATACTATATATGATATAATGTATACTGTATAATATAATGGCATAGTTTATGCCATTATATAATATTATACCATTTTAATATACATGTTTGTGTAGAAGAAATAGTGCATAAACGCAAGGATCTATCGTGTTTCAGTTTATAAAAATAGTTTGTCTCTTAAAGCTCATGTGTATTGGTAAAGAATCTTATACATTGAAGGCTGTACTGTAGTGAAAGTTTAGTCCTTTGATATTTTTCTATAAAATTAAAAATTTTCTTTGCTTAAAAAATTCAACGAACTTGGTCCTTTATGTAATCCTATTTTTGAAACTCAGTCTAATAAATGTATATCTCTTTATTCTTAAAGCATTAGATGCTTATAATTTTAAAGTAAAAACTTCCTAAAACATCTTCTGATAATTTACTCTAAAAAGCTTGCTACATTTTTAGCTTGGAAAATTCACATTGTTTCTATGTCTTGTGTCTTTTAAAATTAGTTAATAATGCCTGCAGTTAAACACAATTTATTATAATAGCACTTTGTAATTTTCTAGGAATTTAACAGAATGAGTCTTTGTATGAATGTAGAAATATTTTGTTTTTATTTGCAATAATTATGCAAATGCTTAACTTGAATAGTTTTAAAGGATGAAATGAAACAACATAGCTAAAGTAATACCTGCTGAATTTGGCTCCCTGTGGCTGAATGCCTGTACCAGAAATGGGAAAATCGTGTGTCCTTCTTGACATAGCTCATTTGAAAATGGTGTTTGAATTTTGTGACCCTACCTTAATTTTAACTGTCTTGTTATGCCAGCTGCTACATTTTCTCCGCCCGTCTTACCTCGAAAGGAGATGAATAGAGCTGAGACGCATTAGTAAAACAATTAGAAATCACTTACTCTCTGGAATTTGAGGTTTAATAATGTCCCAGTGGTTAAAGATAGTATAGGGGGCTTTGTGAATGGCCATAGTACCCTTGAATTTATGTACTGAATGTTACTCAGATTTTAGTTTCCTTCTTTTTCTTTCAAACCTTACTTTGTACATTGTTGGTGTATTTTGGGAACTTTGCTTCAGGTATTTGTGCTACTTTTTAAAAATAATATGACACTGTATCATCAAGCAATGTGGTACTTTTTCAGAAAAATCTGTTTTATATTAGTGTGCTATCAATGCGTATTGATTTTACAAGATAAATTTCTAATTTTATTTTGTGTTAATAGTCACATTTTATTTTTCTTTTTAATGGCTCAGAATGTTGAAAACAAATTTTGAAGCATCCAGAATTGAGTCTTAGATGACACCACTTTGAGTACAGTGTGGCATTCTTGAAAACTATTGTTACCTTTGCCTCATGTATGTGCCATTCTTCTGGTATTAGAAAATAGTCCCACATAAATCCCCATAGAGAACAGTGTGAAGGATCAGATTTGAAGGCACTTTAGGATGAAATTCTATTTGAGAAATTGCTTGGGGAATATTGTAGTTTGGGACATTTAAGAATGTGTCTGATAACCTTCAGTGCTCCTGGTCTCAACTTTTAGTTTTGTTTGTTCTTTTTAAAGAGTTAAGATAAATGAAAACCTTTCTGTTATTATTTTTTTCATTTTGATTCAGAGGGTGGGAGAAGAAGAGATTCTATTTGAAGCAGCTGTTTTTTATTTTTATTTTTTGAATATTTTAGATCGTAATGCTTCAGGTCTTTGGCTATAACTTTAAAAGCATTATCAGAGATTTGAGACCGCTCCTAAAATATGTAGAGATCACCTTATCAAGTTTAGCCCCTTTATTTTAAAAGTCATGAGAACTGAGGCCCAGAGAATTTCTTGTGTGCCCTGGCTCAGTGCTTCTCAAATTGTCTATGGTAGAGAACTGGGTTTTCTTTTTTCCCCAATGCATGACAGATCAATAATTTTGTAAAATATAAATAAAAAGAAGTACTGGAGAAGGTAATTTTGAAACAACAGACATAGTTCTAAATACCTTCAGTTTCAGTTCTTATCTCAATGTAGATGGATTGTAAACAGTTCTGGGAATCGAATTTTATATAATATGCTTTGTATAGCATAGACCTGGGAATGGAACTTTGTATAATATGCTTTGTATAGCACAGACCACATTTATATAGCACTGCCCAGGGTCAGGGGTCAGCAAAATGGTCCGTAGGCCAAACCCAGCCTATCTCTTGTTTTCGTATGGCTTGCAAGCTAAGAATTGTTTATATATTTTTAATGGTTTTTTAAAAAATCAGAAGAAGAATATTTTATAAATTTTATAAAATTTAAGTTTCAAAGTCCTTAAGTAAGATTTTATTGGAATGCAGCCATGCTCATTCATTTAAATATTATCTGTGGCTGCTTTCACACTATAATGGTAGAGTCGAGGGAGGGATGAGGACCCTTGAACAATGCAGGGGTTAGGACCGTTGAACAACGTGCAGTTTAAAATTCGAATGTAACTTTCTCCCACAAAATTAATAGCCTACTATTGACCAGAAGCCTTTTCGATAACATAAACAGTCAACACTTATTTTGTATGTTATATGTATTATATATTGTATTCTTATAGTAAAGCAAGCTAGAGAAAAGAAAACATTTTTAAGGAAGATAAAATGTATTTACTATTCATTAAGTGGAAGTGGATCTCCATAAAGATCTTCATCCTCATCGTCTTCCCATTGAGTGGGCTGAGAAGGAGGGTGAGGAGTGGTTGTTCTTGCTGTCTCAGGGGTGGCAGAGACAGGCACACTCAGTGTAACTTTTACTGAAAAAAATCTGCATATATGTGGACTGATGCAGTTCAAACTTGTGTTATTGTCAGCTACAGTTGAGACAGAGACCAAATAGTCCGTAAAGACTAAAATATTTACTATCAGGCCTACTACAGAAAGAGTTAGCTGACCCCTGCCCTAGAGCAAAGCATGGAATTAGTCGTCACTGGTAGAGTTGAGAGTACACATTTTAACATGTGCTTTAAATATTATGGTGAGCTGATGGGGATTGTCATGCTCCCTGACCAGCACCTTTGCTTGTCACTTTATGTTCTAATTCAGTCCTCCTGGCAATCTTGTAATCTTGTATGAAAGCTGGATAAGTTTAGACCCCTGCTGATCTAATGAGGGGTTAGATACCTTCTCCTAAAAGTCTTAACTTTACTGAGTTTTTAATTTTTAATTCATATGTGATGAATGAAATATGGTTAAATATTTTCTAATGTGAATTTTGTTATCAGCATCTGGTTTAGAAAGTTCAGCTGCTTCTTTCCTGTTGCTACATTACTTTGCTGTAGATGTGTCTGTGTTCAGGTCTAATTAAAGAGGTAGGCATGGCCCAAACATATTTAGAAAACATCTATTTCAAGTAAATGTTTACTTCTTTTAATGTCACCTAAAGTACAACAAAACTACAACTAAACTGTAATGGCACATTTCTATTGCAAAATGGGCAACATATAGTAGTTAAAATACGGGTTAAAACAAGAAGGATTGAGGTTTTAGGTGACTTTGGAGAAACAGTCAGACTTTCACTATTTTACTTCTAGCACTCATTAAAAACTACAAAATGAAAGCTCCCATCATTTAACTGTCAAACTCAGATAAAAATATTCATTTACTTCTTGTTTAAAGCAGGTTCTGCAGTTCCTGAAGTATGCAGTTAAACTCTGCTTTTCATGGTAGCTATTATTTCTTCTGTTTTCTTCCCCTTTGCATGTGATCACTCAGCAACTAAATAAAGTTAGAGATAGTTATCAGCTTGCATTTGATACTTGAGTCTGCTTTATGATAAAGACCTTTTATAAGCCAAATCTTCACGTTAGAATTTCTTCCTGGTATTAAAAAAACATGTTGTTACAATAGCTGTACCCATTATGATGAAAGAGTAACTACACTTTGATATTGTGGCACTCGCCATTTTATTCTACTGACTCTTGAATCAGTTTATAAACATCTGGAAAACAATAATGTTCATTGTTTGCATTCACATAGGAAATAACACAGAAAGGCTTTGTAAGATCTCACTGCATCTTCTCAAGCCATAGCTGGTTTTTATTGTCCCAAGTCTGAAACTCCCCAAAATGTAATGTATGAGATGTACAGGCTCACCTTCCTGGCAGCTGTGTCCTAGTTCTGGATAAGGCTGTTGTTTGTCCATTATAACAAAGCCATTGATTTTATGGCTAATACATTAAAGGAAAAGGAAGAGCTTTGTAAACAGAAGGACTTACGGCTTGGTAATGTGTGAGTATTACCTTCCAAATATTGCTAAAGAATGTATGTGCTTTAGCATGGAACTGTCATGAATGAATGAAAATTTGGGACTCATCAACGGTAGTGCCTCATAACTTACAATTGAATTTTACTTACTGGAACAACTTTTTAATACATTCATTGATTTAATCATTGTTTGGGTAGTATTACAGCAACAGTCTCCTCCTCTCCTGCCCTCTCCACCCTCCCTACGTATACACACCACATACCAGATGTGGCTGATAAATGCTTTGGATTAATATATCTGGATTTTACTTAAACAGTGATTTTTTCTTTTGTAGGAACCTCCATATTTAAGAATTCCCAGTAGCTACTTTTTACCCAATATGGCAGGCATTACATTCGTGCCTTAGGATATATTATAGTGATTGAGTTTCTGTTTCTAAACATTTTTGATGGAAAGAATGAGTATAAGAGGCAGTTCCTTTTTGCAGCTCCACGCCAGGGGACCAGGGTTACACACATTACTATGTCTGTTAAACTTCTTGGAAGCCATCCAGTATGTTATGGTGAGTTTCATGTGCAAGTGGTGAGCCACTAAAAGGCTTGCACAGTATTATAACTATTCTGAGGAGAGGAGGCATTTGGAAATTCAGCAGTAAAGCAGCGACAGCAACAAGCAGCCACAGTGGTAGTAAAGAGAGGGCAGGTTCACAGTTAGCATATTTCACAGTGTGAGCCAGCGAGCACATAGCTTCCCATACTGCTGCTTGAAGGAGGCAAACCAAAACTCTACATTGCAAGATTTTTCTAGTTTCATGTTTATGATGTTAAGTCATGTGATAATATTGTACCATAAGTTGCCAACTTCATTTCACTCTAGAGAGGCTCCTTTGCTGCAGTGCTTTTTTGCTTTTTTTCTTTTTTTTTCTTGAAAGAGAAAAAATTTGTGCAATGTATGTTTATGCCTACACCATGCCGAGACGACACTTACCAGTAAATAATCTCTGTATCCCCGAGGTAAGATACTGTTTCTGCTTTCCCTGCACAGTGCTGCTGCAGCACGGAGCTGACCCAAACATTCGGAACACTGATGGGAAATCAGCCCTGGACCTGGCAGATCCTTCAGCAAAAGCTGTCCTTACAGGTAAGAAGACAGAGAGCTACCGAATGATTATATCTGTGTAACTCCTTACTTGATTTTATAAAATCTTGTTATGCTGAATTTTTCTTTTCACTGATGAAGCTAAGCAAATATATCTGCCATTATCTACTACTTTATTATTGATTTGATATCTGTCTCATTAATTGCTATGCTGTCGTAAGCATAAGCAGTAAGATTGTTGGTCTACTTAGAATGATAGCATTAAATCATAACATCTTTCACTCGTATTTTAGTCATTTTTATGGTTTATATCATAATTTTTCTGTATCTCATCCTCTCAGTTGTTTAAGACCTTTACTGTTGAGCAAGCAAGGGCATTTATATTACTATAAAAGTAGTTTTGATTGGAAAGACAACCTGCTGCCTGCTGCCTTATTTCTTGGATCGATAGTCAAATAAAATATGCCGCTGCCTCTCCCTTGCCACCCCGTTTATACTTTAATCATATGTTTTCACTTTTACCATGATAGCTAAGTTATTTTTAACTGAGGCGTTTATTATCTTTTTACTTCAGATAATGCAAATTTGTGGCTTAAATATTAGTTTTATTAAAGCAAATGCCAAGAACCAGCAAAGAGGAAATGCTAGAATGGAAAAGGTCTCTCATAACAATATAGAAAATAGTGCTCTAAGTGTTTTCATTGATCTGCATTCTCAAAATGCTGCATTGGATCTATTTTTGTTTTTATTCTTAGCATCTGAGTCCTGCTGCCTTTGCCCTCTTTTACTTAACTGACCTTCGTAATGAGCCTCTGTCACTGCAGTGCTAACAGTATTGTTTTAGGTTATGTGAAAGTAAATGACTTTTAACTACCTTTTAAATTTGCCCATGGTCGAAGAAAATAAATATTTTGTTCTTGTTTAAGTTTAGAGTCCATGGTGTGAAAATTTAGCAAAAATACTGAGGCGAAGGGAAAACGTTTATGTACAGAAAGCTTTGAAAATCTATGGAATTTTGCTTAATTACTCTGCATAGAAAAACAACTTTGCACTGTGCTAAAATCAATATAATTATTGCTCAGAGTAATATGACTTTTCTCAATCAAAGATTAGTGTATTTAGTTGCTGGATAACAGTAACATACACTAGAGTAATAAACCTACTTAAATTAGTGTAGATAAGAAATTTAAGTATAAATATATAATTTTAAGTAGTGAAATTAAAATACATAGCCTCGGGCCTGCTCAGATTCTACAGCCTTTCAGTCTCTTAACAAAGCCCTGGGCAACAATAGCAGCTTTAGAGTGGTCTCTGACCAAAGGAGAAATACAGTGCATAGTAACAGGGGTAGGTTATAAATGCTGAGCAAGACTCTTTGTATATCTAAATGTCCTCCCTCTGACGTTTCCTTCTCTCCAACTCTCAACACCCGCTTTGTCCATTTGTTAGATACATTTAATGCAACAACGCTTTTAGATCTACTTTCACTTTTTTAAAAGGCAAAATTTAATATAAGTTATTAACAAGAAACTATATCCTAATTTGTAATGAATTTCAGGGGAGATTATATTGGATGTTGTTAGTTTGGGAAAGAGCTTTGGAACAATCACTTGTGGAGACACAAGATTCCTGGAGGACAGATATCACATCTACTAAAATTGACTTTAAAGCCATCTAACACTGTACTTTGCTTAGATAGGAATATACGAAATTCTTGGTCATAATACTGATTTAGAGTCATTTGTTCTTTTCAAGAATATCTCTAGAGTCATTTAGAGTTAATTGTTCTTTTCAAGAATATCTACTTTTTTGGAAATGATCTACAGCTTTTCAGATGTGATTTAAAAGGAAAAGTCTAGTAATATGGTTAATTTTGTTGGAATATAAACCAGTTCTGTTTCTACATTCATGCTATATAATGCAGTGAAATAACACTTAGGTGAAATGTATTCCAAAATGTTTTTCTGCCCATACAGGTTCTCTAATAAGTAATTCTTTCCAGTGGAATTATGGTGAAAGAATTATTTCCAGAGCTAAATTTAAAAGATTAAACATTAATTTTTTTAAAAGGGTTTCTTTTGAAAGGAATGCCTTAGAGTTATTAGAGATCATTCTGAGTAATATGTCATTCTTTATTTTTATGCCAGATGCAATTGTAGTACCCTTACTTACCTTGAGAGTGAAATTTTCCTTCTTAAATATTTTTTCTTTAGGAATTTACTTGCTGCAAATGTCTTTCCAGTATCTCATCGTTTTATGTTATTACTTTTGTGCATTAGTCTAAACTGTGTACAAGTATTTATGTGTTTTCCTTAAAGGCAATTAATAAAGTGACAATCTCTTTTTTGGTTTTTTTTTTTTTTTTTTTTGAGATGGAGTTTTGCTCTGTTGCCCAGGCTAGAGTTCAGTGGAACGATCTCAGCTCACTGCAACCTCCGTCTCCCGGGTTCAAGCGATTCTTCTGCCTCAGCCTCCCGAGTAGCTGGGACTACAGGCATGTGCCGCCACGCCTGGCTAATTTTTGTATTTTTAGTAGAGACGGGGTTTCACCATGCTGGCCAGGCTGATCTCGAACTCCTGACCTCAGGTGACCTGTCTGCCTGACAGTCTCTTTTTATAGAACATTTACAAATATGTGACTAATACCATCTTATACATAAGAATGCATGTTTTTTAATAAAGCTATACAAAGCAACAGTGTACCCTTAATTTTGCAATTAAGGGACCCTAGCACATGGCCATTGGTTTTGGATAGCACACTTGGATATTTAAATGAGAAGACTTACTCAGAGAGACTCATCATCCTCTTTGCTGAATTATTGTGTAAGTGAATGGTAGACTTAGAAGAAATCTTGAGGGCTTTCTTTTGTTTTTCTGCTAATGACTGAAGTTCTGGTCAATAAACTGAAGGACTTGGAGGTATTTAGATTTTTCGTTTGTTCATTTTTTGTTTTAAATAGGGGTATGAAAAGTCAAAAACAGCCTATGTAAATGTTATTGAAGAGCAGTTTTTGTGTGTTTTGATTATAAATTTTTTAAAGTAACATACTTTTGGCCTTTTCTTTCTGATTGTAAAAGAAATACATTCATTTGGAAATTGAGAGAAACAGGAAAAGGATGAAAAAGAAAAATCATTTGTAATTTTGCTACTTAGAGATAACATTTTGGTGTACTTTATTTATAACCTTTTCTTCTGTGAGCATCCCACTGTCTTATTTCTCTTTAATCAAATCAGCCTAATGTGTTATAAACTGCTTAATAGTACATATTTTTGTAATTTAGTTACATAAATGTTCCCAAAGACATTAAGTACTTTTCTACAACCTGAGTTTATAACAACTTCACAGTACCCTTCTATGAGTATATTTTGGTTTTTTGAGCGAATTCCCTAGTGTTTCACATTTAGGTAGGTTGTTTTCAGTCTTTATTCTTCCCTGTGAATTTAGAGTCATTTAATCAATTCTGTTGGAAGTGTGCTTCATCACATTCAGTCTTAGCATCCATGGACATGGTAGATACCTCTGTTCTTGACTTTGAAGTAAGGAAGCTTTGGAAAATGAGGAGCTTTCTTTTTTAAAAAGGCTGCGCTGCATGTGGTATTATGGGAGAGCCACATTTAAGTTAAAGGTGGTTGACAAAGGGAATGTTTGTTGAAAAGGGCTAGAAAGTAGGGTCTTTGTTAATTATGTGAAGGAGATTCTCTGGGCAGAGTGGAAAGGATAGAGGGAGCAGTGGAAAATTGAATCAAAGAAAGAGGTAAGAGCAGATTGAGCCTGAGAGTTTGGAAAAGGATAGATAACCAAAGGAATGTTTGTCGTTGTCAGGACCAAGGATGATGGGGATGTAAAGTGAGTGAGTTTAGATGGTCACAGCATTGCTAAGATGGTTGATCCTAGTGTTTTCCTAGTGTATTTAGGGTTAAGGGGATGTGGAAGGAGGATATGTTTGCATTCAGGTGTCTCAAGAATAAATTAGCTTTAACCTGGATTCATTGCACTTCTGTGGAAATCCAAATCTATGATTTGATGGGTAGCCCCCAGTCTCTCTATAAGGAATCAGCTGTGGCTCAGGCCACCGGCAATATTGAGGTGTCTGGTGTGTTCTTGCTGAGACTGGCTTAGTAAGTCAGCAAAATGTATCCGAAATCCTTTGCTTTTTTTTTTTTTTTTTCCTGCTAACTGCCTCCTGCTGCCCTTCAGATAAGACCAACATCTTTAGCATAACCAGTGAGGACTTAAATGCTCTGTACCCTGACCACCTAGCTTTGACTACTAGATTTTGCTGAAACCAAAATTTGGAACTCTTTCCTTATTTTTATTTATTTTTTTTTTTTGCGACGGAGTCTCACTCTGTCGCCAGGTTGGAGTGCAGTGGCGCTATCTTGGCTCACTGCAACCTCCGCCTCCCGGGTTTAAGCGATTCTCCTGCCTCAGCCTGCCAAGTAGCTGGGACTATAGGCAGGCGCCACCACGCCCAGCTAATTTTTGTATTTTTAGTATAGATGGACTTTCACCACTTTGGCCAGGATGGTCTCGATCTCCTGACCTCGTGATCCGCTGCCTTGGCCTCCCAAAGTGCCGGGATTACAGGTGTGAGCCACCGTGCCCGGCCGGGACTCCTTTCTTTGCCTCACACTTTGTATCCAACCTATCAGTAATTCAGGTCTACCGTACTTTCAAATTCCCAATCTGACCGTTTCTTACCATCCTCACTGCTTTAGCCCTGGGCCACACCTTCATCCTCTGTTTCACGACAGCAGTAGCCTCATAATGGATCTCTCTGCCACTACTTAAACTTCGCTCAGTTCTCTTCACTGCAGCTAGAATGGTCTTACTAAAGCATAAATCAGCTCTATAATCAGAAAATTCTTTAGTATATTCCCACAGCCTCTGAATAAAATTCAGATTCTTTAACAGTGGCCTGTCCTGATCTGGCTCCTGCCTTGCATTTATCTGATCTTGTCTTCTACTGTATTCTCTCTTGGTCTCTTTGCTTCAGCTACAGCTGGCTGTTTGCTGCCCCTCAAGCAGATGAAACCTTATTCTGTGTCTGGGCTAACATAAGCTATTTACTGAAACTGGAACACTTCCCCAGTTCATCAGTTAAATCTCTAGTTCAAACGTCTGCTCCTCAAAGACGGCTTCTTGTCCCTGGTGCCATCAGCCTATTTGATTTCCTTCATGGATTTATTGGTATCTGGCATTGCATTGTGTTGTTGTTATTTGTCCCAGTAGAATGAAAGCATCATAAGGGTTTGGACTTTTGTCTGTCTTGTTTACTTCTTTATCCCCAGGACTCAAAAGAATACATAAAATGATCAATCAAATAAATATGTCTAAGGTCCGATTACTGATAATTGGGGGCAGCATATTTTCCAGGTCATATAAATACTCATTAACCATTAATTATTTGACATTTTATGCCAATAGTTTTAATAAATTTTTAGCTTCCTAAAAATAGTTTTGAATTGCATATAGTCCTATACATTTCTTAAAACATAAGTGCATTTTAAAAATGTTTTAATTGGTAAGATGGATGAGGTTTACTGAGTTTTTATCAACAGATTTCTCAGATGGCTCTTATGATTGAGAACATTCCAATTCTGGAAAGATGAAGCTGCCTGCAGCTGTCACATCAGACATCCAGATGTCAAACCGAGGCCTTATTTTTGCTTTTTTTTTTTTTTGAGACGGAGTTTCACTCTTGTTGCCCAGGCTGGAGTACAATGGTGCAGTCTCGGCTCACTGCAACCTCCACCTCCTGGGTTCAAGCGATTCTCCTGCCTCTCAGTCTCCCAAGTAGCTGGGATTACAGGCATGTGCCACCACGCTCAGCTAATTTTGTATTTTTAGTAGAGATGGGGTTTCACTATGTTGGTCAGGCTAGTCTCGAACTCCTGACCTCAGGTGATCCACCCACCTCAGCCTCCGTAAGTGCTGGAATTACAGGCTTATTTTTGTTTTTTTCTTTTGGCCATTGTTCTGTTAGTTTGCTGTTTTGCACGTTAGCTATACTATAACCTGGCATATTGCATACCATGTGTAATACATGTTTTACTGTCAGACTATATGATTATTTTTCTCATGCTGTTAATCTGAACTTAAAGAATTACTTATCAGTTATTAGAAAGTCTAATTATACAGACTGCATCCTAGAAAATAAACTACAAGCAGAAATAAATCTTACCTTACTTATTAAGAAAAGTTGTATATTTATCTATATGAATTTTATTAGGGGAAGTTATTTTTATAATAAGATGAATTTCTGATTTTAAAAGATTGCCTTTAGTATTACAGCAAAGGAAGTTAAAAGGCGTTACTGCTGAAACAAAGCAATGTGAATACTCATTTTAAATATATGTTAAAAAGTTAATTTCTTGACTAAGAAAATTATACGAATAGTTTAATCTTGTATAATTTTGGACATGAGCAGGAAAATTTAAAGTTTTATATTAAACGTGGTTGAAAGACTTTTTTGAAATTTTTAAAATATGAAGACAATTTAGGAGAAGAATGTAAAACTCACACCTTTTAAAAAAGATTATATCTGACGTAAGAGATTAATTTCAATTTTCAAGTGTTGTTTGCACCGTGAAGGAACAGCTAAGCTAGTTTCTTTCTTTTTTCTTTTATTAGCAGCAGGTATTTGTTTCATAGTTCATACTGAATGTTTAGATTCTTGCAGCAAGCAAACAACTTAGCGTTACATAAAATACAGTGACAATAATAATAGCTGACACCGCCTGAATCCTCCTTTGATCCAGGTGCTATTTCAAGGGCGCTGAATCCTCACAATGAAGCTGTGAAGTAGATATTGTTATTGTACTCATTTTTACAGATGGAGAGGTTAAGTTACTTCTAAGTTCACAGAACCATCAAGGGAAATTACAGGAATTTGAATTCAAGCAGTTTGGCTCCAGGATCAATGAGTGCTCTTATATGTGCAGAATCAGACTTTTTACCTGTTTGTTCATTTGGAAGGACATGGCATGGCCTAAAACAAAAATAAAATTAGAGTGGCCCCTAAATATAAACTCCAGGGCTTAAATCTAGTCTGTTAATATAATGTTCTTTTTTAGATTAAAGATTATTCCTTTTGAAAGACAAGTTACCTAATATTGCCAGTAAGACTCATCATCATATTATTATAATAAAATGGATTAACTTGGTAATAAATTGATTCTTTGAACTTTGCATAGTAACCTTCCCTTATCTGTGGGGATACGTTCCAAGACCCCCAGTGGATACCTGAAACCACAGATAGTACTGAACCCTGTACAGACTATGGTTTTTCCTATATGTACATACCTGTAATAAAGTTTAATTCATAAATTAGGCACAGTAAGAGATTAACAACCATACCAATAATAAAATAGAACAGTTATAATGATGAACTGTAATGAGAGTTATGTCAATGTGGTCTCTCTCTGTGTCTCACAATATCTAATTGTACTGTATTCACCTATTTTCAGACTGTGGTTGACCGGGGGTAACTGAAACCACAGAAAGGGAAACTGCAGATAATGGGGAATATCATAAACGATCTTCTTCAGTCTTTGCTCTCTAGTCACTAGGGTTGATGAACATTCATTTGAAACCTAAAACAACTAGACTCTGTATGGAAAGATGTAGTATTTAAGGTGTTTGATCTATTGATAGGTAAGAGGTAGATCAAATAATGTCAATAGACCTTAAGTTAGTTATAGATACTAACCTGTGTACAGGCATACCTCAGAGTTAGTGCAGATTCGGTTTCAGACCACTATGAAGAAGCAAATATTGCCATAAAGTGAAACACACTTTTTTTTTTTTTTTTTGGTTTCCTAGTGCTTTTGAAAGTTGTGTTCGTACTATATAGTGTGCAGTAGCATTATGTCTAAAAAAAGTACTACCTTAATTAAAAATACTTTATTGCTAAGAAATGCTAACGAAGTGAGCACATGCTGTTAGAAAAATGGTGCCAATAGACTTGCTGGATGCAAGGTTGCCACAAACCTTCAATTTGTAAAAAATGTATATCTGCAAAGTGCAATAAAATGAGGTATGTTGTTTATGGAGTGGGAGGGAATAGAAACTAACTTTCTGGGCTGGGTGCTGTGGCTCATGCCTGTAATCTCAGCACTTTGGGAGGCCAAGGCAGGCAGATCACTTGAGGCCAGGAGTTCAAGACCAGCCTGGCCAACATGGTGAAACCCCGTCTCTACCAAAAATACAAAATTTAGCTGGGCGTGGTGGTGGGCGCCTGTAATCCCAGCCACTCCGGAGGGTGAGGCTGGAGAATTGCTTGAACCCGGGAGGCAGAAGTTGCAGTGAACCGAGATCATGCCACTGTACTCCAGTCTGGGTGACAGAGCAAGAGACATCGTCTCAAGAAAAAAGGAAAAACAACAACAACAACAACAACAAAAAACAACTAACTTTCTGTTTGGATAATCTCACCACTCTAGTACTTCAAGTCCTTCCAATGAATCTTTTTGTGTAATTAAAGCCACCAGGCTTACATCATTAAAAAAAGTGACATATTTGTGAAGCATGATAACTTGTTAGTGTATACTCTGAGAGCAGCTGTCATTTTCCCTAGTAAATTATAGCAACTCTGTAACATTTGTATTGCAATTTGGATTAGAACTTCAGCTACAACCAAATTGGTATTTTAAATGGTTCTTTAAAATATAATAAATTACTGTTAATATTTGCTTTCTTAAAGTAGCACATGTAACATTAGAATTCATTAATGCTTTGCTATTGTAATGGTTACTAGCTCTGTTCTTCAAGATTTTTATTAAACTTTTATTTTGACATAATTGTAAGTTCCCATGCAATTGTTAGAAGTAATAAAAAGAAGTCCCTTGTACCCTTTTCCTAGTTTCCCCTAGTGGTAACACCTTGCAGAACTGTAGTGTAACATCACAGCCAGGATATTGACATTGATGCAGTCAAGATATGGGACATTTCTGTCATAGAAATACATACATACTGTTTTGTACTTTTCTCTACTTATAATACCTTTAACTAGTTTTTTTAATTAGGGTAAACCTGGCCTTATAGAATGAGTTAGTTTTCCTTTTATTTTCTGGAAGAGACTGTAATGTGTTAGTAATACATTCGGCCCTAGGTGTCCTCAGGGGTACTGGTTCCAGGATCCCCTGAAGATGCAGATGTTCAAATCCCTTATAAAAAGTTACATAGTATAACCTATGGAGGCATATCCTCCCGTATACTTTAAATCAGCTTTAGTTATAATAACTAATACCAAGTCAGTGCTGTATAAGTAGTTTTGTTATACTATATTTTATTTGTATTATTATTATTGCTATTTAAATCTGTAGTTGCTTGAATCCATAAATGCAGAACCCACAGATACATAGGGCCAACTGTATTTCTCCTTAAATGTTTGGTAGAATTCACTAGTGAAACCATTTGGGCCTAATCATTTCATTATTATTATTATTTGATTCAATTTTAAGTAGGTCTGAAACTAATTGGGTTATTTATTTCTTCTTGTGTGAGTCTTAGTTATTTATGTCTTTCAAGGAATTGGTCAATTTCATCTAAGTTGTCAAATTTGTGCATAGAGTTGTTTTTAGTTTCTTTTTATCAGATATTTGGTGCCTGCAGGGTCTGTAGTAATAATCCCGTTTCATTCCTGATATTGGTAATTTGTGTTTTCTCCTTTTCTTTGTCAATTTTATTGATCTTTTCAAATAACCATTTCTTTATTTCATTATTCAAATTCTTTTTCTGTTTTCAATATTGTTGATTTTTGTTTTTTATTATTTCCTTTTTTCTGCTTATTTTGGGCTCATTTTGCTCTTTTTCTGGGTTTTTGAGGTAGGAGCTTAGAAAATTGACCTTTTTTCCCCTTTTTCCTAATGTATGTATTTAATGTTATAATTTTTCTTTTAAGTACTGCTTTTGCTGTGATTCGCACATTTTGATTTGTTCCATTTTCATGTTCATTCAGTTAAATTTTGTATGTTTTTAAATTTCTCTTGAGATTTCGTCTTTAACCCACAGACTATTTAGAGTATGGTTGTTTAGATTCTGTTTGGAGATTTTTCTGCTACCTTTCTCATGTTACTTTCTAGTTTGATTCCATTGTGCTTGAACAATACTCTGTATGATTTCAATTTTTTTGATTTTTAAATCTTTATTTGGACAAAGGTAGGACAAAGTTCATGGCTCAGGACATGGACTATTTTTGTAAATGTTCCATGGGCATGTGAAGAGAATGTATTTTCTGATGTTTTTGGATGGAGTGTTCTATAAATGCCTGTTATTAATAGATTCTGTTGGTTGATGGTATCATTGAGTTCTATATCCTTGCTGATTTTCTGTCTGGTTGTTCTATCAGTTGTTGAGTAGTGAAGTTTCTAACTATAATTGTAGATTTAATTATTTCTCCTTTAACTTCTATCAGTTTTTGTTTCATATATTTTGTAGCTTTGTTGTTTGTAGCTTTGTTGCATACACATTTAGGATTGTTATAAATGTGATTGACCCTTTCTTCATTTTATAAAAACTCTTTCATAATTTTCTTTGCTCTAAATTCCACTTTATATGATGTTAACATAGCCACTCCTGCCTTTTTAAAATTGAGATTTGTGTGACACAGATTTTTCGATTCTTTTACTTTCAACCTGCCAATATCATTATATTTGAACTGAATTCCTTTTAGATGGCATATTAGTTGAGTCATTTTTTCTCATCCATGCTGACAATTTGTTTTTGAATTGGTATACTTAGGCGCTGTGAGATTTATGGCAAATTCCTCACGTCTAGAACTGTAAGGTAATAAATGTGTGTTGTTTTAGCTACTAAGTTTATGATAATTTATTGCAGTAGCAATAGGAAACTAGTACAGTATCTATTGGTTGTCTTTTTTATTCAGTTTGAGATCTTCATAGTTCTTGGTATGACAAGTGATTTTCTGTTGAAACCTAGGCATGTTGAGTATTATGCTGTAAGACCCTGGATCTTACGTGAATTTGTTTTAGCTGGCTTAATTTGACGCACTCATGCAGGAGAATTGTGGGGGTTGGGGAAGGACACTGCCACCTTACAGTCAGTTGTGGGTAGAAGTCTAGGTTCCCTATCTGGTCACTTTTGACACCCATGAGGGAGTTTTTAATTATTGCTGCCTCTCCTGTCAGTGTACTTGCTTGGGAATGCTATAGTATTTATTAATCGCAATGGCTATACTATAAAATGTGTTTTTGGTCTTCAACCAGTTTCCTGGCATACAATTCCTAAAAATATTTAGAATCTTCGAAGTCATGTCTTTTTGTATGCTAATGAGTTTACTGATGCCTGGCAGTCTCCAGGTAGCTTCAGGATGGAGGCTGGTCATTGGATAGACCAGAGCATAATTAGAGGGTTGGACTTTCAGCCCAACCACTGAGGAAGGGAGAGAGGCTGAAGGTTAAGTTGATCACCAGTGGCCAGTAGTTTAATCAGTTGTGCCTATGTAATGAAGCCTCCATGAAGACTCACAGAGTTTGGAGAGCTTCCAGAGAGCTGAACATGTGGAGGTTCCTGGCAGCTGGTGCTCCAGGGATGGCATGGAAGCGCCTCTCCCCCTTCCCATCCCTTGCCATATGCATCTCTTTATCTGTATTCTTTATAAATGCTTTATAATAAACCAGTAAATGTAAGTAAGTAAGTGTTTTTCTGATTTCTGTGAGCCACTCTAGCAAATAAATTAAACCCAAAGAGGAGGTCATGGGAACCCCAATTTATAGCTGGTCAGTCAGAAGCACAGGTAAAACAACTTGGGATGTGTAATTGGCATCAGAAATGGCAGGTAGTCTTTGTGGGACTGAGCCCTCAACTTGTGGCATCTAATGCTGTCTCCAGGTAGTGTCAGGACTGATTTGGAGGCCATCCTGCTGTTGCCTGTGGCAAAATTGCTTGCTTGCTTGCTTGCTTGCTTGCTTGCTTGCTTGCTTGCTTGCTTGGTGTTTGGGGAAAACTCCCCACACATTCAGTCACAGAAATCTTCTGTGTTGATTGTGGTGGTGCCAGAGCAGAGGCAAAACTGTTTGTTTGTGTTTTTCCACTCACTGTTTGGCCTATTTTGTTGCCGTAATCAAGAAATGAATGTAGCCGGAAAAAAGAAAAATACATGTGTAATTGTCAGATTTCACTTTATAATCATAACCATAAATCTCAAGTGTGTTTTTATCCTTGCCTCAGCCATTTCTTTTTACACATTTAATTTTTTCCTCTCAGCTTATTACTTTTTTCATATTTCATTGAAAAAATAGATGCCATCAAAAAGAACTTATTGCTATCACCAATTCTACCAACTTAGCTGCAGCTGCACTCGTGTACAATGCTTTCCTTCTTCATTCAATGGAGAAACATCCTGCTTCTTTCTAAGGCCACCTCTCGTCTACTTTTTGCTCTGGATTTCATTCCATCTCACCTTCTCAGGAATTTGTTTCCTGCAGCTATGCTCTGCTTACTGGTTTATATCCATCTGCTCATATGTATTGAATTCTGGTAGCTCACATCTTTTACAACAATAAAATAAAAAAAAAAACATTCTTTTGTGTCAATTCTTACACCACTCTTTAGTCACTTGTTTTTCTGCTTCCCTTTAGAGTATACGGAACTGCCCATGGTTGCTCACTACTTTCTTACTTTTTAGTCTGAACTAAACTCACCTGGTACTGTTTTCATCCCTAACGACTGTACTAAAATGCCTTTTTGCTGTTGTTATTGTTTGTTTTTTTCTCCCTGAGTTTTTTAAGAAACTCTGTCTTGCATATCCGTTGGCCACTTTCTCGTGGAGCCTCTCAGCAGCATTCAACAAAATTTATTACAACTTCCTTTTTTAAATGGTCTTCTAATGACTTGCAAGGTACAAATTCCTCCTGCTTTTTTTTTTCTCTCATTTCATCGATAGATCTTTCTCATGATGATTCTTTCTCTTCTGCTCCACATCCAGCTATGAGAAAGGCCCAGGTTAAGTCCTAGGATTTTTACTCCTCCCCATCTAACTTTGGGGTGATTTCATCGAGTCCATTTTAAATGGCATCTATGTGCTAAAGACCCCTCTCGTTCAGACCTCCTACCTTCCAGTTTATAGCTCTAGTGTTGCTCTGCCCTCTTCAGAGGTACATATCCTACTACCTACTTGACATTTCCAAATGAGTTGTCTGGATGTCTCAACCTTAACATGGCCAACACAGAATTCTTTATCTCCCTATCCAACCCTATTGCCATGCCCACCAAACTTGAACCCCATTCTTTCCCTCTCGGGAAATATTACCACAAGCTACCCGGTTGCTCCAGCCAAAAACCTACAAGTCGGACTTTATTCTTCTCTTGTTGTCTTACCTTGTGTTCAGTTCATCATCCAGTTTTGTTGGTTTTACCTCCAAAATCTATTCCAAATCCATTTTTCTTAGTTGTTGTAACTGCCAGCAAACATTCTGATTTATACTAGGTCTCACCAACGTGTAGTCTGTAGGCTGGTTTCAATGACCTGTTTGTTTCTGGCCTGCAATGAGGTAAGGGGCTGGCACTAGAATATAAATCAATGGTATCACTAAGCACACCTTTAGTTTACTTGACTTCTTTTTCTAATAGCAAGACTTCCTTGTTGAAAAAGCAGTACATTCTGATGCAGACTCCTAATCTTGCCGAGGAGTGACATTGCAGCCCAGCTGTAGACTAATAGCTGATAGCCCTCTGACTGCTGTACGTCAGGCTTCCTTAAGTCTGTTCTCTACATAGCAGACAGAAACTTTTTAAAAATGTTAACTAGTTTATTTCATTCACCCCCTTAAAAATCTTTTCACTTGGAAAAACATTCAGACTTTTAATCTGGCCCCTATCTACCTGTCTGACTGCAATGGTTAGTGCTTTTCCTGTTGCTCCTGTATTCCAGCCATAGTTGCCTCCTTGCTGTTACTCAAGTTGGTTTCTCTCTTGGGTTCTTTTTCTACCTTTCTTCTCTTCCCAGTTTGCTGGTTGCTTTGTTTGAAATGTTCTTTTCCTCAAATTTTTGCTTAACTACTTTCTCTTTTTGGTTTTGTTTGTTTGCTTGTTTGTTTTTTGAGACGAAGTCTCGCTCTGTCGCCCAGGCTGGAGTGCAGTGGTGTCATCTCGGCTCACTGCAACCTCCGCCTCCCCGGTTCATGCCATTCTCCTGCCTCAGCCTCCTGAGTAGCTGGGACTACAGGCACCCACCACCATGCCTGGCTAATTTTTTGTATTTTTAGTAGAGACGGGGTTTCACCGTGTTAGCCAGGATGGTCTCGATCTCCTGACCTTGTGATCCGCCCGCCTCGGCCTCCCAAAGTGCTGGGATTACAGACATGAGCCACCGTGTCCGGCCAACTACTTTCTCTTAATATTTAGGTCTCAGCCTAAAAATCACCACTGCTAATAAGCTCTTCCTGACCTCTCAAATGGGCTAGTATCTAGTCCAGCCACCAGTCACCCTGTATATCCCGTGTCTCCCACTGTCTGCAGTGATTTCATTTACTTACTGTTTTGTTTATTCATGGCCTGATTCCCACCCCTGACTTTCAGTACTGGCTTCATAACAAGTCGATTTTTTTCTCCTTTGTTCATTGTTATGGTTCCCGCACTCAATAAATATTTGTTAAATGAATGATCATTCCGCCAGTGGGTGCTTCATAGACTAGCACTGTTATATTATAGCAGCACAACATGGTAAAATCAAAACAGCATACCAGCAGTATAAAATGTACAAGAAATATTAGGGAGGCAAGCTGGAATTGACAATGAGAAGATTTGAAAAGGGACCTTTGATAAGTTGTCTTGTCTGGTGGTTGGTTTGTTTGTTAAATCTGTGTTGGTCTGTGGGTCTCAGAATCTGCAAGTTCTACTTTCAGCTGCTCTTAAATAAACTAACAGACTTACTCTTCAAATAATTAGATAGTTACAAAAAACCCCAGCAAATCCCCATCACATTAATGGGGGGAAAACACTTCTTATTTATAAATTCATGCTATATAAAATTTCCTATAATAGAGTATGCAATGTCTGGCCCATACTAGTACTCCAATAATAGCCTTTGTTATTGAAGAAAAATTACAGAGAATCACTTGTTTGCAGACTGCATTCAGAATTGTCATTAGGTTTCTGTAGTCTAGGCAGAATCATCGTAAATGAATGAAATAACATATCAAGAAAGAGATTCTAAAACTTTTCTATTCAATTGACATTTATTGATTGCCTTATGCTCTAGAAACATTCTCAGATCTTTAAAAAAATTAAATAATTTTATCCAGAAATTCTTTACTATATCTAATGTAAAGCCTCCTTTTTACTGTATTTTCTCCTTGACGAAGCAGTACATACATTTTCATGACCTTTTCTAAAATCTTCATTCATTTATAGAATACCTTTATTAATTTGCTTAGTTTTAAACAAAACAAGTCTCAATTCTCTCACAAGGCTGCTTTTTTAAACTAGATATTCTTGGCTAAGTATTAGAAGCCTCATATCTACAAATGTACTGATTTCAAATATCTCATCTAACCGTTAACTAGTTCATAAAGTAGTTTTTATAACATTATGATTATAATACCCCAAATCTTTACATAGCTAGAATCCTCCTGTGCTTCTGAAGGACATCAAAAGGGATGTGATCTTCTCACGTACCCAGCCATGTCAATCATGAGCCATTTTAGGGTGTGTAGGCTGGACAACAGATTAAGAACTATCTAAGTCTTAGAATAATCCTGCTCCATTGAGTTATGATTTTTGTGAGTATACTTTCACATCATGCTTATAAGTCATAAAATGTACTGATGAAAAAGAAGCCATTGGTAATTATTCTATAAAATAAGTTATCTAGTGTAGTAGAAGAAAATTTACTAAAAACTAAACTAATTTGGCATTCTATCATTTTGATAAACACTCTTGTCTCTATTTGGTAGACTTAGTTATCACAATCAAATTTGTCTTCTGCTTTAGAATATAGGGAGATCATCTCATTCATTCTAGTCTACAGAATTTTAAGTTTTATATTTGTGAGCCTATTTGTGTTTAATTTTTCCAACTCTTTTTTTGACTTTCCATCTTATTTCTTCAGTCGTAAGTCTTTTCCAAAATAACGCTGCAACAAAATCTGACATGGTTGGTTGATTTTTTTTTTTTTTCAAGAAAAAGTGTCAAGTTTTTAAGAATTTCAACATGAATCCAGCAACAGAATGCAGATATAGCTAAGAAATGGCAGCTGAGATGGCAGTGATACATGCTTTAATGGTTTACTCATTTACAAACCGTATGGGGAAAGAGGAGATTAACATTGGCTGGTATCTTCAAAAGTAATCAGATTCTTCATTAAAATCAAATTCTTCATTAAAACCTTTGACAAAGCTTTCAGCAGAGTATTAATGGCAGTTTTATTTGTTATTGTTGTTTGTATTCCCTGAAAGCTTAATGATATTAAAAGCTGAAACTTATAATTAGACCTTTGATAAGTAGAAAGATGCCAGACTTCATGTATTAAAATACAAAGAAGTTTTTACTTCTGTTTAATTCAAATTCAACTGCAGTTTTTGCCTCAAAGTTGTACTTTAAACCACTAAGTCAGTTGAGCTATTTGAATTTTATGAGTCATATGTCATTGCTAATGTCAAGCTTCCCTACGACTGTTTCTCCAAATTTTTATTATTTGTATTTTGAAAAATTTCCAACTTACAGGAAAGTTTTAAAAAATACTAAGATGAATACCTGTATACTCTCGCATAGATTCACCAATTATTAACGTATTTCAGGGTGTATTTCTTATTCTTTTCCCTCTATATATTTTTTCTTCTCAGCAATTAAGCATTAATACAATACTACTATTTATTGGACAATTCATCTTCTTACCGTTTCATGAAAAATTTCTTCGCTTTTGACCTTTCCCATCAATACTAGGTAACTCTTTCTTTCAGCTGCTTTTGAGCTGCTTGAACCCTATCAGAGACACTTAGAAATTGGTATAGCATTTCACCTCTACTTAGCTGTCACCTCTTTTCTACAGGTGCATTTCAATATCTACTGAAACATTTGCTTGTTTTCTTTTACTTCTTTTACTTTTGGTTTAATGATGTTACTACTCTATATTGTTCTTTCCTTTTTTGAGATGGAGTCTCACTCTGTCGCCCAGGCTGGAGTGCAGTGGCGTGATCTCAGCTCGCTGCAAGCTCCGCCTCCCGGGTTCATACCATTCTCCTGCCTCAGCCTCCCGAGTAGCTGGGACTACAGGCGCCTGCCACCACGCCCGGCTAATTTTTTGTATTTTTAGTAGAGATGGGGTTTCACCATGTTAGCCAGGATGGTCTCAATCTCCTGACCTCGTGATCTGCCCGCCTCGGCCACCCAAAGTGCTGGAATTACAGGCATGAGCCACCGCACCCGGCCCTCTATGTTGTTCTTTGCAGAGATAGTTGAATACAAGTTTTGGCATTATGGAAAATGGTACATTACTGCTTACATTAGGCACTGAAGAAATGCATGGTGAAAGTGTTTTAAAAGTTAAATTAAGATTTTTTACTCTTCCTTCCAAAAATGTACTACTAACCTTCTCAGAGGAGTTTAATTCATAGGTGATCCGGAACTGGATTTTCTAAGTTTACGATTTTCAACAATAAAAATATATAAGTAATAGGTTATTCATTGTTTGTAATTGCAAAATATTGGAGCCTGCCTAAGTGCCCAAATATAGGAGACTGGTTGAATAATCTGTACAAATACACAATAGAGTATTTTACATCTGTACAATAGTGAAGTTCTCTAGAACTACTGATGGATTACTTTCTAAGATACATTGTTTAGTGAAACAAAGTACAAAAGATTGTTTACAATATGCCATCCTTTTTGTCAGAAACAATAAGTGATAACCAGCCTCCAAGAAGGTGCCCAATCAACCTGTCTCCTAGTATTCACGTTTGTATAGTCCCCTCCCACATTGTAGAAGAGTTTTTCTGTGTGACCACTAGCATATGGCAGAGCTGATGATAAGCCATTTTCAAGATGGTCATAAAAACTATGGCTTTTATGTTGGGCTGTTTTTCTCATTCACTTGGATCACTTGCTCCGGAAGCAGCAAACTGCCATATTGTAAACTGCCTTATAGACAAGCCCATTTGGGGAGGTACTGAAGTCTCTGGCCAGTAGCCAGTGAGAAACTGAGGCTTGTCAATAACCACATGAAGATTCTTGGAAGCAGATTTTCCAGCCGCATTTAAGCCTTGAGATGAGATATGATAGTCCCCATGTATAGCTTGGCAGCAACCTTGTTGGAAATGCTGAGTCAGAATCATCCAGCTAACCATTCCCAGATTCCTGACCCTCAGAAACTATGTGAAATAACATTCATTCTTTTAAGTTGTCATTTCCAGATGTAATTTGCTAGGCAGAAATAGATTACTAATACACTATAGGAATTAAGGAAAAAAAACTCATTTAACTGCATATATATATATATATATATATGTATATATATTTTTTTTCCAAAAATAAGCACAAGAAGGATAAACCAGAAAACATTGAAATTGATTACCTATAAGAACGTGAGAACAGAGGGTAGATAAGACATTAAGTAGACCATGCCATTTTGGTATAATTTTAATTTCTGGAGGCATGTTAATGTGCTACATATTAAAAAATAAAATTAAATTGAAGATGGGGGAAAAACACCTAAAATTTGAATGTAAGCAGAAATAAATGAGCCACCTATATTTCAAACAACCACACTGAAGAAAGTAAAGAACTAATCTAAGTAACTTTTGAACGTAATTCTTTGACTTCATATTCTTGGTGTAGGAGGAAAGAAAAGGGAATTTCAAACCAACTTTGACTTCTTATTAAGTTTGTTGTTCTTTGTTTTTTGCAGTGTGTGGTGTAGTAATTCTGCAACTATTTTATGTATGTTGTAGGATTAAGCAAATAAGTAAATGTGTTGGGAGCAAGGGCTCTTACTGTAGAAGAAGAAGATACAAATGTGGAAGGGGGAAGACAGAGGAGAAACTTGTGGATTTGGATTGAAGTTGTAGGCATCAGAATCACTGCGGGAAACAAACCTCTATTTCTGCTACAGAAAAGACCTAGAAGCAGTGAGACCCCAATAGCAGTGGAGCACACCTGCTTCCAAGAGCTTGGTTTCTACATGCCGTTTATTAAAAGACACCAAAACTTTGAAAAAAAAATGACTGATTTCAAAGCTAGGTCGGGGAAGGTGTAAAAGGAGCCTGGAACATCTTCTGTGCTAGAAAGTAATGAACTGCTCGGCCGGGCGCGGTGGCTCACTCCTGTAATCCCGGCACTTTGGGAGGCTGAGGCTGGTGGATCACGAGGTCAGGAGATCGAGACCACGGTGAAACCCCGTCTCTACTAAAAATACAAAAAAAAATATTAGCCGGGCGCGGTGGCAGGCGCCTGTAGGCGCGGCCACTCGGGAGGCTGAGGCCGGAGACTGGCGTAAACCCGGGAGGCGGAGCTTGCAGTGAGCCGAGACCGCGCCACTGCACTCCAGCCTGGACGACAGAGCGAGACTCCGTCTCGGGGAAAAAAAAAAAAAAAAAGTAATGAACTGCTCAAAGAAATAATGGAGACACATGAAAAGAACATAGGAACCATCCTGAAGGGGCTCCCAATGAACATATCCGGGATAGTTTGACTATCAAAGTGTATCATAATAGTGATGGATTGTATAGCCCATTGTATGAAATAGGAATTCTTCAGTGGTAATACATGAACGAATGGGGAGGGACACTTTCTTACTGTAGAATGCCTACTAATCAATGTGGAGGGACTGTTGGAATTGGAAAATCACCATTTGCAACCATGATAGTAAAGACTGGTTAGGACAACAATCGTTAGTGGATGCCAAATCTCAGGGGCAAAGTTTGATGAGCAGCTGTATAATTATATGATTCTCAGCATGATTGCTCATAGATTGATAATTACTTGGGAGAAACTATACATTGACAAAATCTGACAATACTTTTTTTGGATATCAAAATTAACATCACTAATGAGAATGAATTAAGCCTGTGTGCTGGCAGATGTAATACCTGAGAAGGTCACAACATTTCTTATGTTGTATTCTGGCTAGGGAGGCATGACTAAATCTCATGAGAAAACATTAAACAAATTCCAATTTAGGTTCATTCTACGAAATAGCCTGTATTTTTAAAAAATGTCAGTGTCTTGAAAGACAAAGGCTGAGGAATTACTCCAAATCAAAGGAAACTAAAGAGACATGACAACTAAATGCAAAATATATGATCCTGGACTAGAGGAGAAAAATGCTATAAAGGCTATAATAGGAATGACTGACAAAATTGGAGCACATACTGTATATTAGATGAAAAGTATTGTACCAGTGTTACTTGAATTTAATTACTGTACTGTGGTTACATGAAAAAAGTATTGTTTTTAAAAAATAGGCACTGAAGTACTAAACGCAAGGAGAAATAATGTATCGATGTATTGCAGCCTTCTCAAATGGATAAAAAATTGGTTGTTACATATACCTATGTGCATAAACATAAGCGAGAGGATATAAAGCACATGGGCAGATGATTATAAGTAGGTGAGATGGAGGATATGGAGGAGCCCCTTGTACTAATTTTGCAAATTTTCTGTTTGAAGTTATTTCAAGTAAAATGTTATTCAAAGTGATCATGCTGGGCATAAGAAAGAAAAAGGAAAACTGATTGATGTTAATAAGTTATGTGGTCATGCCATCTATACTAGCTTTTCTGGTTTTCTGACCTTAGACAGCCTCTTTTTTGAATTATTAGTGTTTATAAAGAGCTCAAGACTTTTTTTTTCTTTTTCTTTACATTTTACTTCTAACTGCATTGATGGTCTTTTCTATTGATTATTGTTTCAAAATTAAATGTCTTTTTTTCTATGAATAAAGTTAAAAGTTCCCAGGCCTCATTTCAGATCAGAGCATTTTATGGGCATTGTTATAATTGTTAACTCTCCTTGCTTTCTATCTTGTTCTGAAGAAAACTCTTGGGCATTACATCCAGTGAGGTTGTTTTGAAGCAAATGATATCTGTGTCATTTTGTCTTGCCTTTTCCATAAGATGACAATAGATTCAGTGTTCCTAATTGGTCAAGAGTGCTTTCACTTCACTCTTTGAGAATACGTTACGTTAGATGGACACCAGATGAGTACTAACTAGTTCCCAGAAAGCTTATTAGCCAAATTAGCCTTCTTAGCTTTGTATATATGACTGCAATATGTAAGTAATCACTACTTTCTCTTCTTTGGGAAAACATCAGGCCTACTTAGAATGTCAGTAATTTAGAGTACCTTAATATTGTATGTTTGATCATTAGCCTCTTGACAGTTTTAAAATTGCTAGACCTTTATTGATGTGGATGTTGGAAATCATCTGAATTGACAGCTTGAGTGGACATGCAGAAGAATACAGTGAAGAATATGCTCAAATTTTTTTGAATGAAAGTGGAAACTGCATAATTATCTCAAATGACTATGAGTTATCGTTCTAGATATGGGAATTTCTCTTAAAAGAAGTAATATTTGGGAAATTAATTAGACAGGAAATCAGTCCTAGATAAGGAATGCTTTTCAAGTGTAGACTGTCCATTGATTTGTGGATTATCAGAACTTTGTTATTGCCTGTGAGTATCATGTTGTTTTTCTTTCTGACGATACAGACTGGTTCTGTGTACCAGTTTTGGTTTCCGTTCCTTCCTTCAGGTTCTTTCTTTGTGGGGAAACATTGCTCTTTATAATTCTAGTTATATATATTTGGCTCCAGTATTTGAAAATGGGCCCCAGGTGAATAAAAAATACTCTTTTTTCTCTATTGGTGTTATAATCTTTCCATATGTTGTTGTTTTTTATTATTCTATTACCCTTTTAATGCACTGAGAGTGAATGATAAATTGCTTATGATGGGACATAAAAATGACTCTTGTTTTGAAGAAGTTATTAGAATGCCAGTGGCAATGACAGACAGCAATGGGACAGTATCCTTTTCTCCAGGAGAGCAACAAATTTTGTGAATTTGTTTACAAAATAAGTCTTCTTATTTTAAAAACCTAATAAGGGAAAGTAAAATGCTCATTTGCTTATACTCTTTGTAAAAGAAAAACAAAAACACATGAAGTAGAAATATTAATGATGCTTTATAGGAGAGAAATCTAGCCAGGAATAAAGAAGGGAAAGAAACTCAATTAAGAATGCAAGCAATGTTTAAACCACTTTATATGTACTACTATCACCAAAAGTTTGTGATTTTATTTACTCCTTTTTCTTAAGGTTATACTTTAATGTGTGCCCTTCTGAATATTTGAACTCTTTTTATTATTATTATTTACTTATACATTTTCTAGAGATGGGATCTCGCTTTGTTGCCCAGGCTGGAGTGTACCGGCATGATCATAGCTCACTGCAGCCTCAAACTTCTGGGCCCAAGGTATCCTCCCACCTCAGCCTCCCAAACCCAAGTAGCTAAGACTATGGGCGTACGCCACTATAACTAGCTAACTTTTTTATTCTTTGTAGAGCTAGGGTCTTGCTATGTTGCTTAAGCTAGTCTCAAACTCCTGGCTTTAAGAGATCCTATCACCGCAGCCTCCTAAAGCGTTGGGATTACAGATACAAGGTGCTGCCTCCAGCCTAAATTCTTATATTTCCCTGTGTTTGCCTTAATCATGGCTTCCATGTCAATGTTACTTACTTTCTCATTAGTTAAAGTATACCTTGGGCCAAATGTTATGGTGAAATGTTGTGAATGCTACTTTGAATTATGGCTGGTTTTGGAACTAAAAATCTTCTGTTTTCTGGAGAAGAAAACAGCTATGCCCATGCAGCTGCATCCATATATACCTACATGTGTATACATACATTTTACCTACTTTTTTTCTAGATCCAAGGAGATAATCTTGAATGACAGTTTATATACTTTGTTTCTGAAAGAAAAGAGAATAGGAGAAATTATTCTAAGTTTATTTTGCTTTAAATATTTATGTCATTCTTTTCAGACAAAAATGATTAGGAAAAAGTTGAAATGATATTTTAAAACATAATTTAACCAAAGAGTGGAAGTAAAGATAGTTTCCCTTAAGAAATTTTTGAAAAATGTGAGGTAGAAAATTATTTTAAATGTGTGAAAAGCCATAAGATCCAAAAGGAGACTGGTATCTTATTTATAATGGAAAAAAAATAGGATGAGGATGAATACAAAGCTCTACAGGAGAACTGAGTGTATATCTATTTTTCAAATTGGTGCCCAAATGACAGGGCAAAAGAACCTAAAAGAGTGAATGATTCCAAGAACTTTCTATACCTTAATTAAAAAGCGATGGAAGTGAGGATGGGGGTGTCTTGAAAATTGTATTAACAGAGTTTTCCCTCAAAACAAATTATTGTCTAACCTACTTCTGTTATTAAATTAACTTTCTTCCTGTGAACCTTGACTTGAAAAGTATTTAGACTTTTATCATCATACTCTGCCAATAGGTTTGCTATTGTCCAGTAGTGTGATATAATTGAATCTGAATATTTTCTATGTTATTCAGAGCAAATAACAGTACTACCTTGTAAATTCTTGAAGCTTAAGAATTCAGGAAAACTCGTTTATTTTTTAAAGTAGACCTATCTTTAATTGGAATGAAAACCAATTAAGCTTTGAAGGAATGCACATTTACAAACTGTCAGTTGTTTAAACATAAGGAGAGTAGCTTATGAACAGTTTATTGCCAGGATGTAAGAGTGGCTTTCTTTTGATTTTGACCACTCATTTCTCTGTGGGCTAAAAAATGAAACATTTATTTTTTATTGAAATGAAAAAATAAATATGGTCACTTTAAAATGTATACATAGATAATTTTGTTTTCACTATATAATCTTGTTTATCTAAGCCTTTTTTTTTTTTGGCTTTCTGGTTTTTCCTGAGTAGCTTTCAATCTTGTATCTTTTCATTATGTAAGAGACTGTAAAATATATTTACTATGTTTTAGATATTTATTGTAGTTCAGTAACTTTTGTATTTATCCCTGACTTAATTAAATAAACTTAATTTTAACTACTGAGGCTATTCCTCAGCAACTGTGATGAGTTCTTGTTATCTTAGGGGATTCTGGTTTGTGCTATAAGTGTATTAGGGTGAAAGGGTTAGTTGAAAAGTGTGGGGAAGCAAAAGGGCTTCTTTGAGTATTTGCAGCTCTATTAGACTCTTTCATTCACTTTCCTTTAAAACACATATATTTCTACATATATCTTCCAGTAAATTGTGTGAAGCTTATGTTCCAAAAGACTAATCGGGACGGTTCAAGAACAGTGGGAATTGTGCTTTTACTTACTCAACGAAGGATAATTGTAGAAAAGCATCGTGGGCTGCTATAAATCTTTTCCACTATGTGTGAACTCTTTAGCTAAAAAGTGCCTATACAGGGAATATATCAAGGGGTCTTTCTGGCAATTTTGATAGTCTCATATCTTGATTATACCAAAGTTAGGGTTTCCTTAAATAAGGAAATCCATTTTGTGTTGCTGTAACAGTATACCATAGACTGGGTGATTTATAAAGAAAAGAATTTTTATTTCTCACAATTTCTCACAAATTTGGAGGCTGGGAAGTCCAATATCAAGGAGCCAGCATCTGGCCAGGGCCTTCTTACTGTGTTATTCCACGGCAGACGGCAAGACAGAAAAATGGCATTAATCCATTCATGAGAGCGGAGCCCTCATGACCTAATCACCTCTTAAAGTTCCTCCCTCTCAATACTGTTGCACTGGGGATTTTTAACATATGAACTTTGGGGGATACATTCAAACCATATCATAAAGCTATACTATTTGAGTCACTTAATGGGTAATTGTTTACCCAGAGCATTTTTAGTCAGACTATAATGTGTCTACTGAATAGGGAAGTAAATAACTATCTGACTGGATCCATTATATTCAAGAACCTGCCTTAAGTTATATGCACGGTAATGATTAAGAATTAAATTTGACATAGCAAGAGTACTCTGAAGACAGGTTCATCATTTTTATCAATTAAATTCCTTTTGAGAAAGAAAATAGCACCTAATGTAGGAGCTGGCCTGACATAGCTAGGTCATGTTGTTCTCTGGTTGGATCTGAACAATTTCATGGAATATAAATAATCAGATCAGGTCACCTGAGACCATGATTAAGTGATATGAAACAAGATCACTTCACAATTTTATCTAAGCACAGACCTAAACAAGGTCACTGTGTAACTCACAACATACCCAACATCCTTCTCACCTGGCTAATGTGAATGACAGCTACTTTTTTGCCCAGTCATACATTGCCCCTCATTTTCTAATAGCATCCAATCCAGAACAAACATCTACCTCCTTAGCCCGTCTCCCTAAATCTCCCAACCAAAGCCCAAACGCTTTAATAGATTATTTCTAACACCCATTTAATAAGATGCCCCACTGTTCTCCATGGTGTGTGTTCTCCCTCACTGCATTAAGTAATGCACCCAATTTATTCAGTTACAGGTGTGTTCCTGTTCAGTTACAAGTATGGCCTTTGGCTGGAGAACATTAACAGTTTCCTTAAAGATATTTCTTAAGGTGCAAATTTCATCCCCAGCATTTAGGAGTTGAATGTGTTGTTAACTTTTTATATATGCATATGCTCAATTCAGAATTTTTTTTTTTTTTTTACCACTTGACTATCAGGCACTTTGATAGTTGTTCAGTATATAAGGATAAAAAAGGCCTGCTAGGAAATTTCAAACTGGGTAATTGAGATATTTCCAAGTGATAATAAAAATGAGTCTGATTTATTTATAAATATCTCTGCTTCATACACTGGACTCATTTTAGTATATTTTAATAAGAGTCAATAAAAATACTTGAGAATTTCTTAATTTTGTATAGGATATGGAATTCTACTTACCATTGCCTAATACATTGACAGAACTTGTGTTTTTGGAATTTATTCACAAAAACTCTAGTGCCATTGAGTATTTCTAACATTATTTTTCAGAAAAACATTTTTCTGAGAATGTATTTTTTTTTTATGTGTGTGTGTTAGAGGAATAGAGACACACAGAGACATTTACTTTGCAACTCAATAATAATGATTTACATAGAACCACCTGATGGCCAGTTATGATGATATATTATGTGCGTTTTGTAAAAGAATTTCTGGAATTACTGTTAGTTTCATCATCTGCCCTACAATATATCTATCTGCACAAGTCGTTTTCTGTAAGATATGAAACTGTAGATCTCACACAAAGCAAAGAATGAATTACTTCTGAGAGAATGAAGTGTTTCTTAGTTTTGCTTTTTAGAAAGTAACCTCACAAAGCCTTGTCTTCCAAGGCAAATCATTGGACACCTCGAATTTCAATTTTTTGCACTTCTGAACTACAACAGTTGCTTCTTTACAAGCTTGATGTAGAAGTGTTTGGCTTAAATCTTTTAAGTTTATCAAGATGAGAAAACTTTAGCGTCTAAAGAATCTGAAAATAGCCTGGTGAAATTTTGTACCAACTGCAAACCGCTTAGGTAGTCTTTGCTACCATTCCTAGGTAATTATTTGCAGACGCCATTATACAAATGGCTGATTCTATCAATTAAACCACATTTACTCAAAATGAATGTGTCGTTTCTTTTGCTAGCACAGAATGAGAAATTATGTAAAGAGAGAATAGTTTTTAGTATTTGAACGGTGCTAGTTTTCCTTAATTATTGTATTCTCTTAAATATATGACTGTTTTTACATAGTCACAAATTAGAAATGTCAATTTATTTGAAACAGTTTTCTACTTTTGTCACACTAGGATTTCCACATATTTAAATTTTATTTCTGTCTAAATACTATGTGGGCTGAGGACAAATAATTTGAAATGGTACAAGATAAAGCAGAATGATGTCATCCTTCATAAACGTGATCAGTCATGAACCATTTAGTTACATAATTTGTTAGACTTTTTCATAATGTTTTAAAGTAAATCTTTCAGTGTTCTTGAAATAAGATTTTAGTTTAATATACTGCAGTTTAGAATATTGAACATCATTTTTCTTTTTTTAGCCCTAAATTCTCATCAGATCTTTGCTGTAGATACTTTAATTCTCTTAAAGTGAGTAATTGGACGTTTAGTAAAAACATGACACCTCTTTTAATAAATGTACATACTTCAGAATCTCATAAAAGTTCATGTAAACTCAAAATGTAGAAAATTATTTTACCTCTGTTGGAGAACTAATATCATAATAACAGCTTGACTAAAAGTATGTAAGTACTGTATTTCTTTATGTACTATTGTTATAAAGTAACTGATTATACTCTACCCCCATAATAGTAAGGAGAGATTAATATTTTACCTAATTTTTATATACTTTTTTAAGTCAGTGGAAGGAAAACCCTAATCTACTTTATTGAATATAATTGAATATGAGAAATTACTGAGATGGGGTTGCCCGTGTTTTTCACTCATTTATAAAAGCTTGAGAAGTCCATTTTTATTAAAAATTTACTCATTAGACATAATCTTGGAAAGAAATACATAAGAACTTCGGCAGTGCCACCTTGCACCCATTAGGATGGCTATTGCCTTAGTCCATTTTGTGCTGCTATTAATAGTATAACACAGACTGGGTGATTTATAAAGAAAAGAAGTTTATTTTTTTCAGTTCTAGAAGCTGAGAAGTCCAAGGTTGAGGGACCCGTGTCTGGTTAGGGCCTGTTTGCTGTGTCATCCCATGGTGGAAGGCAGAAGAGCAGGAGAGCAAGAAGGGACTGAATTTGCTTTTTATAAGAAGCTCACTATCGTGATAACTAAATGGCTTCTGCGATAATAGCATTAATCCATTCATGAGGGTGGAGCCCTCAGGACCTAATCACCTCTTAAAGGTCCCGCCTCTCAAAACTATTGCATTGGGGATTAAGTTTCCAACATACAAACTTGGAGGGACACATTCAATCCATAGCAGCTACTATTAAAAACAACAACCACCACCACCACCATAGAAAATAAGTATTGGCAAGGATGAGGTGAAATTGGGCCCCTTGAGCACTGTTGGTGGGATTGTAAAATGGTGTAAGCACTATGGAAAACAGTATGGAGACTCCTCAAAAAATTAAAAATAGAATTCCCATATGACCCGGCAATTCTGCTTCTGGGTATATGCTCAAAAGAACTGGAAGCAGGGGCTTGAAGTGATATTTGTACACTCATGTTGATAGCAGCAGCATTTGCAGTAACCAGTAGGTAAAAGCAACCCAGGTGTCCATCAAGAGATAAACCGATAAATAAAATGTGGTATGGAATACAATGGAGTATTAATCAGCCTTAAACAGAGGAAGGGAATCTGACACATGCATAGCATGGATGAACCTTGAACACATTTTGCTAAATGGAATAAGACAGTCACAAAAGGACAGATAATGTGGATTCCACTTATGGAGTTACTTAGAATAGCCAAACTCAGAGACAGAAAGTAAACTAGTGGTTGCCAGGGCCTGAAGAGAGGGGGGAATGGGGAATTAGTGTTTAATAGGTACATTTTCAGCCTTGTCAGTTGAAGAGTGCTGTGAATGGATCTTGGTGATGGTAGCACAACAGTGTGAGTATGCTTAATGCCACTGTGTACTTAAAAGTGGTTAAGGTGATAAATTTGGGTGAGGCTCTGGTAGTGGCTGAGGTGATGCCATAAATAAATAAAATGAACATTTTTTCATCCTTCTGGTTAGATTTTTTATTCTATTGGGTAAAGTGGCAATTGGCTCTTTCCAATTTGAGAAGACTCTGTTATCATTATAGTTTAGTTATATTCATTTGATATTTGCATGCTGCTACTTGCTTGAACCTATATTTTCACTACTTCATTGGTCAAATATCTGAAAGAGAAATTTTAACGTTTCCCACTAGAACTTTTTCTTATCAAGTGCTTCCATTTCTTGGACTTTTTACTGAAGGCTTGTCTCCCATGTTGTTTGGAACCTGTTTTAGTTTCTAGTGGCTGGCATAATTTAAACAAATTGGGTGGCATTTCTTTTGGCGTACCACCATTCAACCCACAACAGCACCTTCAGGAGCTAATTTGCTTTGTGCGTTGTTCCTTTAGCAATTAAATATGAAATTATATACAGACAGTCCTCGACTTATGTTAGTTTGACCTTGGTTTTTTTTACTATATGATGGTGCAAAAGTGATACACATTCAGTGGAGACCATTCTTCAGATGCCCATACAACCATTCTGTTTTTCATTTTTAGTACAGTATTCAATAAATTACAGAAGATCTTCAGCAGTTTATTATAAAATAGGCTTTGTGTGAGATGATTTTGCCCCACTATAGGCCAATGTAAGTCTTCTGAGCATGTAAAGGTAGACTAGGCTAAGCTATGATGTATCATGGGTTTGGTGTATTAAATATATGTTTTTTCTTCACCATTTTATTACACAAAGTTAAACCAGATGGGACTGGTTCTGTGGTTGCAGAAAGTTGGATGTCACAAGACAGGCGTAAGTCACCTACCCCATCTTAAGATCAGGAGAAGTGGTGAATGCAAAGGGGAGGACGGGTAAGCAGAAGGATCTGGTCTAAGGAGGACAAGGGTGGGGGATGGGTTGGGAGCAGGGTGGGGTTTGTAGAATCCCAAGATCAGGGAGAAGACATGGTCTCTCCAGGATTGTGGCTACCTATGAAGAGAAGCCCATTCATACTGGAATGGTGTGAATTCACCACAGTGGTCAGAGTTTTCAAAGACCATGCTGCACAGAGATGTTAGTAAACAGTTTTATGCAAGGAAAAGGCAGGAAAGGAGTTGTCTGCATAGTCTGAAGGGATAAAGACACACAAACAGGACGAACCTCAGAACAATTTTAACAGAAAGAGACACGAGCCCCATACTCTCACTCTGACGTCTAAATTTACCTGGGTGGAGAGAGTGAGGCGAGGATTTTAAAAGATTTGCAGGGACCTCAGATTCCAGGTATATTAGTGCTGGGGGACTATGAGGCACATACTTAATCTAGGTAGAGGGGAAACAGGCATCATGGTCTAAATGTATTTTCAACTTAAAATATTTCCAGTTTACAATGAGATTATTAGGACATAGCCCCATCATAAGTTGAGGATCCTCTGTGTTTGATCTTATTCCTGTCATTTTAACTTTTTCTTTAGTATTTTTTGAAACTTACTTTGATGATTTAAACAAGTTTCTTTCTTGTGTTTTCCCTTCCTGAAAGTTCTGTTTTTGAAAATACAGTTTTGACTCATAGTTATCTTTTCTTTAACAGCCATATTTAAATTCACATTGTTTCTCTGATTTGACAAAATAAAATAACTGTGTTCCCAAGACGTTTACTTACTATTTCTCCATTGCCCTACCCTCAACCCTTCTCAGTTCTTCAATTTCTCATAGTTGAGGATTTTAGTTCTAGACTAGTAGTATATTATATCTCTTCATTTTAGAAATTCCTGCTTAACACATAATTTCCTTCTGCATTATCATTATCCATTTGGGCTTACTTGTATATTGCAAACATTTATTGCTTGCTTGCTTACTTACATTGCTTGCATTCTTGGTCTTCTCTTGCTCTTGAGATTTCTTTTTTTATAGTATTTTAAAAAGATTTCCTTGTTTTTTTCAGATAGAATATATGAATGTTATTTTTTTCGCTTAGTTCTTGCATGTCTTTCTTTGGCCTCCAAACGAATAATGCCTTACCTGCAATATATTAAATATAACTTTTTTATTCACCTTTTTAAATTCGACCTTCAGTGATCTGTAGTTATTATTCTTCATTTTCTAGCTTGTATTATTGCAAATAGAAATCTGTTTCACATCTGATTTCATTCTCATTTTTTTGGTTTCTAAATATTTGAGATTTTCTCATTTTTATACAGAGAAGTTTCTAATTTTTTTGAAGTCACATTGTGTGATTGGTGACTTCCCTAATCTCATAACATGTTCCCTTTTAAGTGGAATCAATATTAAATGACATGTATTAAGGTTTATTATCAGAAACTCATGGAATCTCAAGGTTAAATGGGACCTTGAAGGCCATTTAGTCCAAATAATCATACAGTGCATGGATATTTCAGTACCATTATCAAGTAATTCTCTCATTCATGCTTACATAGGTTTTTTCTTTTCCAAGTCAGTTTAGTCCAGCTTCTAGGTTTTGGTGCTTTGTTAGGTCTCTTTCCCCGTTAGTCCTAATTTTATCCTTTGGGGTCCTATGAGTAAACCTAATCCTTTTGTACTCTGGCAGTTCATCAAGTATTTGAAGAGCACTATTATGCGACTTTAAAACTCTTTTATAACTGTCTTTAGAAAAAGAAAAATTTGGGAAATTTTATATCCCTTAGTAGATGATGGCAGAGAGGTAGCAGAGCAAAGATGGCTAAACTAAAACGTGGATCAGATTTGCAAAACTCCATTTTCTAGCCAATATCATAGGAAAATTAAAGAAAAGAGCACTTGCTATCTATTACTGTCTCCAGAAAAAACCTCCAGCTTTGTTAAAGGTATAACTTTAAAAAGCAACAACCCGCAAACACGCATAGAAACAGACACACACATGCAAGCACACTTCTACCCTCAGTCTAGACAATACTTACCTTTGTTCACTTTTTGCGTAATGATTCTGATCATTCAGTGCCTCTATTTGGTATCTGTTTGGTCAAATGATACTATTGTTGCTGAGTACAAGGGATAGAACAGTTGGATTTTGCCCCTTTTTGTTTAGTTTGTTCATTGCATTTATTTTGCACCAAGCTCTTACATGACCCAGCAGTAACTAGAGAGTGAAATTGAATAAGATCATTTGGTTTTAGTCTAGGCCATATGCTTTTGCCACTGTTGAGCAAAAATACGGAAAAGTAAAATACTCTAAATGGAAAAATACACAAATGTTAGAAAATACCAAGCCTTTTAAGAGGCTAGAGAACAACCCAGAGGCAGTAACTGCTGAGTTCATAGCTTTAGTAATTTCTGCAGAGAACTAATTGCTTCTTCCTGTGTGCTCCATAACACTTCAGACATTATATTAAGAAAATCATTTGTGGGTCTGTCTTCTTGTGTGACTTGTGCCCCTTGAAGTCAGGGGCCATATCTTATATTCATTATATTTCTGGGAATGCTCTGCGTTTTATTGAATACAGCAGAATATAGTCATGCATCACTTAATGAACGACATAAGTTCTATGAAATGCGTCATTAGGTAGTTGTCATTGTGTGAACATCATAGAATATACTTACACAAACCTAGATGGTATAGCGTACTACACACATAAGCTATATGGTATAGCCTGTTGCTCCTAGAGTACAAACCTGTACAGCATGTTACTCCACTGAATACTGTAGGCAGTTATAACACAGTGGTAAGCATTTGTTTATCTAAACATAGAAAAGGTACAGTAAAAATATGGTATAAAATATGAGAGACAGTATGTCTTCTGTAGGGCACTTACCATAAATGGAGCTTGCGGGACTGGAAGTTGACTCACTGGGTGAGTCCGTGAGTGAGTGGTGAGAGAATGCGAAGGCCTAGAGCATTATTGTACACTACTATAGACTTCATAAACACTGTATGCTTAGGCTACATTAGATTTATTTAAAAAAATTTTTTTTCTTCAACGATGAATTAACCTTAGCTTCCTGTAACTTTTTTCACTTTGTAAAAGTTTCATTTTTTTTAACTTTTTGACTGTTATGATAACACTTAGCATAAAACACATTGTACAGCTGTACAAAAATATTCTTTACATATGCTTATTCTATAAACTTTTTCTGATTTTAAAACTTTTTAAACTTTTTTTGTTAAACATTAAGACACAAAAACACATGTTAGTCTAGGCCTGTGGAGGGTTAGGATCGTCATTATCACTGGCTTTCCCCTCCCCATGCCGTCCCACTGAAAGGTCTTCGTGGACAATAAACCACTAACATATTCATTTGTTATCATTTTCAAGTATTATGTATTTCATGTATTGTATGTGCAATACTTTTATACAACTGGCTGTGCAGGTTTGTTTACACCAGCATCACTACAAACGTGAGTAATGCTCCCACTGTGACATTACTAGGTGATAGAAATTTTTCAGCTTTGTGTTATTAATGTTATGGGACTACTGTTGTATATGTGGTCTCTTATTGACCAAAACGTCATTATGTGGCACATGACTGTACCTGTTCCCCTCACTTTCCCATTCTTAGAGTCACATACCTTAAAAAGAATGTCTCATCTTGGGGAAAACACCATTGCGATGACAGAGGGGTCTGTTATATCTAGGCTTAGAACTAAGAATGAAAGTTATTACAGGATTGTATAGGAAATTCCTGGGAGAAAAAAAAAAAAACAGTGGGATAGGTTTAGGGTATAGACTTAGAAAGTAGTGTCATACATAAACAGGATTAGTAAACACAGTTTTGGTGTGGCTATTTGAAATTGCTGAATGAAATTGTTATGCTACTAATTCAGTGAAGAAATTATTATAATCATATACATATAAACATACTTTTCATTACAAAGTTTGGTGTGCTATACTTGTTAGATTTTAAAAACATGTTTCTTATCCCTGAAAGCAAGGCAGATAGTTTTGAGCACAGAGCTACTTGAACTACCATAGGAAGAAGAAAAAGTTTTGACAGCAGTCAGTCAACCAATCAAATATGTAGCCGTTTGTGCTAAGCAAATAACTTATTTTCTTGTTTCTCCAGAGAATACTGGACAAATTATACATGGCGAATAAGATGAGGCAAGGAGTTTTCACGTTTTTAAAGATCATATCCAGGCTATTTAATACACTTCACTAGTAGAATATAAAGTAAGTTACACTGAAGAAGAAATGAATAATAACTAATGGTCTTTAATTTTTTAATTTTTTTTTCAATTGTTTTTGGGGGACAGGTGGTGGTTGGTTACACGGAAAAGTTCTTTAGTGGTAATTTCTGAGATTTTCGTGCACCTGTTACCCGAGCAGTGTACAGTGTACCCAGTGTGTAGTCTTTTATCCCTCATCCCCCTCTCACCCTTCCCCCCAAGTCCCCAAAGTCCATTATGTCATTCTTATGCCTTTGCATCCATATAGCTTAGCTACTACTTATTAGTGAGAATACACGATATTTGGTTTTCCATTCCTGAGTTACTTCACTTAGAATAATGGTCTCCAGTTCCATCCAAGTTGCTACAAATGCCATTATTTCATTCCTTTTTATGGCTGAGTACTAGTATTCCATGGTGTATATATATACCACAGTTCTTTCTTTCTTTTCTTTTCTTTTTTTTTTTTTTTTTTTTTTTTTTTTTGAGATGGAGCCTCACTCTGTTGTCCAGGCTGGAGTGCAGTGGCATGATCTTGGCTCACCGCTGCAGCCTCCACCTCCTGGGTTCAAGCAGTTCTCCTTCCTCAGCCTCCCAAGTAGCTGGGATTACAGGCATGTGCCACCATGCCTGGCTAATTTTGTATTTTTGGTAGAGACAGGGTTTCACCATGTTGCCCAGGCTGGTTTCAAATTCCTGACCTCAGGTGATCCACCCACCTCATCCTCCCAAAGTGCTGGGATTACAGGGGTGAGCTACTGTGCCCAGCCTATACCACAGTTTCTTTATCTGCTTGTCGATTGATGGGCATTTGGGCTGGTTCCATATTTTTTGCAGTTGCAAATTGTGCTGCTGTAAACATGGGTGCAAGTATCTTTTTCGTATAATGACTTACTTTCCTCTGGGTAGATACCCAGTAATGGGATTGCTGGATCAAATGGTAGTTGTGTTTTTACTTCTTTTAGTCTCCACACTTTCTTCCGTAGTGGTTTTACTAGTTTGCATTCCCACCAGTAGTGTAAAATTGTTCCCTTTTCACCATATCCACACCAACATCTGTTATTTTTTTATTTCTTAATTATGGCCATACTTGCAGAAGTAAGATGGTATCTCATTGTGGTTTTAATTTGCATTTCCCTGATAGTAATGTTGAGCATTTTTTCATATGTTTGTTGGCCACTTGTGTATCTTCTTTTGAGAATTATCTATTCATGTCCTTTGCCCACTTTTTGATGGGGTTGGTTTTTTTTCTTGCTTTGTTTGAGTTCCTTGTAGATTCTAGATGTTAGTTAGTCATCTTTGTCAGATGCATAGTTTGCAAAGATCTTCTCCTGCTCTGTGGTTTGTCTGTTTACTCTGCTGATGATTTCTTTTGCTGTGCAGAAGATTTTTAGTTTAATTAGGTCTCATTTATTTATTTTTGTTTTAGTTGCATTTGCTTTTGTGTTGTTGGTTGTGAATTCTTTGCCTAAGCTAATGTCTAGAAGAGTTTTTCTGATGTTATTTTCTAGAATTTCTGTTGTTTCAGGTCTTCGATTTAAGTCTTTGATCCATCTGGAATTGAATTTTATATAAAGTGAGAGATGAGGATCCAGTTTCATTCTTTACATGTGCCTTGCCAATTATACCAACACCATTTGTTAACTACGGTGTCCTTTCTTCACCGTATGTTTTTGTTTGCTTTGTTGAAGATCAGTTGGCTGTGAGTACTTGGGTTTCTTTCTGGGTCCTCTCTTCTGTTCCAACTAATTGTCTTTTATTTGGAGTAGTACAAAATTTTAAATAAAAATAAATGAAGTGGGGCTCACTTCTGTTGGTTTTTTTAATCTTTAATTGTGTAATATATATAAAAATAGCAGCTAAAGTTTATGTTTATGTATTCAACCAGCATAATAACTTTTACTTTAATATAAGGATAGAAAATATAGGAAAGTGATTGACATATGCATATGTCTTTTGTTGAATGCCATCGGTCAAAGACCACCAGAAACATATCTGTGATTAACAAAGTTAAATTTATTTCGCTTGTTGCCTCAAGGGAGGACACACCCAGAAGAGCTTTGAGAGAATTTAGAGGAGGACTTAGAAGGGGCTTCTTGTAGGGTCTAGACTTGTACTAAATATTTCTAAAAGGGATTTGGGAAGCTGGGATCAGTTCCAGATTGGATACTCTCAAGAAATAGTGCAATTCAGTAGTTCAGAAATATCTGTTCGGGAGGCAGGAGGAATGAAGCCAGGCTGGTGATGTCATTAGTCAGAAAGCAAGTCACTAGGAGGAAAAGATTGTTGGCCACTTTTCTAGCTGTGGTATGGGCTTGCATAAGAACATTCTTTTATGTGGGCTTGTTCCATATCCTGTTGGAAATAGTCATTATCAGCCAGGCAAATTGGTAGTTCCTCAATATTTAACATACTGCTGATCCTAGGTTAATTTTTTAATTTATCCCAAACTTCATACTTCAAAATACTAATGTACATATTATCCTTCACTCGAGTTTCATAAGGATTATTACACTGCAGGGTTGGTACATTTCTATGGCATAAAAATATGCCACAATCAATATGCGTTTCATGCAGTCATTGTATGCATAATTTAAAGTAAATGTGAAGTTTAAAATTAATGAAAAATGACATGTATTAAATATAGAAACAAATCTTTACTTTCATCATAGCTTTTTATAATTACTGACATATGGATATACTTGAAGCTGTTAGAAGTCAATAGGTCACCAGCTAGAATATTAAGAACTATCAGATAGATATTTGTATGACAGGAACTTATTACCAATATTCTTTCTTTTGGAGTGAGGTTCTTCTCTGTAATGAGGAAGTGGATATTTACTCCTGGTAAGGTTTTATCGATCTCAATAAGGTTCTATCTTTTTTGGTATAGAGGAGAAAGGAAAGTTGATCTGCATGATTTTTCTAATTATCTTCGTTTGAATACATTTCACTTTTTCTTGGAAATTATTTAAGGCCCTGTCTTTTTTTAGCCACTGTTTTATTAATGTGGTAAATCAATTTCTGTAGCTTCTCACATTGGGATTATAACTTTCTAGGGATGCAGGAAAATATTTAGGATAGTAAGATAAAAAATACCTCTCCTTTTTGTTTAAATAAAATATGTTTTCTTATAAAGTTAGTGGAGTGTGGAGAAATCTGTTTTCTCAGCTTATTTAAATATTAATTCTTTTCATCAAAATTTTTTTCACTGACATTAATGAAAAGGAGGTCCTGTCTTCCTGGTGATTCACAGAGAGAAATAAGAAACAATTGTTAGTAAATCAAATACTTTAAGATTTGAATCACATTATTATCATCATCATCACTATCATCTTGTGTTAGAGTTTTTCTGTGAGTCAAACATTGAGTGTTTTATTTCCATTATCCCTGACCCTCAGAGCGACCACAGAAGATAAATATTATCTTCTCTTTTTAAAAATGAGAAACATGAAACTCAGAGGAAGGTTACATGATTTGGTCAAACTTACATGGTTAGATAATGGCAGAGCCAGGATTCATTTAAAATGTCTAGCCCTAGAGGTTATCCTCCTTGTTAGAACTCACCAGTGATTCCCTAGCCAGGCACAGGCCACACCTCCAAAGACGTTGCTAGAGGGTTTCATGCAGTTTCCATGGACATGTTCACCTGCCCATGTTTAGGATGAAAGTCATAAAGTTAGGGGAAGGGAAGAAAGATTAAAGACTGCTATAGTGAAGTAATGAGGGAGAAAGAAATTAAAAGGAAGGACACAAAGCACATTTTAAACATGCATGAATCAAATTACTGTTGTTTATGCTGACAGTGTTTGTTGCTTAATGAACTAACCACATCAAGCAAAGATAGGTTTGACTTCAGGGTCTGCTGGATCTGGGGACTCAAACTGTATCATGCATCTGACTGTCTCTGTTTCTGTAAAACATTGTCTTATTCTGCCTTCTATTGCTATAAGTGAATAATCAAGACTGGGTAATTTATAAGGGAGAGAGGTTTATTTAGCCCACAGTTCTGGAGACCAGGAGGTCCAAGATTGGGCAGCTGCATTTGATCAGCTTCTGGTGAGGGCCTCGTACTGGGTCTTAACCCAGCAGAGAAGAAGAAGGGGAAGTGGGCACAAGCAAAGACGCCAAGCATGAGAGGCAACCACACTTTATAACAACTCACTCTCGTGGTAGCAAATTCAGTCCCATGAGGGAGAACTCACTTCTACTCCAATGAGAAAGGCACTAATCACTCTCACAACATCATCACCTCTTAAAGGCCCCACTTCTCAGCATCATTATATTGCCAACTAAATTTCAGCATAAATTTTGGTGGAGACAAACCACATCCAGCCCATAACAACTACCCACCTTCTTTCTGCTTCATTCTCTGCCCTTTCTTTCTGCTGGCTCCCCTCACTCTTGTTCCTTTCCCTTTCTGATCTTTCTCTCCTATTCTTTCTCCTTCCCTTCTGTGCTCCCTCTAGTCCTTTCCCTGCTACCAGATGACTTCAGCCTCTGTGTCTCCATTTCCTGTCTGCATCTGCATGGTTTTTGTTTCCTTAGGCTCTTCATGGTTTGAGGAATATGGCCATTAGCAGCTCTGGGACCACAGCCCTTTAGCTGCAGAGGTCTTTCCCAGTTGTGCAGTAAAAAATTTCAAGGAACAATTCTGAGCTGTTTCAGCCAAATATCTATACCTGCATTAGTCACTGTTCTGCAGATAGAGTGTGATGATTAGCCAGAAGTGGAGCAAGGTGCTGTGATTGGGAACTGCACCAGAATCACAAGATCTCAATAGAGGAGAGCAATTCCCCAAATCATACTTGAGAGATCACTGGAAGATTCTAACAGGCATTTGGCAGATAAAAATAACATGCCTACTGTGCTTTTCTATTTAGATTTATATTTTCTATAGTTTATTCTTAACCTACTAGTACTGCTAACTAAAAATCGAGTGTTTCTTGTGTTAAAAAAAACATGCTTTTACAAAAAAAAATTAAATTTTAATACCTTTGCAACTGAAAGGAGATATAAATGAGGATATTCAGAATTTCAGCATTAATGTTTAAGTTTCAGAATACACAAACATGTTTTTATTGGTTAAAGAATGTTTTTCACTTCATTGCAAACTTAACCAAAAAGAAGAGTAGTTGTTTTACTTTAGATGTTCATCATATATTGTTCAAACAGCTTCTTTTTCAAAAGAAAGTCTATGTCAGGTAAAATTCTATTTGTTGCTTTGCAAGCTGTACCTCTAGATGATAGATTTCATGTATCTTAGAATTAGATTTCTGTGTTCTTAGATTCCTGTGTTCCTAGCAACTTGTAGGGAATACCTTAAAAAGTATCTACTTGGGGGTGGAGCCAAGATGGCCGAATAGGAACATCTCCAGTCTACAGCTCCCAGCGTGAGCGACACAGAAGACGGGCGATTTCTGCATTTCCAACTGAGGTACCGGATTCATCTCACTGGGGAGTGCCGGACAGTGGGTGCAGGACAGTGGGTGCAACGCACCATGCGTGAGCCGAAGCAGGGTGAGGCATCGCCTCACCTGGGAAGCGCAAGGGGTCAGGGAATTCCCTTTCCTAGTCAAAGAAAGGGGTGACAGACGGCACCTGGAAAATCGGGTCACTCCCACCCTAAAACTGCACTTTTCCAACGGGCTTAATGGCACACCAGGAGATTATATCCTGCACCTGGCTTGGAGGATCCTACGCCCATGGAGCCTCACTCATTGCTAGCCCAGCAGTCTGAGATCAAACTGCAAGGCAGCAGCGAGGCTGGGGGAGGGGCGCCCACCATTGCCCAGGCTTGAGTAGGTAAACAAAGCAGCCCGGAAACTCGAACTGGGTGGAGCCCACCGCAGCTCAAGGAGGCCTGCCTGCCTCTGTAGGCTCCACCTCTGGGGGCAGGGCACAGACAAACAAAAGGCAGCAGAAACCCCTGCAGACTTAAATGTCCCTGTCTGACAGCTTTGAAGAGAGTAGTGGTTCTCCCAGCACGCAGCTTGAGATCCGAGAACGGGCAGACTGCCTCCTCAAGTGGGTCCCTGACCCCCGAGTAGCCTAACTGGGAGGCACCCCCCAGTAGGGGCGCACTGACACTTCACACGGCTGGGTACTCCTCTGAGACAAAACCTCCAGAAGAACGATTAGACAGCAGCATTTGCGGTTCACCAATATCCGCTGTTCTGCAGCCACTGCTGCCTGATACCCAGACAAACAGGGTCTGGAGTGGACCTCCAGCAAACTCCAACAGGCCTGCAGCTGAGGGTCCTGACTGTTAGAAGGAAAACTAACAAACAGAAAGGACATCCACACCAAAAACCCATCTGTACGTCACCATCATCAAAGACCAAAGGTAGATAAAACCACCAAGATGGGGAAAAACCAAAGCAGAAAAACCAGAAACTCTAAAAATCAAAGCGCCTCTCGTCCTCCAAAGGAACGCAGCTCCTCACCAGCAACAGAACAAAGCTGGACGGAGAATGGCCTTGATGAGTTGAGAGAAGAAGGCTTCAGAAGATCAAACTATTCCGAGCTAAAGGAGGAGGTTTGAACCGATGGCAAAGAAGTTAAAAACCTTGAAAAAAAATTAGACAAATGGCTAACTAGAATAACCAATGCAGAGAAGTCCTTAAAAGAGCTGATGGAGCTGAAAACCACGGCACGAGAACTATGTGACGAATGCACAAGCCTCAGTAGCCAATGCGATCAACTGGAAGAAAGAGTATCAGCGATGGAAGCCAAAGTGAATGAAATGAAGCGAGAAGAGAAGTTTAGAGAAAAAAGAAAAGAAACGAACAAAGCCTCCAAGAAATATGGAACTATGTGAAAAGACCAAATCTACGTCCTGATTGGTGTACCTGAAAGTGACAGGGAGAATGGAACCAAGTGGGAGAACACTCTGCAGGATATTATCCAGGAGAACTTCCCAAACCTAGCAAGGCAGGCCAACATTCAAATTCAGGAAATACAGAGAACTCCACAAAGATACTCCTCGAGAAGAGCAACTCCAAGACACCTAATTGTCAAATTCACCGAAGTTGAAATGAGGGAAAAAATGTTAAGGGCAGCCAGAGAGAAAGGTCGGGTTACCCACAAAGGGAAGCCCATCAGACTAACAGCTGATCTCTCGGCAGAAACTCTGCAAGCCAGAAGAGAGTGGGGGCCAATATTCAACATTCTTAAAGAAAAGAATTTTCTTTTTTTTTTTTTTTAATTTATTTTTTTATTGATAATTCTTGGGTGTTTCTCACAGAGGGGGATTTGGCAGGGTCATGGGACAATAGTGGAGGGAAGGTCAGCAGATAAACAAGTGAACAAAGGTCTCTGGTTTTCCTAGGCAGAGGACCCCACGGCCTTCCGCAGTGTTTGTGTCCCTGGGTACTTGAGATTAGGGAGTGGTGACGACTCTTAACGAGCATGCTGCCTTCAAGCATCTGTTTAACAAAGCACATCTTGCACCGCCCTTAATCCATTTAACCCTGAGTGGACACAGCACATGTTTCAGAGAGCACAGGGTTGGGGGTAAGGTCACAGATCAACAGGATCCCAAGGCAGAGGAATTTTTCTTAGTGCAGAACAAAATGAAAAGTCTCCCATGTCTACTTCTTTCTACACAGACACGGCAACCATCCGATTTCTCAATCTTTTCCCCACCTTTCCCGCCTTTCTATTCCACAAAGCCGCCATTGTCATCCTGGCCCGTTCTCAATGAGCTGTTGGGCACACCTCCCAGACGGGGTGGTGGCCGGGCAGAGGGGCTCCTCACTTCCCAGTAGGGGCGGCCGGGCAGAGGTGCCCCTCACCTCCCGGACGGGGCGGCTGGCCGGGCGGGGGGCCGACCCCCCCACCTCCCTCCCGGACGGGGCGGCTGGCCGGGCGGGGGGCCGACCCCCCCACCTCCCTCCCAGACGGGGCGGCTGGCCGGGCAGAGGGGCTCCTCACTTCCCAGTAGGGGCGGCCGGGCAGAGGCGCCCCTCACCTCCCAGACGGGGCGGCTGGCCGGGCGGAGGGCTGACCCCCCCACCTCCCTCCCGGACAGGGCGGCTGGCCGGGCGGGGGGCTGACCCCCCCACCTCCCTCCCGGACGGGGCGGCTGGCCGGGCAGAGGGGCTCCTCACTTCCCAGTAGGGGCGGCTGGGCAGAGGCGCCCCTCACCTCCCAGACGGGGCGGCTGGCCGGGCGGAGGGCTGACCCCCCTACCTCCCTCCTGGACGGGGCGGCTGGCCGGGTGGGGGGGCTGACCCCCCCATCTCCCTCCCGGACGGGGTGGCTGGCCGGGCTGAGGGGCTCCTCACTTCCCAGTAGGGGCGGCCGGGCAGAGGCGCCCCTCACCTCCCGGACGGGGCGGCTGGCCGGGCAGGGGGCTGACCCCCCCACCTCCCTCCCGGATGGGGCGGCTGCCGGGCGGAGAGGCTCCTCACTTCTCAGACGGGGCAGCTGCCGGGCGGAGGGGCTCCTCACTTCTCAGACGGGGTGGTTGCCAGGCAGAGGGTCTCCTCACTTCTCAGACGGGGCGGCCGGGCAGAGACGCTCCTCACCTCCCAGACGGGGTCTCGGCCGGGCAGAGGCGCTCCTCACATCCCAGATGGGGCGGCGGGGCAGAGGCGCTCCCCACATCTCAGACGATGGGCGGCCGGGCAGAGACGCTCCTCACTTCCTAGATGTGATGGCGGCTGGGAAGAGGCGCTCCTCACTTCCTAGATGGGATGGCGGCCGGGCGGAGACGCTCCTCACTTTCCAGACTGGGCAGCCAGGCAGAGGGGCTCCTCACATCCCAGACGATGGGCGGCCAGGCAGAGACGCTCCTCACTTCCCAGACGGGGTGGCAGCCGGGCAGAGGCTGCAATCTCGGCACTTTGGGAGGCCAAGGCAGGCGGCTGCTCCTTGCCCTCGGGCCCCGCGGGGCCCGTCCGCTCCTCCAGCCGCTGCCTCCCAGGCGGCGCTCGCCGGCGCGGCGGCAAAGACTGAGACAGCTCCGCTGCCCGCTGAACTCCATCCTCCCGGCGGTCGGGCGGCGGCGGCTGCCAAGAAAAGAATTTTCAACCCAGAATTTCATATCCAGCCAAACTAAGCTTCATAAGTGAAGGAGAAATAAAATCCTTTACAGACAAGCAAATGCTGAGAGATTTTGTCACCACCAGGCCTGCCCTAAAAGAGCTCCTGAAGGAAGCACTAAACATGGAAAGGAACAACCGGTAACAGCCACTGCAAAAACATGCCAAATTGTAAAGACCTTCAAGACTAGGAAGAAACTGCATCAACTAATGAGCAAAATAACTAGCTAACATCATAATGACAGGATCAAATTCACACATAACAGTATTAACCTTAAATATAAATGGGCTAAATGCTCCAATTAAAAGACACAGACTGGCAAATTGGATAAAGAGTCAAGACCCATCAGTGTGCTGTATTCAGGAAACCCATCTCATGTGCAGAGGCACACATAGGCTCAAAATAAAGGGATGGAGGAAGATCTACCAAGCAAATGGAAAATAAAAAAAGGCAGGGGTTGCAATCGTAGTCTTGGATAAAACAGACTTTAAACCAACCAAGATCAAAAGAGACAAAGAAGGCCCTTACATAATGGTAAAGGGATCAATTCCACAAGAAGAACTAACTATCATAAATATATATGCACTCAATACAGGAGCACCCAGATTCATAAAGCAAGTCCTTAGTGAAGTACAAAGAGACATAGACTCCCACACAATAATAATGGGAGACTTTAACACCCCACTGTCAACATTAGACAGATCAAGAAGACAGAAAGTTAACAAAGATATCCAGGAGTTGAACTCCGCTCTGCACCAAGTGGACCTAATAGACATCTACAGAACTCTCCACCCCAAATCAACAGAATATACGTTCTTTTCAGCACCACACCACACCTATTCCAAAATTGACCACATAGTTGGAAGTAAAACACTCCTCAGCAAATGTAAAAGAACAGAAATTATAACAAACTGTCTCTCAGACCACAGTGCAATCAAACTAGATCTCAGGATTAAGAAAGTCACTCAAAACTACTCAACTACATGGAAACTGAACAACCTGCTCCCTAATGACTACTGGGTACCTAACAAAATGAAGGCAGAAATAAAGATGTTCTTTGAAACCAACGAGAACAAAGACACAACATACCAGAATCTCTGGGACACACTCAAAGCAGTGTGTAGAGGGAAATTTATAGCACTAAATGCCCACAAGAGAAAGCAGGAAAGATCTAAAATTGACACCCTAACATCACAATTAAAAGAACTAGAGAAGCAACAGCAAACACATTCAAAAGCTAGCAGAAGGCAAGAAATAAGTAAGATCAGAGCAGAACTGAAGGAGATAGAGACACAAAAAACCGTTCAAAAAAATCAATGAATCCAGGAGCTGGTTTTTTGGAAAGATCAACAAAATTGATAAACCGCTAGCGAGACTAATAAAGAAGAAAAGAGAGACGAATCAAATAGACGCAATAAAAAATGATAAAGGGGATACCACCACTGATCCCACAGAAATACAAATTACTATCAGAGAATACTATAAACACCTCTATGCAAATAAACTAGAAAATCTAGAAGAAATGGATAAATTCCTCGACACATACACCCTCCCAAGACTGAACCAGGAAGAAGTTGAATCTCTGAATAGACCAACAACAGGCTCTGAAATTGAGGCAATAATTAATAGCTTACCAACCAAAAAAAGTCCAGGACCAGATGGATTCACAGCCGAATTCTACCAGAGGTACAAGGAGGAGCTGGTACCATTCCTTCTGAAACTATTCCAATCAATAGAAAAAGACGGAATCCTCCCTAACTCATTTTATGAGGCCAGCATCATCCTGATACCAAAGCCTGGCAGAGACACAGCAGAAAAAGAGAATTTTAGACCAATATCCTTGATGAACATCGATGCAAAAATCCTCAATAAAATACTGGCAAACCGAATCCAGCAACACATCAAAAAGCTTATCCACCATGATCAAGTGGGCTTCATCCCTGGGATCCAAGGCTCGTTCAACATACGAAAATCAATAAACGTAATCCAGCATGTAAAGAGAACCAAAGACAAAAACCACATGATTATCTCAATAGATGCAGAAAAGGCCTTTGACAAAATTCAACAACCTTCATGCTAAAAACTCTCATTAAATTAGGTATTGATGGGACGTATCTCAAAATAATAAGAGCTATCTATGACAAACCCACAGCCAATATCATACTGAATGGACAAAAACTGGAAGCATTCCCTTTAAACACTGGCACAAGACAGGGTTGCCCTCTCTCACCAGTCCTATTCAACATAGTGTTGGAAGTCCTGGCCAGGGCAATCAGGCAGGAGAAGGAAATAAAGGGCATTCAGTTAGGAAAAGAGGAAGTCAGATTGTCCCTGTTTGCAGATGACATGATTGTATATCTAGAAAACCCCATCGTTTCAGCCCAAAATCTCCTTAAGCTGATAAGCAACTTCAGCAAAGTCTCAGGATACAAAATCAATGTGCAAAAATCACAGGCATTCTTATACACCAATAGCAGACAGAGAGCCAAATCATGAGTGAACTCCCATTCACAGTTGCTTCAAAAAGAATAAAATACCTAGGAATCCAACTTACAAGGGACGTGAAGGACCTCTTCAAGGAGAACTACAAACCTCTGCTCAATGAAATAAAAGAGGATACAAACAAATGGAAGAACATTCCATGCTCATGGGTAGGAAGAATCAATATCGTGAAAATGGCCATACTGCCCAAGGTAATTTCTAGATTCAATGCGATCCCCATCAAGCTACCAATGACTTTCTTCACAGAATTGGAAACAACTACTTTAAAGTTCATATGGAATCAAAAAAGAGCCTGCATTGCCAAGTCAATCCTAAGCTGAAAGAACAAAGCTGGAGGCATCATGTTACCTGACTTCAAACTATACTACAAGGCTACAGTAACCAAAACAGCATGGTACTGGTACCAAAACAGAGATAGAGACCAATGGAACAGAACAGAGCCCTCAGAAATAATGCCGCATATCTACAACTATCTGATTTTTGACAAGCCTGACAAAAACAAGCAATGGGGAAAGGATTCCCTATTTAATAAATGGTGCTGGGAAAACTGGCTAGCCGTATGGAGAAAGCTGAAACTGGATCCCTTCCTTACACCTTAGACAAAAATTAATTCAAGATGGATTAAAGACTTAAATGTTAGACCTAAAACCATAAAAACCCTAGAAGAAAACCTAGGCAATACCATTCGGGACATAGGCATGGGCAAGGACTTCATGTCTAAAACACCAAAAGCAATGGCAACAAAAGTCAAAATTGACAAATGGGATCTAATTAAACTCAAGAGCTTCTGCACAGCAAAAGAAACTACCATCAGAGTGAACGGGCTACCTACAGAATGGGAGAAAATTTTTTGCAACCTACTCATCTGACAAAGGGCTAATATCCAGAATTTACAAAGAACTCAAACAAATGTACAAGAAAAAAACAAACAACCCCATCACAAAGTGGGCAAAGGGTATGAACAGACACTTCTCAAAAGAAGACATTTATGCAGCCAAAAAACACATGAAAAAATGCTGCTCATCATCACTGGCCATCAGAGAAATGCAAATCAAAACCACAATGAGATACCATCTCACACACCTGTTAGAATGGCGATCATTAAGAAGTCAGGAAACAACAGGTGCTGGAGAGGATGTGGAGAAATAGGAAGGAACACTTTTACACTGTTGGTGGGACTGTAAACTAGTTCAACCATTGTGGAAGTCAGTGTGGCGATTCCTCAGGGATCTAGAACTAGAAATACCATTTGACGCAGCCATCCCATTACTGGGTATATACCCAAAGGATTATAAATCATGCTGCTATAAAGACACATGCACATGTATGTTTATTGCGGCACTATTCACAATAGCAAAGACTTGGAACCAACCCAAATGTCCATCAACGATAGACTGGATTAAGAAAATGTGGCACATATACACCATGGAATACTATGCAGCCATAAAAAAGGATGAGTTCATGTCCTTTGTAGGGACATGGATGAAGCTGGAAACCATCATTCTCAGCAAACTATCGCAAGGACAAAAAACCAAACACCGTATGTTCTGACTCATAGGTGGGTATTGAACAATGAGAACACATGGACACAGGAAGGGGAACATCACACACCGGGGACAGTTGTGTGGTGGGGATAGGGGGAAGGGATAGCATTAGGAGATACACCTAATGCTAAATGATGAGTTAATGGGTGCAGCATGCCAACATGGCATATGTATACATATGTAACAAACCTGCACGTTGTGCACATGTACCCTAAAACCTAAAGTATAATAATAATAAAATTTTTAAAAAAAGTATGTACTTTTCATTCAATGAAAGAGCAGTATTTGAGAGGCATCATTCACTGTTGTTAAAAATCCTCAATCTGCCATTTACTAGTTGTGGTAGGCAGAATACTAGCCCCCATAGATGTCAACATACTAATCCCCAGAACCTGTAACTATGTTACCTTATGGGATAAAAAGACTGCGGATGTGATTAAGTTAATCTTGAGATGGAGAGATTATCTTGGGTTATCTGGATAGGCCCAGTATAATCACAAGGATTCTTTAAAGGAGGCTCAGAATCAGAGACGATCTGATGACAGAATTAGAGGTCATAGTGATGCATGGCCACAAGCCAAGGAATGTGAGCAGGCTTTGGAAGCTGAAAAAGACAAGGAAATGTGTTTTCCCCTAGAGGCTCCGAAGGAACACATCCCTGCTCATCCATTTTAGACTTATGACCTCCAGAACTGTGTGGGAATAAATGTGTGTTTTAATTCACTTAGTTTCTGGTATTGTGTTACAATAACAATAGGAAACTAATATCTGAAGTGTTTGACCTTTTGTTGCCCAGTTACCTCAGAGCATTATTTGAGGATTAAGTGAGTTTATTCAAGGAAAGTGCTTGTCAAATACAAACACGTGTGTGTATATGTATGTGTAAAGGAAAAGAAACCTCTTTTTTGTTTTACTGCTTATTTCACTTCTGGTCACCAAAATTTGCAAGTTTTTCCTACCATGAGCACTCTTCCAACAGCAGTTAGGTGTCCTATAATTTGATTCTGTTCTAACACTGTCTGCTTGGAATTAACGTCAGATCCAGTGAGTTAAAGGCTCAGTCCCAGAAGACTACACCCCACTTTAGAGGCTACTCGCTAGTAGTAGGTTGTCATCTATACTTCTTATCTGCTGGCTGTCAATTGGGGGTTCCCATGACCTCTTCATCAAGTTTAATTATTTGCTAGTGGTGCCCACAGAACTCAGGAAGATATGTTTACCAGTTTATTATAAAGGAATTACAAAGGCTGCAGATGAATGGCCAGATGAGGAGGTACATAGGGCAAGGTCAGTGGGCAGGGGCAAGGAGCTTCCATACTCCCTCCCAGTGCTCCACCTTCCTAGCACCTCCACACGTTCAGTAACCCAGAAACACTTTCAACCCTGTCCCTTGGGGTTTCTCTGGAGGCTTCACTGTGGCCAATTGATTATATCATTCCCTCCCTGGAGATCAGGCATGGGGCTGAAAGTTCCACCCATCCAGTCACATGATTGTTTCCTCTGGTACCAGCCCCTATCTGGAGACTATCCAGGAGCCCCCAGCCATCAGTCGTCTCATTATATCTTAGTCCATTTAATGTGTTGCTGTAAGGAATACCTCGAGGCTGGGTAATTTATAAAGAAAAGAGGTTTATTTGGCTCACAGTTTTGCAGGCTGTACAAGAAGCATGGTGCCAGCATCTATGTCTGGTGAGGGCTTCAGATTGCTTCCACTCCTGGCAGAAGGTGAGGGGGAGTCAGCATGTGCAAAGACGACATGGCAAGGGAGGAAGCAAAGTGATGGAGAGGGAGGTGCCAGGCTGTTTTTCACAACCAACTATTGAAGGAACTAATAGAGTGAGAACTCACTCACACTTCCTCCCCGTGCACCTTCCAACGCAAATTAAATTATTCATGAGGGATCCACCTCCATGACTCAGACACCTCTTACTAGGTCCCACCTCCAACATTGGGCATCCAATTTCAACATACATTTGGAAGGCACAAACATTCAAACTGTAGCACGTTAACATATAAAAATGTACTTATCACTTATCTGAGACACTCATCTGAAATTCCAAGAGATTTAGGGGCTATGTGCCAGGAAAGGAAGACCAAATACATATTTCTTATTATAAATCACTCACAGTACATATACAGGTAATGTACATAAAATTATGAACTGCATTTAGAGAACTGAAGATGGTTCTAATGAAGATCAGAAAATAAAAAACGCATGCATGTGTAATTTAAGTTCAATTTTATATAATTAACAAGTATACAACTGTTAATAAAAGTCACACGTTCATGACTCTAGAAGAGACCTTAAATTTAGAGGTTAGCTAATCTAACCTTTTACCCCATAAGGATTCCGTACTATATTACTACACGGCATTTCTATACCATATCCCTATGTGCTGTCTGCCATTAGTCCATTGTTGGGTAACTTAAATGGTTAGAAATACTTCTATGCATTAAGCCAAATATAGTAACTTCTTTTTGGAACTACATCGTATAAGGATGTTTTTCCTTTTGAGAGCCCTCTCTGAAATACTGACAATGCTAATCAAGACCTTTCCTATACTCACCACCTACTATCACTTCAAGCTTTTGTACTCTAGACTAAGTTTTCCTCCCCTCCTTTTTAAAATTCTGTTGACGTAAGTTTCCATTTGCTGTTTTGAAATTTGTTACATTGGTTTCCTTGAGCTTCCTGTCAAACTAGCTTCAAAATATTTTTACTGGGGCTAGTCTGGAGTCAGTTTTTAGTCTTTCTTCACTTACATATTTGAACAGTTGACTGTTTTTGAGGGGAGAAGGGCTCTAATAGCAGGACATTGCCTTTATCCTGATTAAATGTTCTTGTCAATCATGTGATGCTCTTCAGCAGTTGCCAGGGAGTCATCATTCTGAAAACCAGATTTACTTTTTCTGTTTTTTATTCGTATTTCCACTTCTTTTAAGTTAGCAGGAAGAAATGCTGAATTCACCAATGCCTTTGGTCCCTTGTCCAGGACTTCAGAGTCACTAGAAATGGTCTGTATTTCTTATGGTAAAGTTGTGCATCTCTACAAGATTCCATAAAAGGGATTAGTAGTGTGTTTGACCTGTTGTCTTAAGCATACTCTCAGTCATCTCTTGGCATATACATGTGAATGAGGTAGCCTCATAATAACCTTGTGCTGCCTTTTCAGGAGTCACTGTTAACCTCTACTGGTCTCTTTCTCTGGATACTGGAGCATGGTGCAAGGATTCTTCAACTCTCATGAATTCACTCTCGTGAATTCCCATTATTATTGCATGCACCTTTACAAGCCCTAGAGTAACTACTAAGAAAGGCCTCATGTTGCCTTATGAGTCTCTAAGCCTCCTCAGAGTCTACGCACCTCAAGAATATTTTTATTGGATCCTTTTCCCCTCCCTAACCTCATTCCTACCTCTCTTTTTACTACTCTTCTCTCTTCTTCCTCCCCTCCTCTTTTTTTCTCTCTGTCCTCCAAATAAATGTGCAAAGTCATGCTCTGAAACTGAAGTTCCTTGTACCTAGGAGAATCCTCATCTTACTCAGCGCAAATTTGCTCCTACTGTAGTAACAGCTTTTGCTGCTGACTGATTACAACCGTTTTACTGTTGTAAGCTTCCAGCTCATGATGGTTTTAGATGTGCACTGTCCAGCACAAAGCCACTCGTCACAGCTGGCTGCTGAACACGCTGCCACACGTTGAAATGGTAATATTGTGGATATAGTAGGGTAAATAAAACGTGCTATTAAAACTCATGTCTTTTTTAAACATTGCTACTGGAAGTTTACAATTACATAGGAAGCTTATATTTCTACTGGACAGCACTTTTCAAACATTCTAAACTAAAAGGAAATATATAAAGAGATTAATTTATGCAAAGGAAAAGAGAGAAATAAATTACGTATTAAAAAGTAAAATATGGCTGGGTGTGGTAGCTCACGCCTGTAATCCCCGCACTTTGGGAGGCCAAGGCTGGCAGATCACTTGAGGCCAGGAGTTCGAGACCAGCCTGGCCAACATGGTGAAACCCCGTCTCTACTAAAAATACAAAAATTAGCTGGCTGTGGTGGCTCACGCCTGTAGTCCCAGCTACTCGAGAGGATGAGGCACAAGAATTGCTTGAAACCCAGGAGGCAGAGTTTGCAGTGAGCCAAGATGGTTGCATTGCGCTCCAGCCTGGGCGACAGAGTGAGACTCTATCTAAAAAAAAAAAAAAAAGTAAAATACATAGCAATCTTGAACCGTTTTGAGTAAGTACAAATGTCCCTGCACATCTCAGTAGTCCAGAGAGCATTGCTATATTATTCCAAAGGCTGGTGGAGGTTCATAATAATTGGCCCTGAATTGTCAAGAAGAGTAAAATTATGTTTGGAGTGATCTGTTTTTCAGTGTATAGAGGTATGTAATATATTTCATAAAGAAATTCTATCAAGAAAAGAGAAATTAAAATGCTAAATTAGCAGTTATGTTAAAAACTTGGCTATCTGGAATGATTTAGTTCTTGAGTGTTCCGATTTTTATGGTAGCAGTATTCTAATAAGACAAAGTGATAATTTTTATATGAGGGTAGTTGATAAATTTATGGGAGGAACATAAGTCATTCAACAAATAGAAACGACAGAATACTCAAAAACACTTTCTTCAGAGATTCTTCTTAATATTTGTATTATTTTTATGTGAAGTATTTATATTGAAATAATTATTTCAGAAAGAACTCATTTTTGTTTAAACCAGTATGCCAATATGATCTCTTCATTTAAGAAACTGCTGTATATGTAGTAGCTGCAATCTCAGAACTCTCAGGATATATGAACAAAGCGTATTGTGATTTATAGGAACCAGGCCATTGTCTGTGAAAAGAAAATTACTTTCCTACAGCCCTTGCTCTTATCGGGATGCTTGGCCCCTGGATGCGTAAGCCTACTGAGGGCTGAAGTTTTGGGAGTCGCCTATTCAGGGATTGCCTGACCTCTGCATCTTATAACCATATCATCCTGAGGAATTGCAGACTGATGTGGAGGCATGTGACTGCTTTTTGAATGATGTCAGAACTGTCTTGTCTTTGTTGTGATTATTGTGTATGATTGCATTTTATCCTTCATAGTCTGTCATTGATTTACAAAACGTCTCAGAAAGATGTAGTGAGTGCAATTATGGTTTCCTCAAGAAGCACCAATTGTGATTTACTTCTTCAGCTGCACACACTTCAGTTATTTTTTTCTTATATTTTCCCAAAAGTATCACTAAATCTCTTACTGTGTTAGATTTCATTGACTTTAGTGAAGTCTGATTAATATCCTTTCTCATTTAAGCCCTTCTGGGTTTTTTTTTTTTTTTTTGAGTCTCATTCATTTACTAGTTCTCTTTGAATCACGTCATTTATTTTTTCATTTAACAAATATACAGGCACTGTTTACAATATGCCAAGCACAATACAGCACTGATACAGATAACAGAAATCTTGAATTGTTGGAGAAAGTGATGGAGTTTAGAGCTAGCATGCTAGCAGTGGCACCAAACCTGCAGCAACTTGTTCATTTAGTAGACTGCAGGGCCCAGCTGTTGCTGATGAAAGTAATCACCCGTGTGAACATTATCTGTCAGGTGTGTTGAGGAAAAATCATTCGGAATCATTTCTAAGAAATAACAGCGCCAAGCACTATATTCTTAAAGCTTTCGGAGATTTACCATTGGTATGTAAGGGCTGTTTGTATCAGTTTATGTCTGTGTAAATAAAAGATTTAGATCAGAGAAATGATGGTTCCTAACCTTTTTTGGGTCATGGACCACTTTAAGGAGCTAATAAAAGCACCTTTAGATCCACTCCTTAGGGAGAAAATACATTGCACATTTGAACATACACTCAAATTTTGCCTCTAGTTGTCAAGTATTTACAGAATTTTTGAATTCCATGAAATTACCAGAGGTTAAGAACTTCTGATGTACACATAATGGTTAGAAATATAATCTTAGAACAGGCTTGACAAGATAAACTAGTTTGATATCCTTATGATTAAGACTCAGAATAAGCAAATAACTTGCCTAAAATTTTAAAACTGTAGTGTCAAAGCTAGGACTGGAATCTGTGCCCTTTGACAGTGTTTTTAACTGAAATGGTGTGGAGTGATTTCATGAAGGAAGTTATGTGTAAGTTTGGCCATATGTTTGTGGCAAGATTTTAACAAGTGCAAATGATTGGAGCTTAGATCATTGTCAACATGAGCAAAGACATTCAGGAAAATGCAAGGTGTATTTGGGTAAAAGTGAGTGATGTAGAGTTGATAGTGTGTGTTGAGAAGGTAAGGTGGAATAGGGAACAGTGAATAATAAATTGAATAAATTTAGTCTATATTTTTAAAGGATTTTGACTATTCAGCTGTAGGGTTGAACACCATTTTGTAAGACAGGTATGGGGACTCATACATTTATACTATTTTGATTATTATTATTATTATTGAATAGGAGAATAAACTAATTAAAGCAGAAATTAATGTAACTGAATTAAGGGCTAGAGACAAGGGATTAAGGAGTAATTTAGGGATTAGCTACAGGACTGTTATAGGAGGTGGGTGAAAGAAAAAGTACATAAATAAATTGTAGCAATAAGAATGGAAAAAAGGGCCGGGCGCGGTGGCTCACGCCTGTAATCCCAGCACTTTGGGAGGCCGAGGCGGGTGGATCATGAGGTCAGGAGATCGAGACCATCCTGGCTAACAAGGTGAAACCCCGTCTCTACTAAAAATACAAAAAATTAGCCGGGCGCGGTGGCGGGCGCCTGTAGTCCCAGCTACTCGGGAGGCTGAGGCAGGAGAATGGCGTGAACCCGGGAAGCGGAGCTTGCAGTGAGCCGAGATTGCGCCACTGCAGTCCGCAGTCCGGCCTGCGCGACAGAGCGAGACTCCGCCTCAAAAAAAAAAAAAAAAAAAAGAATGGAAAAAAGAAAGTAGGGACAAGGCATTGTATGGATTATAATGTAGCAGAATCTGTATTTTAATGTGTTAGGTTAATGTGTAACTAGGGATATCATGTTACATATCTGTAAATGAGTGGTAAAAGTAAAAATATTTACATTTATATTTAGATTAATACTTTGTCCAATAATCTTTCTGAACATAGTTATAGCAGAAGTCACAATTGATTCAGCTTGGACTTAATGGATATATTACCACGGATTCAGACTTCACATATAGAGAAATGCTCATTAATTTGGAATAACCTAATTAAATAATGTAGTTCATTTAGTAATCTAGTGGCTAAAATTTAACAGTCTTTACTTCTTATATAGCCAGTTTCAAGAGGGTTCGCAATTTGGTCAGGAAGAGTTTCAGACGTTTTAAAGAAAATATTATCCAAGGAAAGCAATTTTGCTAAATATTATATCTAAAAGGCTATAAAAAGGGCTATTGAGATATAATGTCTAGAAAACCAGTTTGCTTTTTCTCCTAAGCGTAATATTAGCTTCAAAAAAAGTGACTCAGTGCAGTTGAACATTCACTTACTAAACATAATTAACCGTCTCTTATTATAAAGTTAATACTATGGGCTATTGTGATGTCATGATTGCTTTTGGTTTTAACTTGCTTCATTTTACCTTGATCTCCTTTCCACATTTCGTTCAGTTGAAAAGGAGATGTATGAAAATGTTTATTATGATTTCAGAAAAATATGGAGGACACTTTGTAAGTTGAGGAAATGAAGAAGGCATGTTAGTGGTTTTTTCAAAAGTTAGTTTGTGGTATTTTGCATTAGAAAGTTGTTTCAAGTCTGTCTAAATATAAGTCAGGAGAACATTTTTATTCGAAGTAGCAGGAGAAATGGAAGGTGGAGATGTTCAAATTTAGGTCATCTTAAAATTATCTTATTGGGAAACCATTCGCCTGTATGTAGAGGGCATGAAGCCACATATCAGCTGTTTATATTAATTTTCTTATCTGAATATATTTAATCCCATCCCTAATGTCAGCTTTATTGTGTAGTTTCTTCTTATTTTAAATACCTAGTAAAATAGAGTATCAACATTTCTACCTAAAACAATGTTATATTAATGAAATTGGAGTCATTCCTCCTCTTTTGGGTGTGCTGGTATAAACTTGTCTGCCTAGTTACCACTTCTTAGAGGGTAGATTTTAGATATATATAATTTTCAGTTGGTGGTGTTAGCTTTTGTTAGGTGAGAACTCAGAACTAACTTGTTCCTCTTGCTTTTTAGAAAGCTGCTTGGATTAACTTGTGATAAACATCAGACTTCATGCATACAAAGCCTTGCTATGATGTAAGACACTGATGGTAATAGTTTTTCCAGGGTTAGTTTTTAGTTTATGTGTTATCCAGAACTTTATTGTAGAATTTGTCCATAATAAATGTTTACCATCATTTCTAAATATATATGGAATGCCTATTACCCTGAACCTAAGATAGAAAATGCTGGTTTTTTGTTTTGTTTTGTTTTGTTTTTAATGCAGATAACAAGTGAGAAGGAAAGAGTTAAAAGATGTGCAAATTAGTTCAGGCCAGATGAATTGCCCCTATATGAGGCAAGGTTGGTATCTGCAGTGGTGAAATTGTGGCAGTGCCATCATAGTTCTCAGTAGTTAACTTTTTCTCTTTTTTTTCTTTTCTTTTCTATAGGTGACATGAGAATTTTTCAGATTTCAAAAAAGACATGGTTTGGCTATTTCTTAACAAGGTTAAACAGATACTTATGATATAACCCAGCAACCCCACTGCTAGATATTTACCCAAGAAAAATGAAGTTATTTGTCCATACAAAAATACTCTCTGTAAATGTTGCCAGTAGCTTTCTTCATAATCACCCAAAGACATTTGGTAACAACCCAAATGTCTGGCAGCTGGTGATTGGATAAACAAATTGAGATACATCCATATAATGGAATATAACTTAACAATAAGAAGGATCAAAGTACCGATATGTCCAACAACATGGACGAAACTTAAAAGCATTTATACTAAGTAAAAGATACTAGAATCAGAAGTTTATATATTCTGTGATTCCATTTACATGGCATTCCGTAAAATAAAACTGGGGACAGAAATCATATCCATGGTTACCATGGAGGGAGGGGGATTGGAGTAGGCGATTGATTTCAGAGGGGCCTGACTTTTTGGTGTGATAGAAATGTTTCCTGTCTTGAAGTGTAGTGTTCACACAGCTGTATAAGTTTTTCAAAACCCACAGAACCATCTGAAAAGGTGAATTTAACTATATGTAAATTATACTTCGAAAAATGAATAAGAAAAGACACAGTTTAATAGTAGTCACCCCTTATCCACAGTTTCACTTTTCAAGGTTTCAGTGACCTGTGGTCAACTGCCTCTCAAAATATTAAGTGGAAAATTCCTGAAATAAACAATTTATAAGTTTTATATGGCATGATGCTCTGAGTATGGTGATGAAATCTCACACAGACCTGCTGTATTCTGCCCAGGGCGTGAACCTTCCCTTTGTCCATAGATCCATGCTGTCTACACTCTCTGCCCGTTAGGCACTTCGTAGCCATCTCAGTGATCAGATCAGCGTCCTGCTATTGCAGCACTTGTGTGCAAGTAATCCTTACTTTACCTCATAGTGACCCAGAAGCACAAGAGTAGTGATATTGGCATATTGTTCCAATTGTTCTGTTTTATTAGAGATTATTCTTAATCTCTTACTATGCCTAGTTTATAAATTAAAATTTATAAGGGGTATGTATTATTGGAAAAAACATATATAGGGTAGGTACCGTCCGCAGTTTTAGGCATCCACTTACATAATGGGGGACCTTGGAATGTATCCCCTGTGAATAATGGGGGCTACTGTACATCTACCATATATTACAAAACACCCCCCGTGGAGACTGGGGCTGTACTATGTAACAGTGATATTTTTGTAGTGAAATATATGACAGCTGTGCTGTGTAGCTGTGTACACTAAATGGGTCAAGTTTTGCTGCCATCTGAGTTTTTAGAGCTTTTTGGGTTTCAGATTTGCAAACAAGGGAGTGTGAATTGATGGCTGTAGAAAAAGGACCTGTGATATAGAACAAAATGTAAAAACTATTGCCAAGTTGTTTTGGATCAAATAGGGAATTTACTTTTCCTGATTTAAATCACTTTTTATGCAGCAGACACTGTGATGGTAAAAAAAAAAAAAAAAAAAAAACACATACACACACACACACACACACACACACACACAAAAAAAAAAAAACAAACTAATATCCCACTTCCCCCAGCCCCTAGCTGCCATTAACACAGATAGTTGATGGCTTAAATAATAGTGGTTGTCCTGAGCTCCCAGACTGAACACATAGCATCATAACCTGCCATGCTTAGAGAGTTCCCTCCCTCCTTCCGTCTTCCTTTCCTCCTTTTTTGTTTTCTTTTTAATATATCAAAAAGTTCTTTCATGTGTACTGTGGTCACAAAGGCTGTTTTCTTTTAAAGTACCGGCACACTTTGCAGAAAGTCCCACTGGTTAACAGCTTCTAGAGGAACACCTCTTTTACCTTTTAATATCCAATTTAAAGAATGTATGTATTTGATAATACCCTCTTTTTTTGGCCGATGTGTATTTATTGAGACACCTATTGATGGCTACAATTGACACCACATCAGAAACAAGTACAAATGATTGGAAACCCTGCTAAGTGTCAGGAAATGGGATGTGTATCTTAGATGTTACTCGTACTAAGAGAGGTCATATTACTGCCTCCTGCATAAAGCTTTTACAAAGCTTTTATTATATGAGTGTTATATTGTGTTTTTGAAATGTTTTAGGACATTGATTGAGGTTTTTGTGTTGACATTTAATATATTACAATTTTTAAGACATGAAAATAATATATAAATTTTATGACATAAAATTATGACATAAAAATTTTAATATAGGATAATAGAGTTGTATTTGGGGCCTTTTACCTTTTGGATTTTTTTTTTTTTTTTTTTTGAGCAGGAGTCTTGCTCTGTTGCCCAGGCTGGAGTGCAGTGGTGCGATCTCAGCTCACTGCAACCTCTGCCTCCCAGGTTTAAGAAATTCTCTGTCTCAGCCTCCCGAATAGATGGGATTACAGGCACGTGCCACCACGCCCAGCTAATTTTTTTGTGTTTTTAGTAGAGAGGAGGTTTCACCATCTTGACCAGGCTGGTATTGAACTCCTGACCTCGTGATCCACCCTTCTGGGCCTCCAAGGCGCTGGGATTACAGGTGTGAGCCACCGCACCCGGCCTGGAATTTTTTTTCACAGCTGCTATGCAGGGGTCGGGGGGTTCATTTCCGTTTTCCTAAAGAATTGGAAAGCTTCTCAAATAATAACTTCGTAGTTTGTCTCTAGTTCCATACTTTGGTGAGCTTTTTTTCTTTTAAAAAAATGTTGTAACAAGTCTATAAAGATTAGAATTATTGAAAAAGTAACTTTCTTTTGAAAGAGCTGGTTTTTATTTACCTTCTAGTTAAAACATTACCAAAAGTTTAGAATTGTTAACCAAGTAGATAGTACAGGTTGGGTAAAATTGTTTAACTGCTTACTCTACAATTTTCAGGTACTACTTTTTATAACAATTTAGTAGAGTGTTTTTTCTCAAATAACTTTGTTTTGTTTTAAGTCTGTTTAAAGCAACATTAAAACCATCTTAGAAAAACTGCTTACCAATACTAAGAATCAAATACAGGATGGAAGTTTAAGAGTTGAAACTTTAGAAATCGTTTAACCTGTTCATTTTCCAGATGACAGTAAAATGAAGGTTCTGTGAAGCATGAAGTGGTTTACCCAAGGTCACACAAGTAAACTAGTGGCAGAGCTAGAACTCATTCTAGATCTGTTATTCAGTCCAGCATTTTTTATTTCACATGTTTCATGGTAATGAAGTAGTTGTTTGGTGTTCAGTAAGGAAAAAAAAAGCTTATGTTTTGGTAGTGATAATTTTAAGAGTAAAGAATATGGAAAATGGTTATTAGGGTAAAAGGTAACTTCTTATATGCTCATTAAAAACACTGCAAAGTTTCGTGGTCCAATAGAAGTTTCAGCTCTTCTGGTGAATGGTCTCTCTGCAATGTTCAGTATAGAGGTACTAGCTAGTTACCTGTGCCTACTGAATACCTGAAATATGGCTGGTGTGACTGATGAACAGAATTTTTATTTTTATATAATTTAATTGTAAGTGTTGAGGGGAGTGGCTAAAATATTGGACAATGTAGAGATTATGTTGGTACTAAGCAGAGTGATGTTAGCTAGTTTAAAAGGTCAAGGTTCCAGGAGACAAGGAAAGGGTCTCTACCAGGAAAATACTCTGTTCAAACTTAGAATTTAAGGACAACAAACAACTGTGTTTAGAATGGATGTTCAGTGTTTAGATTGGCCATGATTCTAGACTTAATTGGTGGTATGGACTTTGAAGCCAGTATCATAATGAGTAGAAATATCTGATGGGATTAAAAAGTACAAAGAAGGCATTGAGAGCTGTGATAACTTTGTAATTTACCCCAGTTGTTCTGAATATATTTTTGAAAGATCCTGGAGCAAAATAATACAGGTGTGTCTGGAGCCCATGTTTAAGTATAGCAGAGTATCAGTCTGTCTGAATATTGCTTTGAGAGGAAGACCTAACTCTAATTCTTGAGATTAGATTACTTCCTGGTGCTTTAGCTGAATTCCTTCCACAGCCACATAGCTGGTTTTTAATTTTCAAATCTACTAGTGAAAACATGATGGAATATATAACCTAAATTAATATTTTATTCTTCATATAGGTTGTCAGTTTAGCTACAAGAATCAATTCATCTCTTAATTTGCTGGTACCTTGATGAGAAAACATCTATATCAGTGTTATCAATTCATGGTACTACTTAGCACTCTGGAATATAAGAGTCCCCACATTAACCTGAGAATTGAGATTCTAGACTGAAGTCTTTACATACTTCTTCCCTTGAGATGCTTGATAAGTTCAGAAATTAAGGTATGCTATGGAAAATGCAAAATGGATTCATCATTGGAATAGACCTCAGTGAATTTTCTTTATTCCTGAAATTCCCTTGGCCCAATAGCCTTTGCTTGCAAGCTCATCTGTAAATTTAAATGCTTTAAAGTAGTTTTGATGAACATTTTTTGCTTGTTATATTGATGTGATTAACCTAGTTAAAGCTAATAATTGTCATTATTTTTTAAGTTGTTTGATTGTTATTACTATTTGTTACTCTCTCCTTTTGCTTACATGTCTTTTTCCAGAACTCAGATTTGTTAGTTTGTGCTCACATTTTAGCCTAGTGCAGGGCCTGACAGATAATGGATAATACTTAGTGAAACCTAAGACAATCTGTTTAACTGCCTTGACACCAATTTCAGATGATCCCTTAGGAGAGTGGTTCTGAAATTGGGGTTGAGGTGACACGGAGAAAGGGTGACTTTCAAATGACATTCCTCTACTTTTATATAATGCAAAGTGTTACTGATAGGTTTGGATACCATGCATAATGGTTGAAAGAGAAAAGTCAGAATTTTTTTTTTTTTTTTTTTTTTTGAGATAGAGTTTCTCTCTTGTTGCCCAGGCTGGAGTGCAATGGCACAATCTCAGCTCACTGCAACCTCTGCCTCCCGGATTCAAGAGATTCTCCTGCCTCAGCCTCCTGAGTAGCTGGAATTACAGCATCCACCACCATGCCTGGCTAATTTTTTGTGTTTTTAGTAGAGATGGGGTTTCACCATGTTGGCCAGGCTAGTCTCGAACTCCTGACCTCAGGTGATCCACCTGCTTTGGCCTCCCAGTGTGTTGGGATTACAGGTGTGAGCCACCATGCCTGGCCCAGAATTCTTTTTTAGCCTCTCATTGCTTTAAGAATTTGTGGTTCTATGTTCATAGTCTTTCCATGCTATTCCATCTCAACAAAACCAAATGACTTATTTTTACAAAACTAAGTCTACCTTCATCCTGTCAGTTTCTGAAGGGGCAAAAGCACTTACAATGTTAAAATTGAGATAAGTCAGTAATCATGACTTCTCCTTAGTGATTTAAGTTTTCTTCATTTTTACTCAAAAAGTAATTTTGCCTTTACACTAAGTGAAAGAGAAGCTGTTTCTGACTACTCCAGAAAAATAAAAAGAGCTTTATTTTTCAGCTTTGTTTTAATAACATAGCTCTTTAACACATAAGCCTCGTATTTCTCCCTCTCTCTCTCTCTGTGTGTGTGTGTGTGTGTGTGTGTTTGTGTGTGTGTATGTATCTTTGCTTCTTTCATATCATTACTATTTTACCAGTAAAAACAATTTAGATTTTGGAAAGTAAACTTTTTGGCTTACTTTCAAAAATTCCATTTACTTTTATTTTAATAGAAAATGTTTTAAGCCATCTATTTTCTTCATTCCTGGTTGCTATTATCTTGACTATAATTGCCTAGTTTCCTTTCTGGCTGATCTATTACTAGTCTTTATCTGGATGTTATTAAAGAATATAAATGCTCCATAGAGCACCATAGTCTCAGCCAGAATATTTTCAGATTCTCAGCTAAGATGAAAGAGAACTGGTGCTTTGGCTGTTAAGTAAGTAGCTCAGATTTGTTATCAGAGTGTGAGGGGCTCTAAATTCATTATGTTAGCTGTTCCTGGGAGCTAGCGTTTGAAAAATCGCTTCAGCTGTTTATGGATTGTGGTCCTTGGGCACCAGATAGTGGATGCTAGAATGTATTGCAGAAAAGCTGATTAAAGTACTAGGATCTCTAGCAGGAAGAGTAGAAAGTCATTTGTAATACCTGTGTCTGACTCTGTTGGATGCACTTAATATATTTCCTTTTGAAAGCTTTGGTTTATTATCAGCTTATCCGGGAAGGAATAGCATTTTTGCAAAAATGTGCCTTTTGGTGAAAACATCAATAAACTATGCTTGATGAGAAGTTCAGGTAGGGAGAGACTGATTTGAACTTTGAGGTTCCTAAATACTTTGCGGTTTTATTACCACTCTTATTGGAGTCATGTTTCACTACGACTTAAATTTCAATAGTAGCTACTTTTAAGTTCACAGTTTTAATGTGTTTTTACTGTCTATCAGGGAATTTATACTTTAAAATGTAGACTGTCAGAATTTACTTTTTTTTTTGCCCACCTTCCTCTCCAACAAAAGTTTGCTGAAGTACAGTATGGAAGTATTTTATGTAATCACAAAACTTGCAGCTTTTTAAGTATACTTTGCACTACCCTTGTTAAAATATTGCAGTATTTTCTCATTACTTTCAAAGTAAAGTTCAAACTTCTTAGCTTAGAGAGACATTCATGATGTTTCCATTTCTTCTCTGTCTCGTCCATACCCATTCCCCTGTGAGTGTCCTTTGCTTCAGATACACAGAGCTACTTACAACCATTCCCCTTCTCCTTTCTTTCACTGTGGTAGCTTCCTTCTCCCTGACCCTGCTTCACCTGAGGATTACTTGTCCTTCCTTCAAAACTGCTCAAGTTTCCCCTCTTCCAGGAAGGCTTCCTTGACCCCCAACTACCCTTCCAATCATTAATCCCATTTACACTGGCTGGTAAGCTCTCTAACATTTCATACAATTTCTTTACTGTAATCATTTATTTATTTGTCTGTCTCCTTTAATAGAATAATATTCCTTGAGGTCAGAGATGATAGTGTCTTTCGCGTTAAAATCTGGCATACAGGCCTATTGAAGAAATGTGACTCTACGAAATTAATACATTTTATAGATACATTGCGTAATTTGATTTACTTTGATCCTGGTTCTGTAGACATTTGGGGGCATGGGTTATGCCATTTTCCTCACAAGGAGCTTTTAAAGTTGACTCTCTAACTTCCATATTGCTACCTAAAATGTTTAACAAAGGTAGGTCTTGGGCTTTGGGAAGGCAGGAACTTAAATAGATGGAGGATATAATGAAATGACCTTTACTCTGTCAGTTGGCTAAAAAATCTGAAATACAATTTATGGGAAATTAGAAAGACCAACTCTATGACCATGAAATCATATATTCTAGCTTATATTCTTAAACTTATAACTTTATTGGTATACAAAGTTCTTTTAAGAGAAAATAGGTATTTAACAACTTTTTACTTTGAAAATACCTGGTTATAGTTTTCAGATTTTAACCTAATCTTAATCCAGGAGGCAAGACAAAATTAAAGCTAAAGAATATTTGCTAATAATGGGTTATAGCATTTAAGTATGTATTTGGTAGCCTTGAGATGTCTTTGTAATATTTGCATCAATATTCTGCATTCTTTAGCAAAACAAAATGCGAAGTCCATATTTACACATAAGATTTTTTAAAAGTTACTTAATATTATTTCATAATAGAATAACATTTTCATTTAGTCTAATGTTTTATTATATGAGCACTTAGTATTTGCTTTCATGTAATTATTTGTTGAGATACTTTGTATAATTATTTCTTTAGTGATGTAGCAAACTAAGTCAGTGTATTACAGCTGAATCATAGTCCTGGCTGTTCTTTTTATTTACTGAAGGAACAAACACTGTATTATTAACATTCCTTGTCCTTCAATTGAGCTTGCAAAAGAAATTTGTTTGTTAGATCTTGAATACCCTAAGAAATGTATTATGGATGGTTTTTAATTATATTTCTATTTTCATCATTTGATATATTTTTAAAATCTTGTGATAAAATAGAATGGGGGAAAATTACCCATGTCGCAGTAGTTAGATATCTGCTCATTCTCAAAGACCCCAACCTCCTTTTAAAAAATATTTTAAGATTTATTATATGTTAAAATTGGTATTGAATTTATATGAAGTATTAAGATTACAGCATGTCAGAATATTATTGCCATTTAAGAATGTATTCACTGTTTTGGTTTTTGGAGCACCGCCTCCAAGAGGTTCATGGCATTTGGTACGTAGTTCACGTATTTCTAGTCTACAGACCTTGCCTATCGAGTCAAAGCCTTCGTGGTTCTGATATTTGCATTTTCTACTGCTATAAAGCTCAACAATAGTAATTAATGTTTTTTTTTTAACTTTCCATGTCATTACCAATAAAACTTCAGTTTTTAGAAGACTAGTAATTTGTACCTTTAAAGAGCCACATTATTTTGCTTTTGTCTCAGAATGTATTATGCTTCCCAAGTATACTGTGACAGCCTGAATAGAGAAAAGGGGGGAGGGGACATTGTCTTCAGCTGGCATGCTGTTATCAGAGGGAATGTGTTTCTGGACACGAGATTTAGCATTCATTGGTTGTCTGAAGAAAGCTATTTCATCTGAGGATTGGACAAGAAGCTGCGTCAATTTGCTGCCCGTCTCCAAGGCACTGGTGATGCTGCCTTCACAAGCTGGCTAACGTCACGGCTCCATCACCCAGCGGGGTGTGGACTCTCTTTTTCTGTTCTTCTCTATTTAATTCTCTATTTGCTGCCTACTGCATTTCTTAATCTGTCTTCTGCCAAATGCTAACAGCATGATATTTTGCAATCATCTAGGTGAATACAAGAAAGACGAACTCCTAGAAGCTGCTAGGTAAGTGATTCCATTCATTTTAAGTGTATATAATGCATTAAGGAAGAGAAGGAGGAGGGCAGGTGGAGGACTATAAAAAATATAACGTTATTGTCTTGCTTGGATTTTATGCAATTATGCAGATACTAAATCTTTATGTACTTTATATCATTATTGTATATAATAAAATCTTTTCATGTGGTGATGATTATAAGGTTAATTTTATTTGGAACATTTCCTAAGGTACCTGTAAACCCTAGTTGCCCAGCTTTTCCAGCGATATTCTTGGAGTATTTAAATACCTATATCTTCATTTTCATCTGAAGATTTTTCTAGCAAAGCTTGAATGAAGAGCAAAAAGTAAATGTTAAAATCCTCATCTATTTTTTTTGTGTTCTTGGTCGTTTATAATTTAATTGATTAGCTCTTTACAGCATTTTGTATGTATTTTTAACTCCAACGTTTTAGTCTATTTATCAGAATAAAGTTTGTTTGTAATTAAGAAGATGACTTTATGTAGATAAATAAAACAAAAATGTAGAAAGCTATGTTATTTAAGATATACCACTATAGGGTAATTAACAGGAATTAATTAGAAATATATTAATTGAATTGAATATTGCAAAAGAGATTTATTGTGATCCATGTAAAAGAAATCAAAGCAAACCCATATTTTACTCTCGTGTGAAAAAATTATGCATAAATATTCATAAGAAGCTTTGTAATTTTAGAGGAATTGACTTACTACCTTTTTATAGGAGTGGTAATGAAGAAAAACTAATGGCTTTACTGACTCCTCTAAATGTGAATTGCCATGCAAGTGATGGGCGAAAGGTAAGTTATTTTAAATACAATCCTCTTTAATTGCAATGCTTCAAAATTTTGTGAATGTGGCATATATATATATAAGCACGTATACCTACATGGCTTTATTTTAACTGGCATCTTTTCACTGTAAATGAAATGCTACTATATCTGTTATTGGCAGTTGTGACACATTCATAGAACTGGTGAAGCATGGATCTTAAGTAAGCCTTTTCTCTTAAATGTCAGACACAGCAAGTTATTTGTTACATGAAACTGCAGTTTTGTCGGTGATTAAAATTACAGCATATGCTCTTTTCTGGGTATGATAATGGAAACTGGAAATATGAGTGTCCTATTTACCCATCTTTGTTAAGACATTTGTGTTTTTGATTTCTTATTTGGCAGAAGAAGATTTGTTTGCTAGATACCAACACTTTTTCCATTAAAGCTGAGAAATTGCTGTTAATGATTTTTTTACATCTATGTAACAGCTCTGCTCTTTTATTATTATTTGTACTGGCTAAGTTTTAGTTGTGGAATATTGAAAGAAAATAGATTAAAACAGAGAGGAATATTCTATATTAATATGCAGTTGCCATAAATGTAAGGTAATATATAAAATATACAGCTGGCAGCTTCATTATCTACTTTGTATTCTTGCTGAAGATAGACTGAAATGTAATCCTTTATGGCTTTGGTAATTGCAGAGTTTTGTAGTGATTTACGTAATAGACATTGAAAACCAATGCACTCTGTACCATAAAGTTGGTTTTTTTTTAAATGAGAGTTAATTTTTTAATGTTAACTAAAAACCTAAAACATTTTTAAAGACACATTACAAAAATTGAGGAAAATTGTATGTCTGATATTTAGAAATGAATTCTTTTGAAATTATTTACAGTGAAAATGTTACGGCAAATATCAGGATGGATGGTACCCCTTAGAAATAATAAATTATTTTGCTTTTAAAAAATTACTTTTCTGTGAGTGATAATTTTGCAGATCAGATTTTTGCAAGCTTCCCCACTTTTTCTCTATTTTAATGAAATCCAAAAATAGTGGCAAGGAATTGAGTCCCTCGGAATATAATTTACGTTCATTTGTTTTTGTAGATAGCTTATATATCGTTACATGGCCCAGTGAGTATTTTGTTTCTCTGGGTAATTTGGGGAGAGACTTCTACTTTCATAGAAGGTTAAATTACACATATCAAGCCATAAACTAGCAAAGATTTACTCAGCACTATTAGTTACTCTTGGGAAGTGTTTTTAAATGGTAACTGTTCATTTTTCCTTCAGTTTTGAAGTTGCTTTAGGGAATTTCACACTCTTGTGTGCACTTGAAACTCCAGATTTTATTTGGATTCTCCAAGTAGATAAAGTGATTTCTATCACTGTGTAGAAAAGGGCCTTCTTATCTGTGGTTAAATGCAGCTGTTTTTTAGACAGAGCTTGTTTCGCCCGGCCTACGTCACTTTTCTATAACTGTTTTAATACTACAGAACTTATGTGAGATTTCTACAGCCGGAGTCGATTTCTGTCACAGCCTCGTTTTCCCTTCCTTACCCTTCTACTTTGACAGCCACATTCCTAGTGCAATAAATCATAATAATTAAGGAACATGATCCCTGATATTTAACAAATTCTCTCTTCTCCCTGCTTCATCTCCTACACAAATGTATAGAACTCATTTATTTTTCCTTTTCCTTAAAGGAGAATATACTTCCTTTAACTAGAACCAATGTATTCCTCATCCAAATTCTTGTGGCTCCTTTTCTATATTACTCTGTGGCACTTAGAGTTCCTTAAAGTTCATAAATATCTTTTTCTTTTACTCCTCTACTAGCTCTTCTTGTATTTTGCACCAGGACCAAGGCTGGCACTTTGCATATAGCAGAAGCTTAGAATAGAACTTTGTTGTTCCTTGATAAACATAATTTTATCCTCTGAGTGAGAAAAACATCTACCCTTTGCCATTTAGAAAATTAAATCAGAAGTATGTGAATGCGATATTTTATGTTTTTTGTTATTATTACTAATATTATTATATTAATTTATTTTGGGGTACTGTTAACATGAGGGAGAACCGTATAATTTATAATGTATAGAACATTTTTAAGAACGTACCTCAAGCATTATTATTGTACCAAAAGATTCCTAAAATATAAATAATGCAATAATGTTCCAAAATGTACTCATACTTTTTTAGATTATCAGGGTTTTTTTCAAATTAAATTAGATAGAAAAAATTAAACTTAAGCATTTATTAGGTTTTAGTGCTATGCATATAAGAAATAATTAACAATTGCTCATCTGTGTGGTTTGAATTGAATAATTCCTATTTAGATATTATTCTCATTTACGGCACAGAGTAATTCTTATTAAATGTACCAGTTGCAGTAAAGCCACAGGGTGTTAAATGTTCTGGGTGCTAATGGAGATTGGGACAAGATCCCTTGGTTATGTCAGTTTGTTTTTATTTTCTTCCTGTTGTTATCAAGAAAACAAATCTAGCTGCTAAAATTACAAGTATCTGTCCTAGTAGATATGTAGTCCTTTTTTAGAACATTTCTATGTGTTTATTTAGAATTAGAAAGTCAGATTGTGTATTAATGAGATGATAAAGGTACTTTTTCATATGTAGTAAATCAGGCATATAAAGTTTATTTCCTGAATTTCATTTTAGAACACAGCGTAGAAGCGAATCCTTTTTTGGAAGTTTCCTAAATTACTGTATTATTGCTTAACTGAGCCCTTTTCTTAGTTTTTACTACAGTTCCTGGTTTGTAAATTTAAAAAGCCCATGAAAATGTTAATTTTGAAATGTTTTTGGAAAAGAAATGTCTCTTATACAGTGGTTAGTAGGTGGGGAATTTGCCTAGAGATATGTGGGGGTTTGAGACTTTAGGTTTTTTTTTAATGTAATATGTGGGATTATACAATGAGAGTGTAAATTTTAAGTACTCTTAATTCTATACTGTGACTTGATGATTATCTAATTAGGTAATATGTGAGAAGTTAATATTTTGTTTCCCAAAGACAATTGTTTTCCTAACCTTTAGAATTCTGAAAATTATAAAACATCAATAAGGTTTTATACAGTTTATATTGTTACTATGCTTTTATTTTACACATAAATCAAAATTGGCTCCTGGCTACACTAGAAATTTTATTGGCTTTTTTTTTCCCTAAAAGCAGAATTTTTTTTTGTTCTAAAATGCTACCTTTTGTTGTTGCTCTAAAATGATACTTTTATGCAATTATATACGTGTTATAATGATGACCACTTTTAGAAACATAGGGACATAGATGTTATTTAGTCATCTTCTACCTTCTGCCCAGTATGATTAGTCATAACAGTCCACAATTCATTATTGCCATTAGGTGAACCAGAACCTGAAAATAGGTTGTTGCCTTTCTAGAATTCTTTATTCCTTTATTTTCAAACTTGGATTTTTTGATCTTTAATCTCCCTTTACAGTGTTTTATATCAGTATCAGATGTTTTATTAGCTATTATCCACATGTTCTGGCCTTGTTTGATATCTAAATTTAAGGTGGTAATATTCTCTTGTTTTCCAGTGTTAATTTTCGTAAGGATACCTTTTATAATAAATGAAAATAAATATTTGAATAAAATTAGTCCAACAGTCAACTCTTTTGAGAGTTCTTTGTGGTTCCTCTCTGTGTTATTCTCCTTTTCTAGGTGTCTTTATCCCCTTCCAAAATAAATGTCCAAAATTATCCATTCCTCATCTTAATAGGCAATAGGTAGGGGTTAGGGACTATTGCACATATTTCCAAATAGAAATAATATGTATCTTTGAATATATCTACTCTGCCTACTGTTGCTACTAGTATATGTCACCAATTAAAAGTAACTAATATTTGATAGGTGCTTTTAAAATAACATCTCCAATGTAATTTTGAGTATTTCAGGTTTCCCTCTGCTCCTTTCATTCATTCATTCCACCAACACTTAATACCTACCATGTGTGGGTCACTGTGCTTAGTGTCATGGGAGATAACTATATGGTTGATGGTACTGGTTAACGGGGAGCTCAAACATTGGTAGAATGATTAAGACATTATGGAAGACATTGAAGCTAATGCATTAAAATGATACAGTATTCCTTTTGCGGTGATACAGTTATAAAGTGCTGATTTAAGGTGACAGTGTTTTTTCCTGGCCCTTTTAGTTTTAACGCTTTAGTATTTAGTATACCCTTCTGTAAGAAACCACAAATTTAGATGAGCAGGTAATTGGAGGAACATGATTTTAATTCAGAAAACTTAAGGATTTCTTTAAGTGTCAACTTTCTGTAAATATTTGCTTCCAAATAGTTAATAATGAAGATGACTGGAAACAGAGAAAAGTAAAGTGTTTGAAAACTACTTTCAAAAGGAAATCAATCAGAAATAAAGTAGAATTTAGTGAATTTAGTGCTGTACCTTGAAGACACCATAGAAAAACTGTGATAGGGCAAATAGACTGTAAGGTCAGAGGGATTGGGTTCTATTCTGCTTTCCAAGTGTGTGTCTATGGCTCTAGAGTTTTTAATTTACTCACTCTCAAATGGAAATAACCATACCCTTTCCACAAGGCATTTGAGAGGATTAAGTGAAATAATGTGGTCAGTATACCTAGTACAGTTTGTAGCACACAGTAACCTTTAGAAAATTAGATTCCTACTCCTTTGATAATTTTTTCTGAAACTTTCAAATGTATCTAGAATGGACACTTACATACTTTTAAGTACTCCAGTGTTCCCCTTCTCTCCACTTAAATGTCCTTATTGTCCAAGCTCTGTCCCAGCTGCCTTTGGATAAAATAACCTATAGATTGTCTTGTAATCTATAAAGCATATAATTTAATTAATTCAGTTGGAGCTTGGCCTTCCCCTCTCTTCACCCAGTGTCACATTTAATAAATAAATTTGTCTAAATTAGCAGCTTATAAATTCAGAAATACATTCTTGAGATATATGCCCATTTTTAAACACGTGTTGATTAAAAATTAATATCTGGCTGAAAATAATGCCATATATGGAATTCCATAAACCCCATCCAGTGAAGAACAAGAAAGATGGAGGATTAGTGTAATTCTTTGTATCTACATTTAAGTTTTAGGGTTGTAGAGTTTCTCATTATTCTTGATCAGTACCCCCGTCTCTCAGTATAACTTTTTTCCAAATACTGTGTTTGGCCAGGATTTTAACAGTCTTTATGTGGTAGGTTGTTATTTGGAGATGCCTCAATAAACCGTCCCTTTTATTACTCATGCCCTTGTCTAGCCCCCTGCCACACTGACTCTGGGCTTAGCCTGGGACTGCTTTGAATAAAATAAGGCGCAAGTGATACTCTGTCCTATTCAGGACACGCCCCTGAGTTGGCCTGGCAGCTGCTAGTTTCTTTTTTTGTAATTCTTCTTGGAACCCAGCTGCCATGTCATAAGGCAGCCCAAGCAGCCATGTGACGAGGTCCACATGAAGAACTGAGGCCCCTAGCCAACAGACCCACCTGAGTTCGTATGGAAGCTTCTTAATGATTCTAACTATTCACACGTCCCAGACAATTTAACCCCATCTGAGTTCCCGATCCATCTTTAGGGTGACATCAGCCATCCTAGCACCGTAGCTCATACCACATAGAGCTGAAGACCTGCCCAGGTAATTCACTGCTGTTGGGGTGGTTTGTTATGTAGTAATAGATAACTGAAATACCTGATTAAAAGAAAATATAACTCAATGCTTATTATCTATTGGGCAAGAAAGATTCCATCTTTTTTTCAGCTTTATTACTGAAAATGATTCGTTGATAGTTACTTGGAAGAATAAGTGAGGATTTTAAAATATCTTCCCAAATGTATTTACGTCTTTAGATATGTTCAGTTCTTTTGAATTTATATCTTACAATTTAAGTATTTTCCCCCTTGAAATGCAAAAACATAATTTTATGTGCATCTTTTGGGGTCATGGTATTGTGGGAAAAAGCAGGAACTTGAAGCTAGAAGATCTGATTTTAAGTTTCAGCTGTTATTAGCCATGTGTTCATGGCAAATTTTATCATATCTCTGAGTTCTCAATTTTTTTAGCCTAAAAAAAATGAAGAATTTGGGCCATGTGAGCTCTAAAGTACCTTTCGACTCTAACATTTCAAGATTATAATATATTTTGTTACTTATTTTTCAGCAGAGTTAGTAGCAATTACCCATAATGCAGAATTGAATTTCCTAAGTGACTGTATCCTCACACTGGATAGAACACTGATGGCATCTGCAGTGAAGTTTATGTAGAGCCCTTTTCCCCTTTAAGAAAGGAAGTGTTAGCATTACCTGGGGGTACATATCTGGCTCTCTATGGCCTATAGTGACCTTTATCACCCTCCATTCTTGCCAAATCTTGGTAGATAAAAGGTCATACCAGTTTTAAATTTCCAACTTTTATGGATCCTAGCTCAGATGCTACTTGGGATTACAAGAAGGTCAAAATGCAGTAAGTCTGCATTAGGGAACTCTTCAAATACTTCAGGTTCAATTATATATCTAATCAAGTCACTTCTTCGGAGTACGTCTTGCTGAGCAATGCATATCTTACTGTAGTGCCAAAATCCCTTAGAGCAAGTTTTCTTGCCTCCTTATGTTGGGATATATTGTATAAAATCTTTATGCTTATGTATATTCATTTTGTACCAATGAGGACTTGAAAATGTCTTTTTTATTTTTCATTAGGGAATTGCTTCTACGAAAACAATCTCTATTTTGTCAAGCATGACATTTCTACTGGTAAGGGTAATTAGTACCAATGCCAAGTGCGCTGTTTTCTCTGCTGGAGAAATGAATTTTTAGTAGAAGGGGACCGACCACAGTGCTAAAAAGCAGCAAGATGATAAAACTTAGTTGTCCATTTACCTCTATTTAGCCACTCTCCTAGCTTTGAATTGTCCTGCCTTCCTATCCAGAAGCACAAGTTTCCTGCTGTTTTCCACTTTAGACTGCTCAAGGGACCGGAAGGGAGTTGGTACTAAATCCTTTGGCCGTGAGTGTGAGTCATTATTAAAAATTTAGAAGCCAAATTACAAATATGATACTTCAGCATCTGTTTTTAAAATTGTTAGAATCGAAGTTTAAAGTGTTCTTTCTGCCTTTACAAGTAAACCGAACTTTACATTAGTAGAGTGGATTACAACTACAGCAGTAGCTGGAAAAACACCCATGTCACAGAGGGGCAAAGGAAAAAGAGCAGGAAGAAACACACAAGACAGCTTCTGTGGTATTGCCGATGTCCCATTTCTCCAACTGAATGGATGCTGGATGATGTTTTAATATATGCTTTATAACTTACATGTTTCTATGGATTAAATATTACATGATAAAGATATTTTAAAATATCTCTGTAATGATTATGATTTGAGTACCCTTTGGTTTGAACAGACTGTTCAGTTAATATCATTTGACAGTAGAGTATTCTACAAAAAGTTATTTAAGTAAAAGACTATATTGTGTAAAAAAAGGCTTGTTTAGGTGCAAACAGAAGTCTGATTTCAGGAAATTCTTCCAGCCTGATGAGAAATGGCAAAAAGAAAGTGATGAGTTAATTATGGATTTAAGAATTCTGAAATTATCTGTAACTTTGAATTGACATTATTAAAACAATTGTTTGGCCACAATATAAAACCAATGTAAACTATTTCTTAATTCATTGTATACCATTTCTAGTGTCTTAGTCAGCTAGGATTGCCATACCATTGACAGGGTAGCTTCAACAACAGAAATTTATTTCTCACAGTTCTAAAGGCTGGGAAGTCCAAGGTTTAGGTTCCAGCATGGTCAGATGGTCTGTTTCTGGTGAGCAAGTTTTTTTTCTTTTCTTTTCTTTTTTTCTTTTGAGACAGAGTCTTGCACTGTCGCCCAGGCTGGAGTGCAGTGGCACAATCTCAGCTCACTGCAAGCTCCGCCTCCTGGGTTCTAGCGATTCTCCTGCCTCAGCCTCCTGAGTAGCTGAGATTACAGGTGCCCGCCACCATACCCAGCTAATTTTTTGTATTTTTAGTAGAGATGGCGTTTCACTATGTTGGTCAAGCTGGGCTGGAAGTCCTGACCTCAGGTGATCCACCCACCTCGGCCTCCCAAAGTACTGGGATTACAGGCGTGAGCCACTGTTCCCGGCCCAGCAAGTTTTTTCATGTCTGTACTTAGAAGGGCACTAATCTTATCATGAGGTTCCCACCCTTATGACCTCATCCAAACCATATTACCTCACAAAGACCCTGTCTCCAAATGCTATCATATTGGGGGTTGGGGCTTCAACATAAATTTTAGGGGAATACTAAGCATTCAGTCAATAAACCTGGTTATTTTTTCTTTATCACTGCCTTTTTTTCCTTTTATTAAAGAGATTATCACTCAAGCTTGCTTCTCTGTCTCACACATATGCATATTAATCCATTCACTCATCTCATTCAGTTAAATTAGGATTGTGTTATGAAAACAAATTTCTAGAAGTATCAAAAATCTTCATATTATTCTGCCTTTTAAAAGAATGTTTTCAGTGACTAATTTAAAGAAATGTTTTTCTCTACTAAGAATGCCATCAAGAGTAAAGCTTCAAGAAAGCACTGTAAATACTATGCATAATCACTTGAAATGCATATTTGGATAACTAAACTGGTAAATTTGGAAACAGACCAATTCTAAATATAAAATGTTTTATATTTTGATTTTATAAAAAAAATGCTTTAATTTGTTAATAGTAACATAATACCCTACTTTTGAATATTATAAAAATGCTCCATAAAATAATCTACTTTCAGACAGTGTTCAATACCCATTAGAATTGGGAGAGAAGGCTGTGGGCAGGGAACAGAACTAGACGTCTCTGCTCCTGGCTGTTTTTGGCTGCCACATTCATTATAGAAATGCAGAAACAACAAAGACTTTATCACTTAAGGAACTTTGAGGTGACAGCATATCTGCAGAATCCTAGAGCTCTTAGCCACATTAAAATCAGCTGAAGGAATTTGTCACTTTCCCAGTTTGCAGTTAAAATGACTATCTAATGATCTAAGGTGGACCGATTCCCTCCTATGTAATTATTAAATGCCGATCAGTGCAAGTGGTTTCTTCTTTCCAGAAGACCTCTATCTGTTGTCCATTACGTAGAATCTTTGATGCTTAGATATGAAAACCTAAGATTGAAAATATTAGTTACAAAAAGGAATTTATGTGCAGTTTGGGTAGTGTGAAAATTTTTCTCCTTTCATGAAGTGTGAAACATCAAGTTACATCAGACCAAGAAACCTTTGATTTTTTTCTTTTCATAAAATCTACCAGCTATTTCTCATTCGATGATGAAAACCTAATGTTGCACCTTGAGAGTACTCAGCATTTTTGTTCACACAAATCTTGTGAGAGCATGCTAGAAACTCATTTTCACCACACGTTTTAATTCTTCTGCTGATTCTGAGGCTGGAAAAGAGAAACACAAATTGCTGGCCGCTGAAAAATCCCCTTGAAGATTCCACAATGATAATGTGACGTTAAAATTGAATTAAGTTGGCATTCAGAGCTTTATTCTCACAGAGATTACCCTATGGATTTCTTGTTCAATCTTATCTGCTCTTCTCCCTTCCCTTCTCTTTCTCTTCTTAATACATACATTTAAAATAAAGATAGTCCTTTATATTCTCACTTTAAAAATAAATTTTTGGCCAAGCATGGTGGCTCACGCCTGTAATCCCAGCACTTTGGGAGACCGAGGCGGGTGGATCATTTGAGTTCAGGAGTTTGAGACCAGCCTGGCCAACATGGTAAAACCCTGCTTCTACTAAAAATGTAAAAATTAGCTGGGTGGCAGGCACCTATAATCCTAGCTACACGGGAGGCTGAGGCAGGAGAATCATTTGAACCTGGGAATAAATGTAAGTAAGTAAATAAATAAATAAATAAATAATGTTTACTATTTGTGGCAACTTGAATTACAGAAACCTTGTTTTATATTTCATAAATTCTTTAGCTGTTAAAATGCCTTCCTAAAGATGAGTACTTCCATTACTTTGGAAGAACATCCTTTCTGAGGCTATGAAATATCAATTGCTATTTTATCTCTGTTCATGTAATCTATCTAGGATTCATAGAATCTTACTTGGATGGGGACTTAATGGCAACTAGTTCAACCTCCCAATGCAGTGTTAGAACCTTCGCTATGACAGCTCTGACAGGTTCTGCTTAAGAGAGAGAGAGCTCGCTTGTTTAGATCAGACCATATTTGGATTTAGTGCTCAATTTAGGGTGTCACATTTTAAGAAGGGATATTGACCAACCAGAGTGTAACCAAGAAGGTAGTCAGAAAATTCTTCTCTAATAAGCAGTTGAAGTAACTGCAGGGGAGTTTAGTTCAAGAAGAGACCAAGTGACTGTCTGTTAGAGATATCTAGAAAAATCCTGCACTGGGAAGGAGGCAGAATCAATTATTCTTTCCAATTTCAATATTGTTATTCTTTTTTTGTCCTGCTATATTAAACTATTTTTAGGCAGCTTCTGTTATGAAGGAGTTCCACATTTCTGGGGCGCTTATCCAATGGAACAGTCACACTGTCATTATTGATAGAGTTTAATGTCTACTGACCTATGGATCAGAATGCTAAAGTTGTCAGAACCAAGGAGATCCCTGCCTGCCAAGAGTAATTCTTGCCCCTCAGCTATATTAGTCCATTTCTGAACATCCTATCTAGAACCTGAGCCCCCACACAAAGGAAAATTAGAAATGCAGAATGAGAGTTTCTAAGTCAGACTGCCTGGATTTGACTCCTGACTCTGCTTTTAACTTGCCGTGTTAATCACCCTGTTCCTTAGTTCCCTCATTTGTTGTGTGGAAGTAATAGTGTTTCTAGCTAAGGTAGTTGCTGTATAAACAAGTTAATACATATAATGCACTTAGAAAAGTGCTTAGTACATAGAAAATGCCCAAATTTTAGCTGTTATTTTTAATAAAATATTGGTATTTAAAATTTTTTGTATATGCTATGTCATTTTATTTTATTTAGTCATTGCTTATGTTTTCTATTTTCTACATCTTGCACTGGACACTGGCTTAGACTCAGTACAGATTGAAGATCTTTTATCAAAGTCAAAATAATTTATTTGATATATAGAGAGCCACACTCCAGCTAATGAATTATTGTTGTTCATTTTACAGCATCTCAGATATAAAAAATTTGGTTGCATCCTACATGTCTTTTTTTTCTATCTTGTTCCTCCTGTCCCTTCCTCTGATTCTTGTTGTCCCCCCTACTTTTATTTTAGGTTCAGGAGTGGGTACATTTACAGGTTTGTTGCTTGGGTAAATTGTGCGTTACTGAGGCTTGGCTTACGAATGATCCCATCACCAAGGTAGTGAGCATAATACCCAACGGGTAGCCATCCGGCCAACTCCCCTCTCAAGCAGTCCCCGGTGCCTGTTTTCCCATCGTTGTGTTCAGGTGTATTCACTGTTTAGCTCCCTCTTATAAGTGAGAACCTGTGTTTGGTTTGTTGTTCCTGCATTAGTTCACTTAGGATAATGGCTTCCAGCTGCATCCATGTCGCTGTAAAGGTTCTGTGTCATTTTAACCAGAAGACAACTTTGTGAGGAAGTCAGCACTGTTGTCACCCATCTCCCCCATTACAAAAACCGTGAATTAAAGACATTAATATGTTAAACAGCCTTAGGTTTTAGGAGTAGTATCATGCCATGATCCACTGTGATGAGACTATATCTGTCGTTAGATGCGTTTAGCTCTAAGAACAGTGCTTGAAAGAACCGCTGACCAAGAGGTCCAGGACCAGAGAGAAAGACTCGTAATGGGAGAGAAAACATACGGCTATTAGAGAATCTAGTCATGTCATCTGCAGAAGAGACAAATTGGAGGAGTCATACTTTTTGATAAAGAAGTGAATAAAACAGCTTTTTTCCTTTCATCTCACCTCGTTAATCAATATTTATTTTCCACAAGGTTTCTCTTTTAAATTATCATTCTAGTGTTCCAAAAGTTAAGTAACTTCAATGAGAGTGCCTGATCTTCATTATGGTACTACTTAAAAATCCCTTTGAAAGACAGCATTAGCAATGAAATATATTTATTTCCATGGACTCATGCCTATATCGATTCTCTAGCTGTTAATTTGTTTAGGGTTCTCATCTAAATATCACTCTCTCAAAGAGCTACTAAGCTCGTTGCTTCTTAGTTTCTTAGCAGATTAATCATGTCTCTGTGCCTGATAGAAATTTAATAAAGCTAATTATGTGTTTATTGTATTTTCCTAAGAATTCCATTTTAATGGCTAATGTAATATTTTATTTTTAGAAGGGAAACTTATTGATCTTAACCAAATGATAGATCAAATGAAATATGTTTTGATAAGACAGAGCAAAAGTAGAACATTACTAAATAATTATGGTACAGCCACACAATGGAAATACTGTACAGCTCTTACAAAGAATAAGACAGACAGATATGTACTAATATTAAGAGGAAAGAAGCTAATCATAGAAGAATATAATAACATTCCTATTTGTGTGGGAAAAAACAGCAACAAAAAGAACTCAGAGAGAAAACAAATACATGTTCATATACATGGAAAAATATCTGAAATGATCATTGTGCAACTGTAAATAGTGATTACATTTGGGAAGAGGGCTTGTTTGGCTGGAGGGAAAAAATAATAAACGTTTATATTATAGTATTTTCTCTACTGTTTGAATTTTTAGAGGGAATGTGGTAATTTTATAATTTAAAAAGGAGTTATTGGGGAGAGGATGGTGAATAAATGTAAAGTAACTGATATTGAGACTGGTTAAACTGAGAAAATACATATACAATACTTTATTTGTGAAGCCAGACCTGGACACAGAAAGATGCAGGAAGTTAAAAAAAATTACAAGGATGATATGTAGAACACATGAGTTCAGAGAGGTAGTACTTAAGAAAACTGATTACAAAACTGATGGTACATTGAACAATCTTACTACTAAAAGTAGAGTACAATATGTCACCTGATAGCATATGCACACGCACACACAATTTTCTCATTCTGGACAGATCCAGAAACAAAGAAACTGATTTACATTGCCTGGCTAAGGTAGGGTGACCAACCGTCTTAGTTTGCTGAGATCAATGGGTTTCCTAGGATCAGGAAAGTACTGGGCAAATCAGGACAAGTCAGTCATGGTAATCTAGAAAGTCCCAAAGGAGTTGGTCTAGGCCAAACTGGTTCTTCATCTTACAGAAAAACAAAATACACTGTATGTCACAGTTTAGAGGGCTCTCTGAGGACTTACAGCTTCACAGTTGTGATTTTATTCTTCCTTAGGAAATGCATCGAACATCACACATGCTTGTATTGAAGTGTCAGTGTAAATTTGTCACACAAATTTAAATTCACCATGTCGGATTATCCTTGTCCTCTCTTGACCTTTAGAAATGTAAATCAAAAGCTGACAATAACTCTCATTCATTCTTTTTTTTAAAAAATACCCTATTATATGTAAGGTGCTTTGTTAAGCCTTTAAAACATAAAATTAAGGAATGTTCTCTTTTCTCAGTGAACTCACAGTGAGTTAGGAGACAGATACACAAGTAAATAACTATTATTTTGGAACATGTGTAAGAGTAAAAGATCGTGGCAAGTGTTTTCAGGACCAGTCTTTTTTCTTTCAAAAAGTATTGTCCAGGCCCGGCATGGTGGCTCACACCTGTAATCCCAGCACTTTGGGAGGCCAAGGCAGGTGGATCACTTGAGGTCAGGAGTTCACGACCAGCCTGACCAACATGGTGAAACTCCGCCTCTACTAAAAATACAAAAATTAGCCGGGTGTGGTGGTGGGCGCCTGTAGTCCCAGCTGCTTGGGAGGCTGAGGCAGGAGAATTGCTTGAACTTAGGAGGCGGAGGCTGCAGTGAGCCGAGATCACCCCACTGCGCTCCAGCCTGGGCAACAGAGCGAGACTCTGTCTCAAAAAAAAAAAAAAAAAGATATTGTCCAAAGACAGAACAAGAAGAAAACAGGTAATTATATGGAACATTGGTATTTTGGAATCTCATTTAAAAATTTTGTTCAATAATAATAATAGTCCTAAGAAATTAAAAATATTTATATTTTATGCTTTTAGATGAAAGGTGAGCTAGATGCTAGGCTATTCTGTCTAGATGGTAGTTATAACTTGAAAAACTTCCCCAGCATTATCAGAGCAAGGAAACCTTTTCTTATGTACCCAGCAGTCATTTGTGAGATAACAACATATATTTTATATTAAAATGTAAATGCTAAAATTCCATTTGGATTAAGTATGTGATAATACATCTAGACATACTGATAGTTGTCATGATTTTATTGCTCAGTGGGGAAATCAAAAGATGTAGTCATTAAATTTTTGTGTTCCAGGCACATAACAGTATATAGGTCTTCCAAAGCAGATAGCTACATTATGAATCCATAAGAACTTTTAATTCTAATATTAATCCTTAGGAAGATTTTACCTTCCATCATTGTTTGGATTTATTAAGAAGATATGTATGAAATTAAATATTCATATTTTGTTACTGACTTAATTTTTTCAGAAGTTACTTTAATTCTCAGTGGTTCTAGCTAACTGATAATTGTGGCATTTGAGTTGCATGAAGTGGAGTGGAGTGAAGAAAGGGGAGAGGAAAAGGTGAAGTTGGAAAGTTGTGGGATGGGATGTAGTCAGGGAGATTGCTTATGGCCTTCTAGAACATTTTAAACACTTCAGTTTCTTCTTAGAGTGAGATGAAGACCCACTGGAAGATTTTGAGCACAAGATTTGTATACCTAACTTAGGTTTTAACAGGATTACTCTGCTGTCATGTTGTGTTACTCTAAGGGGATTATACTGGAAGCAAGGAGACCTAGTAGAAGGCTGTTGCCACTAGCCAGCTGAGAGAGGATACTGTCTTCAAGTAGGTGACAGTAGATGTGGTGAGAAGTGATTGGATTCTGGATATATTTTGGAGGCATAGTCTCCAAGAGAAATAGTCTGATGGGTTGAGCATAGTGTGTGGGAAAAAGATGGGAATGAAGAAAGACTCCCAAAGTTTTTGGCCTGAGTAACTAAAAGGATGGCGTTGTCATTAACAAGAAATTCTGCAGCATATGTTTCAAGGGAAGCACTAGGGGGAGCTCCATTTTAGACAGGAGAAAAGCATGAGAAGTCTTACATATATCATGTAGTGATGTCACATAGGCAGTTGGATTATAGCATATGACTATATGTCATTTACTCCATATAGTAACCAGTAACCTCCACAGTATGGAAGTTAGCAAAGAGGACTAGGTTGGAGATATAACTGGGGAGTTGTCAGTTCATGGGTGCTATTTAAAGCTACAAGACTGCATGAGCTCACCAAAGGAATGAGTTAGACAATGTAGAAAAGAGGTTTAAGGACAGACTTTTGGAGTACTCCAATGTCAAGAGAATGAAAACCAACCAGCAAGGACTGAGAAGGGGTAACCAGCTAGGGAGGAGGAAAATAAGGAGTGTGGTGAACTAGATGCCAAGGAAGAAAACATTTTAAGGAGGAAGAAGTGATCATCGATACCAAATAATGCTAATAAGGTCAGATAAGATAAGGACTGATAAATGACCACTAAGAAATAACATGAGGAAGTTCTAGCTAGAGCAGTCAGGCAAGAAAAAGAAATAAAAGGCATCTGGATAGGGAAAAAAAACAAGTCAAACTACCTCTCTTCACTGACACTATGATTTTATTCTAAGTATAAAAAACCGTAAAGACACCACCAAAAGGCTGCTAGAACTGATAAACGATTTTAGCAAGGTTTCAGTATACAAAATCCATGTACAAAAATCAGTGGCATTTCTATACACCATGAGCATCCAGGCTGAGAGTCAAATCAAGATCTCAATCCCATTTACAGTAGCCACAAATAAAATGAAATAGCTGGGGATATAGCTATCCCAGAGAGATGAAAGATCTCTACAAGGAAAACTATAAAACACTGCTGAAAGAAATCAGAGATGATACAAACAAATGGAATAATATTCCATGCTCATGGATTGGAAGAATCAGTATCATTAAAGTGGCCATACTGCCCAAAGCAGTTTACAGGTTCAGTGCTATTCCTATCCAACAATCAACATCATTCTTCAAAAAATTAGAAAAAACTATTCTAAAAATCATATGGAACCAAAGAACAGCCCAAGTAGCCAAAGCAATCCTAAGCAAAAAACAAAGCCAGAGGCATCACACTACCCAAATTCAAACTATACTGTCAGGCTACAATAAAGAAAACAGCATGGCACTGATACAAAAAACAGACACGTAGACTGATGGAATGGAATAGGAAGCTCAGAAATTAAGCCACATACCTATAATCATCTGATCTTCCACAAGTCCAACGAAAAGAATTAATGGGGAAAGGATTCCCTATGCAAGAAATAGTGCTGGGATAGTTGGCTAGCCATATGCAGAAGAATGAAATGGGACCCTTACCTTTCCTCATATACAAAAGTTAACTCAATATGGATTAAGAATTTAATTATAAAACCTAAAACTATAAAAATTCTAGAGAAAAACCTAGGAAATACCATCCTCAGCATCAGCCTTAGCAGAGAATTTTTGGCTAAGTCTCCAAAAGCAGTTGTAATAAAAATAAAAACTGACAAGTGGGACCTAATTAAAGAGCTTCTGCACAGCAAAAGAAACTACCAGCAGAGTAAATAGACAATCTACAGAATGGGAGAAAATACTCATAAACTATGCATCTGACAAAGGTCTAATATCCAGGATCTATAAGGAACTTAATTCAAAGCAAAAACCAGTCCCATCAAAAAGTAGGCAAAGGACATGAACAGACATTTTTCAAAATAAGACATACAAGCAGCCAACAAACATGAAAAAATGCTTATCATTACTAATCATCAGAGAAACGCAAATCACAACCACAATGAGATACTGTCTCACACCACTCAGAATGGCTGTTATTAAAAAGTCAAAAGACAATAGATACTGACAAATTTGCAGAGAAAAAGCAATGCTTATACACTGTGGAATGCAGTTTGGAAATTTCTCAACTTAAAACAGAGCTACCATTAGGCCCAGCAATCCCATTACTAGATCTATACACAAAGGAAAATAGATTATCATACCAAAAAGATACATGAAGTTGTATGTTCATTGCCATGCCATTCACAATAGCGAAGACATGGAATCAACCTAGGTGCCTATCAGTGGTGGATTGGATAAAGAAAATGTGGTACATATACACCATGGAATACCACACAGCCCTGAAAAAGAATGAAGTCATGCCCTTTGCAGCAATATGAATGGAGCCAGAGGCCATTAACCTAAACGAATTAATGTAGGAACAGAAAACTACATATCACATGTTCTCACTTATAAGTGGGATCTAAACATTGAGCACACGTGGACATAAACATGGGAACAGTAGACATTGCAGACTACTAGAGCGGGCAGCACAGGTTCAAGAACAAACTACCTATTGGGTACCATGCTCACTACTTGACTGCAGTATACCCATGTAACAAACCTGCACATGGCCCCCTGTATCTAAAAGTTAAATTTTAAAATGAAAAAAAAAAAAAAAAAGCTTAAGTATATAAGCAACTTAATAAGATGATGATAAATAATAACTATCATTTGTTGAGTTTTTCCAATGTGATAAATACCGTATTATGTACTTTGTACAGTTATCTTTAATCTGTAAAACATTCCTGTGTGATAGGGATTACACTTCCCACTTCACAGATGTTGGAAGCCCGGACGCAGAGACGTTAATAAATTAACACAAATACCTAGTAAAATTTCCAAAGCCAGAATGCAAAACCAGGATTTAAAAGCCTTTATTCATTTTTGCATGCCATGCTTCCTGGACTTACGTTGAAGCCACAGCTTTGCAAAAGGCTTATCAGTTGTCACTATTTTAGCTATGCCTTACATGCATGGTTGTATAGGAAAAATTAAAACTACCTTAAATGCTTTATACTGCACCGCAAATCTATATGAGAAAAGGCAAAGATAGACAAATGCAAGTTTGTTTTTTCTTATAGCCTGAATCCAAGAAGACATCTTTAATTTATAGGACTTCCTTAAGACCTTTTTTTCTGTTAACATTTTATGATATGAAGATATCAGTGATAAGATTTATCTTACAGCAGAATAATATTTAGATAGCTTTTGTATTTGTGTCTGTTCCATAATTTACTTTACATGTTTGTCTTTTAAAATGATCCTAACAGAAACGTCTGTTTTTAGAATAAATCAGAGGTGTAGAAACTGGCAGTGATTGCTGTGCTGTGTATGTGGATGTCCTAAATGTTTGATGCTTGTGTTTACTAGTTTACAACCATCATCAAATTACGTAGCAACATGTGTATTTTAGAAATGGGGCTGCCTTATTTATCTAAAACAAATGATACTCTGTTAATTATCCTAGCAATTAGAAAATTACTTTTACCATTGCTTTGCCATTTGGCAGTTGAGATATAAATTTGGCACTATGTGGTAACCATTCACTAGGTTTAGTCCTAGGGTGTGTGATTTTTTTGCTTTGGATCAGGAGACAGCATTTGGTAAATAGCAGTTGTAAATTTCTTTTTTCCCAAAGTTTGAAAAACCTCAGGGCTTTTAGTGGCATGAGTTTGCGCAAATCATCCTTTTTTTTCTCAATTTGTCTGTTCTTTTTCTCTTTGCAGTCTGCCATTTTCTCAAATTTATTGCATGCATTTTATTTATTTCTATGTGCCTTCTAGTGATGCTATATAAGTTGCAGGATTAGCATTCACATGGGAATGATGACTTGGAAAGTCTCACCCAGCTTGTTCTGCACTCACCCTTCTTGTGAATTCACCACTCTCATAGCTCAGCTACTCCTACTTAGATGCTGCTGCCACTTTGCTGACAGCGTCATCATTTCTCTCTTGGATTAGTCCTGTACCCTTCTGTTCAGGCCTTCCTGCCATAGAGTTTGCTCTCTCTCTTCAGCTTTATTCTCCACTTAGTAACTAAAGTGATCTTTCCAAGACTCTAATCTTAAGTAATTTTCTGCTTCAAGTCTTTCAGTGATTTCTCATTATTCTTAGGCTCTCCCCAGTCTCATACACTACACTTAGCCACTGAATTTTTCTTAAGTTTCTCAAATATACCTTGTCCACTGAATATTAACATGGATTCTTCACACAACCTGGAATAGTTTCTTATTCTTTTGCCTCAGTGATTCTGTTTATCCAAAGTCTCAGCTCAGAAAGCGTTTCTTCTGAGAATCTTCCCTGGCCCCGTTTCCCTCTGCTTGCCTCTAGAGTGGTTTAGACCAGCATCCTCCAGCCTTCCCGGGTGTCCTGAACTCCCCTTCCATGGGATTTGTCCACATCCACAGCATTTATATTGTATTGCCTGCTTTCTCTAGTGACTTGACTCCTTAAAATGTAGACTTCTGTTTCCTCATCTTTTGTCCTTCTGAATAAAGAATTCATTTATATGCATTTCCTTTAGAGAATCAAACTTGGTGTGATTTTGAGAAAGAAGAAGATCCATAAGCTCAAAATACTGATTTCGCTTTCCTTGTTTTCATTGCTATCCCTAGCACTTAACGTGGTGTCAGATACGTGGTAGAAATTCACATATTTTAGGTGAATGCTAGTGATGACCAGATTTTTGTTTTAGCCTTAACCTCTTCTGAATTCTAGTGCCATACGTGTAAGTCTCTCTCTCTGACATTACCACTGGGGTATCATCTAGGCACTTTAAATTCAGTAAACCCAGACCTCACATTATTTCCCTCTGGGCTCTCCTTTCCCTTACACTCCCTTCTTTTTTTTTTTCTGTTGTTCTTCTGTCATTGGCATTTCCAACCTGGAAACTACTCTATCTCTCACTAGCTAGATCAGTCATTTCTCAGAGGCTATCAATTCTGCTTCCTAATAGTTTTTGAAAACTCACCCTTCAACTCCATTTTTTCACCGACTTCCTGTCACTTTCTACCTTAATTACAGAGCCTGCTAATTTATTTGAGTTATATAAATTTCAGTAGTTTAAAAACTAAATATATTACTGTTTTCAAAGCATTGTAAATCTTACAATTAAATGATTTTTTAAAATCTGAAAACTAGTTAAATTTTTCTTATGTTTTGCCCCCTTTTTTTTTTTTTTTGAGACGGAGTCTTGCTTTGTCGCCCAGGCTGCAGTGCAGTGGCCCCATCTCTGCTCACTGCAAGCTCTGCCTCCTGTGTTCATACCATTCTCCTGCCTCAGCCTCCCAAGTCGCTGGGACTACAGGTGCCCGCCACCACACCTGGCTAATTTTTTGTATTTTTAGTAGAGACACACAGGGTTTCATCGTGTTAGCCAGGATGGTCTCGATCTCCTGACTTCGTGATCCGCCCGCCTCAGCCTCCCAAAGTGCTGGGATTACAGGCGTGAGCCACCATGCCCGACCTGCCCTTTTAAATAAACTGTAGGTTTTCATATGCATTCATTCATTTGAGAACTTTTGTTCATTTTCAGGAATAAGAAATAAAAGTTACTGAATGAACTTTATACAAAGAAAGTTGTGTAAAAGATAATACGAAAATGGAGCATCTTTTTGTTCATAAGCAAGAAAGATGTGACCCTTTTTATGTAATATTAAATATTAGCTATGTGCTATACTAGCTTGCTGACTTACTGACCAGTCCTCCAAAGCAGTCCTTGTCTGTGGAGGAAGTTTTCAAACTGCAATGAAAAGTCCAATTCAGTCATGAAAGAATCCAAGATAGAATAAGAGGGACTAGATTTACCTTGCTTCCTGAAACTCTGAGAAAAATAGACAAAATGTATGAAACAGTGGTTTTCAGACATTGAGCATCAGGCAGTACATGGTAATTATCCCTGAGAGAGGGTAACAACTCCAACTTACCGCCTCCAAAGAATTTCCAGGCCTTAACACAAGGAGGGGAAAACCAGGAGGAACCTGATGGTCTCCCTGAGTTGAGGAGATGAAATTGGGAGTTTGGGGAGACTAAGGTGGAAGGAGTTAGCAAGGCAGTGGGCCAGGAAAGGGAGATACACACAGGGGCCCCTTACAGTGTTCAGATAAGTACTGAGTAACACATGGGTGAGGAGACTGCTTGAGGCTAGTAAAAGAACCACACGGAAAGATGAGAGGTAACAAGCCTAGGAACTCACACAGAGTCTGTAATAGTTTCTGTTGCCACCAGCCATAGTAAAAAGCCCTCATAATTCACTGGGTGTCATCAAAGGACAATGCCTCAGTAGTAGGGGAAAATCTGTCCTACACTAAAGGCTGCTCTGGCCCTGCCTACCAAAGCCTAGAAGCAAGCTTTGAAATTAACCTAATATTTGTGTAATTGAAGTCCCTAGTGGGAATAATTCCCTAGTGAGAGTAATAGGAGAGGGAGCAGAAAAAATATTTGATGAAATCATAGCTAAAAATTTTCCAAATTTAGTGAAAACTATATAGGTCTAAGAAGCACTGCAAGCTCCAATTGTGGGCATGCATGCGTGTGCGTGCACACACACACACACACATACACACACGAAGAAAACTATACCAAGGCACATCATAATCAAATTGCTTTAAGTCAGTGAAATATTAATGTAGAGGAAATATTAGCGTATCCACAGGGGAAAAAACACATGTACAAAGGAACAAAGATAAGGGTAACAGATTTCTAGGCTTGAAACAAAGCAAGACAGAGGACAGTGGTATAACATTCTTAAAATATTAAAGGAAGGAAAAAAGTTAACTAAACTTCATTATCCAGCAGAAGTATTCTTCTAAAATGAGAGTGAAGAGTCCTGAAAGTAAGTTGATACTCCCTGACAGTATCATTTGCAGTAGCATTTGACATGGATCTCAAAGCAGAAACTTAGCTGGACATGTTTGATGATAAAAAATTTTAGTTGCCTATTTTTACATGGCATTTTACATTTTAAAAAAGCACAGTGGCTCACGCCTGTAATCCCAGCATTTTGGGAGGTGGAGGCGGGTGGATCACTTGAGGTCAGGAGTTCCAGACAAGTCTGGCCAACATGGTGACACCTCAGCTCAAGTGAAAATACAAAAATTAGCTGGGTATGGTGGTGCGCGCCTGTAATCCCAAATACTCGGGAGGCTGAGACAGGAGAATCACTTGAACCCGGGAGGCGGAGGTGGCAGTGAGCCGAGATCAAGCGACTGCACTCCAGCCTGGGCAACAGAGTGAGATTCCATCCAAAAAACAAACAAACAAAAAAGAAACAAAAATGTGTTTCTGTATGGGTGAAAACTTTACAGTAGTTTTCCCTTATCCTCGGGAGATAACGTTTCAGGAGCCCGGTAGATGCCTGAAGCCTCGGATAGTACCAAACCCTATATATGGTTTTTTGATCTCATAACTGAGATGGCTACTTAATTTGTAGCATCTTCAGTGTGGATATGCTGGAGGAAGGGATGATTCCCATCCAAGGTGGCACAAAGTGGGCAGATTTCATCAGGCTACTTAGAATAGTGCTCAGCTTAAAACTTATCAATTGTTTGTTTCTGGAATTCCACAAGTAATATTTTCAGACTAAAATTAACCACAGGTAAGTGAAATTGTACTGTATTTTCACAGGTTTTTCAGATAGCGAGGATGAGTGATTTTATCTCCATTTTATACATGAAGAAGCTGAGACACACGAGTAGCATGACTTCCACTGGGTTGCATAATAAGTTCCAGGAATGTAGTCAGGTTTCCTGACTTCCTGTTCAGGACTCTTCTAATCTGAATGGTCTCCTCGTTGATAGCTGTGCATTGCTCAAAATATTTTCTAAACTTAGAGACTGACAGAATATGTAAAATGTATGAAATATCTCAAAAGCAATAGTAGTACAGTGTTTAGTACTTCTTTTGTATCTTCACATCTGGAATAGGTGAAGCAAATAAATTAAAAATCTTATTAAATCTCAAGACCCCAAATAGAAGACAGGAAAAATGAAAGGGAATGCATTAAAGTATATTAAAGCCTGTATGAAAAACCCGTTATGGTATTTAAACTTTAAATTAGCAAAGGTGGAAAATTGCTATGGTTGCAGAGAAGTTTTTAATTAAAGTGAAGTTATTTCTGATTCTTAAAAGGTGAGAAGTTTGATTATTTTAATTACCATACTAAATTTTAGTAGAGAACCTTCTAATAACTTGACTCAAATTACAATGTGGCAGAAATTAGCTGGGAAGAAACTGTATTCCTCTCTTGTCTTTACACTGTGTATGTGGTACATAAAATGGAAGAATTAAATGCTACCTTGGTATACATCATTGCACCCAGTGTAGCAAATTAGTTTTGACCATTACTAGCCGCCGTACAGAATGAATAAGGCCCATTGTCCTTTTTGTTTCCATTAAAGTTTGTTCAAATTGTTCTTTAGGGATGTTTTTCAATCTTTCCTATTAAAGAAATTTTGAGAGCTAGATCTTTAGATAAAGTTTTATGGTAGAATTGGGATTTGAAGGTTAGAAATTGAAAGGAGGACAGGATTTAAGTAGGATAAGGAAGAATGTTTCCAATTATAGGAAACATGAGCCCTGGTGTGTCTTCTCAGAACAGTGAGAATGTTTCATGTTGGAAAGAAATAGGAAATCATGTAGAATAGGTAGGGTAAGGTTTGATTACTGATGGCCTTAAAAAAACAAGTAAGTGAAATAGGTGGATGGCACTAAAGTTAGTATTGACTCCTGAGGGCAGTAAATTATCTCTCCTTAAGTTATGAAATGTGAATTTTTGACATTTCAGCGCAGTATTTTTGTGTCAACTTTCATTGTGTTTAAATCTGAAATGGCAAAGCAAGGATTTTCTTTGTTTGTTTGTTTTTACCTGAAAAGGGGATGTTTTTCTTTTCTAGTCGACTCCTTTACATCTAGCAGCGGGCTACAACAGAGTTCGAATAGTTCAGCTTCTTCTTCAGCATGGTGCTGATGTTCATGCAAAAGACAAAGGGTAGGTCTATCAGTTTACTTCCTGTCAGTGCTTTGTTTTTTGTCTGATACTCTAAACTTTTAAAACACTAGACAAAGTCATATGTCCCATTTGTTACGGCTTACATAACGTTTTAAGAATGTTCATAACTCTGGTTTGAGGCTTTATTTTCATGTACCTACTTAATTAAGGATACTTCTCATAATAATTTCCCAAATCAATTTAATTTTATCACCGTTCTGTTACTTGAAGTTGAAATTGTGTCTCAGTTGCAGTTAGGGTTTTTCAACTCTTAAATTGCATTTTAGAAAAATAAAACAAATTGAAAATTATGAAAATCCAGTAGCATAGCTATCAGATTCAACAGATAGTAAAGGATCATCCTTTATTGATAAACCAAAATCATAAGTATACAATACCAAATTTTTTTTCTGGTGAAATCTTGGACATCTAAACTGAGAAAACCTAGAAGGTTGATGTGAGGGGATATGGGTGGTAACTAAAAAAGCAGTTATGTCATTTATTTTACCAGTAGGTCATTTTTGAAAACTTTGTATCAGTTTCCTGTAAAGTCTCCAGAGATATACGATCATTGGGTTTGCTGTCCTATGTGGTGGACTAACATTTCTCATTGCCCCACTTTAAGATCTGAAAGATAATTAACCCTACTACCCAGGTAAGGTAGATTATGTTACAGTCTTGTGACTGACAGCATAAAGAAGAGATGCCCTAGAGGAGAGTTTCTTTCACTTTGTCCCTCCCCAAGTCAAGAAACATAAAAATGAACTCAATGCTTGAGACACTTACCAGAAGAATTCTTCCATTTCCAATCTGCTTTTTCTGGTGCTGTTCTCTTGCCTGCACCAGGTTTTGTGCCATATGTGAATGGTGTCCCAGTAGTATAGGGGCATAAATGCCTGATGCTCTTGTACATCTCTATTTCCTTGTGCATGTCTGAAAACAGATGGGTGTACAATAGGTGAGTCATCAAGAGATGTACACCACAAAAAAAGGGTTTTTTTGGTTTATTTAGAATACTTTGATATGCAAGTTATAATAGTTTGGATATTTGATTATTTTGCTAGAAATTACCATTAAAGTGAATTAAAATGGTGGAATATTTCAGTTCACTACCAATTAACATTTATTTCTTGTAAATACTTAATATATAATGCATGCATTTGTCAATTAGCATATGATCTTCCTTTCGCCAAAATGTTCTTCTATTTGGTATTTTTTTCATTATCTTCAAGGATTATATACAAAAAACAAGATAAATACAAAAGGTGTGAACATAAGCTATGCTTTGAATTCTTTTATTATTTTATTAAATACTTTTAAATATTTTAAAATAATTGTATTGGGATTTATTGGATTTTATTTCTTAGTACGACATGGATAAATAAGTTGTTTGAAATTTAAGTATTTTAATTTGCCTCTTTTCATTTAGTGGACTTGTGCCTCTTCATAATGCATGTTCATATGGACATTATGAAGTCACAGAACTGCTACTAAAGGTAAGAGAAATTCAGAATATTGAGCATCATTTACTTTTTTTTTTTTTCTTTACCTTGTCATGACTTTCCATACTTTCGGCCTCATGAAAGTTTGTTTAGTTCTTTGGGGTTTTTTGTTTGTTTGTTTTGAGACAGGGTCTTGCCCTGTCACCCAGGCTGGAGTGCAGTGGCACATTCACAGCTCACTGCAGCCTCAACCTCCCAAGTTCAAGTGATCCTCCCCCTCAGCCTCCCCAGTAGCTGGGATTACAGGGGTGTGCCACCACGCACAGCTAATTTTTATGTTTTTTGTAGAGACGAGGTTTTGCCATGTTGCCCAGTCTTGTTTTTTTAGATTTTAAGAGAATAAAATACGTTTTTAAACATATTACCATTGCCTTAAAATTTTTAAAACATTGAATTTAATTTCAGCTGTTTTTGAAAGGTGATATTGAAGAAATTAAAACACTTATTTGAACAAGTTATAACTGAAATTTACAAAGAAATAAATGTCTTTTGAGTTTTATTTGATCCAGCAAAATGATTACTGACCTAAAATGTTTTTTTTCTCAATTCAGCATGGAGCTTGTGTTAATGCCATGGATCTCTGGCAGTTTACTCCACTGCACGAGGCTGCTTCCAAGAACCGTGTAGAAGTCTGCTCTTTGTTACTTAGCCATGGCGCTGATCCTACATTAGTCAACTGCCATGGCAAAAGTGCTGTGGATATGGCTCCAACTCCGGAGCTTAGGGAGAGATTGACTTGTACGTATTTATATCCCGAAATCATTATCGCATAAATTGGAATATTTAATTTCTGTTGAGTTTTATCTACCTTAAATAATAACCTTCCATTCTTACAAGCAGACTAATTCATAATCCTCATTTCTAATTGTATACTTTTCTTCATGAATTCCATGGGAATGTTATATACAGACACTTTTTGTATATATTGTATTTATTCGAGCCTAGTTTTAATTCGTATGTTGAAGCTCCTTTTTTGGTTTTTTGAAGGCTAATGAGGATGAGTCAATCAGCATCCATTTCTTGGATACTTGCAATGTGGCAGGCACTAGAAATATAGCAGTGTACAAACCATTAAAAAGCTCTGAGCTTCTGGGGCTTACATTCTTGTGCTATTGACAGTGATAGGTATCTAGCATTATTGAAACCTCTTATGGGCTTACGTTCTTGTGCCATTGACAGTGACAGGTATCTAGCATTATTGAGCCCTCCCCATTTCCCGAGCCCTGCAAGGCTGCACAATCATATTTTTATTTGTCATGTGTGTTATGACCCAAGTATAATCACTTTCCCATATTTAAGTGAGATTTTAAAAATAATTAGGTTGAGGTCATCTTCTGAATATATTACCAATATATACATGCAAATGTTTTTTAAATAAACTTTTTGTTTCAGCATAGTTAAAGATATAAAAATATTGGATTCTCATTCATGCAATTAATTTAGATACAGCTTTTCAAAAAATCTCTCACCTGGTTATGAAAATAATAAGCTATTAATTGTTCTTTGAAAAATTTTCAAGCTCTGCATTTCTCCCATATTTTAGTCCTTTCCTTTTCTGTGTCAAGACCTAATCACCATTGATATTTTGGTAAATATTTCTGTAAATGTTTTCTATACCATTACTTATGGTGTACTTATGGTGGCAATAGTAGTAGCAAGAGTAGTGACAATACCAAAAATAATGCATCAGCCTGTCCTTTCTTTTTTGAATTTTCATGTACCACTGTATACTTTCATGTCAGTGTATGTAGACCTATCTCTTGTTTAAGAGCTAGAAAGTGTTACAGCATATGTGCACACAAATTATTTAACTGGTTTCCTTTTGGTGGACATTTAGGTTTCCTGTTTCAAAATTTTGCTGCAATAAGTATCTTTATAGGTGTATCTTTATGACTCTGAGAGTGTGAAACAGTCTTATTTCAGAGCATACATACTTCACATTAATCTACATCCTCATCTTTTGCATTTTTATCATCATATTATCACATTGCTGCTGTTGTTAAAATAGAGAAATTCATAAAATAATAATATTCCTACTTATTTATAATCATGCTGAAGATTTTTATACATTTTTACATCTTTTTTTATGTCAACCATTGTTTCATTGACAGATGAATTTAAAGGTCATTCTTTACTACAAGCAGCCAGAGAAGCAGACTTAGCTAAAGTTAAAAAAACACTCGCTCTGGAAATCATTAATTTCAAACAACCGCAGTCTCATGAAACAGCACTGGTAAGATTTTATTGTTAATCTATTCCCTGTGTCTATAATAATAACGTAAGCACAAAATATGATTTTCATTTCAGAAACCTTAAAGTAACTTTAGTATCTGAAATGCCAGGAATTTGCATGTTAATTTTGGTTGCATTGATTTTTAAACTTAGTTTGGGGGGTGATTCTTTTCATGGGTGAGAGAATTGACATTTGCTCAACCTCAATTTGGAAATTATTTTACCTTTGTCTTCCCCACCTCATTATAACAAATCCACTTTTGTGGCCAGTGCTTTCATAAACTACAAGATATGATTTTTCAATAGAATTTTTTTTTCTTATGTTTGCTAGATAAATACTAGATTTCCTTCTGTAGAAGATTAAAGTATATTTTTAGATATTTGCATTATCTTTTTGAGCAATTGTATTCAAAGAACTGATTATATTCATGGTAGAAAAATGGCAAGATCATGAATTTTTTGTTTGATACTATACAAATTATTCTTAAAACTATCCACGTTTTTTTCTTCAAATGCACTTTCGGAAAGATTTATTTATTTTCTTTGTCATTGACACATTAAGGCTCAGCTAGAGAGTGGTTAGTGATCGCTCCTAAATTCAGAATTTAAGCATATGTGATGCCTGCATCACAGACCTTAAATATACCTAATTAATATTCTTACGTATATTTGACACAAAAGATCAAACGTTTGTCAGTATCTGCATAAAACAACATTAAAGGATTGACCAAACTGAAATAGGCTAACTATATGTACACTTAAATACATGTCTCTCAAACTAGGGTTGAGATAGATTCAAGCTACACGGTGTTATGCTAGGAGATATTCATAGCCACAGAATAAACCTGACCCACTTTTTTGGAGTTTTCATTTTATTTAGTTGAAAGTAGTTTTTTATTTTTAAATTTTAATACGAATATTAAAATGAAGCAGAATAAAAAAGTTGTATAAATATTATGTTAAAACCTAAAATTTCTGAGAATATTTTTCTCTAAACTGCTTCAGTTCTATCATTTTCTTGCTTATCCTTGGGCATATAAACGTCTCCTGTAGTGCTGGGAGTACCTCTGTAGAAGAGCTTAGAAATACTGACTTGTGTGGCTGATGGCCTAATGAAAGATTGAGTAACTTAGTTATAGATTTCTGTAGCGTTGCAGAGGCATACGTATTATGATGCTCTCCATGGAATATATAGTGAATATTTATTGATTGGCTAAGCCAAAAGAAATAAGATCTCTCTTAATGTTTAAGAGCATAATTTCACCTTGGTTTAAACGCTTACGTTTTGTATTTCCACTATACGTAGAAAGAATATGGATCATCTCTGTGATATAAAACATATACATATGTTCTGATACTCTGAGATAACAATGTTTTAAATGGTCAGCAGATACTGTTCAATTCCAAGAGCTACTGTACATATGGAAGTGTATTTTATTAACTTGGTTTTGTTTACTTTATAGCACTGTGCTGTGGCCTCTCTGCATCCCAAACGTAAACAAGTGACAGAATTGTTACTTAGAAAAGGAGCAAATGTTAATGAAAAAAATAAAGAGTAAGTATAATTGCAGAAGGAGTTGTTCAGTTCCTAAAGAGGAAATGCAATAAAAGAGAGACAATTACCTTTTCTTTCTTTCCTCTTTTCTGTAGTTTCATGACTCCCCTGCATGTTGCAGCCGAAAGAGCCCATAATGATGTCATGGAAGTTCTGCATAAGCATGGCGCCAAGGTGAGGCACACACCTGAGCAGAGTGCCAGACTCAGCACTGAGCAGCCAGCTGCTCTTAACACTGCTTCTCTCTCTCCGATTTTTCTGAAGAAACTAATTTTATAAAGGACTATTAGTTCGTACTTAAATTCATGGATTCTCCTATAAAGCTGATTTAGATCTTGTTTCTAATAAAAATAATTACCCGTGTTTCTTGATCCTTTAATGTCACCCTTCTGTAAAGCAACAAAATATAGCTATAGTCATTTGAAATAGATTTCATCTTTACATTACTTTCAGTTAATACTATACGGATATATTTTGATAGTGTCCACTTGAATAACAGTTTATCAGAAAATAAATTATGTTAAATGATAGCATCAGAATAGCTCTACTTATTCTAAAAAACATTTGTGGCCAGGCACAGTGGCTCACGCCTGTAATCCCAGCACTTTGGGAGGCCGAGGCAGGTGGATCACGAGGTCAGGAGATGGAGACCATCCTGGCTAAGACGGTGAAACCCCGTCTCTACTAAAAATACAAAAAATTAGCCGGGCGTGGTGGCGGGTGCCTGTAGTCCCAGCTACCCAGGAGGCTGAGGCAGGAGAATGGCATGAACCTGGGAGGCGAAGCTTGCAGTGAGCTGAGATTGCGCCACTACACTCCAGCCTGGGAGACAGAGTGAGAATCTGTCTCAAAAAAAAAAATTGTATGCCTTCAGATTTGTAATAATTTTCTCAACCTCTACACTAAAGAAATATGACATATTTAATAATTTTTACTGGCATTTTCTGAATGGTGTAGTCTGAAACTTTGTCAAGCACTTAAGAGAGGAAAGAAGCAAACTGGTTGTTTTTTAGAGGTGACTTGAAATTATAGATTTTTTCATTCTCAAGAATGTATATTTCAAAGCAGTTGTCTCCAAAGTAGGGTATAGACTCCCTATGGAGCATACAAGATGCCCTGTTGGAAAAATCCTAGCATTTCAATTTATAATACTTTTATTTAAGAATAAGGAAATTCAGATTTACCAATATTGAATACAAAGATGATGCCAGCACTCTCACTAGGTCCACGTGTCAGCCATTGTGACTCGTGATGTCAAGGTTTCCTGAGGTAAGAGTGGGACTTGTTAGTATCGAGGGATTGACAGTGGCAAACTCACTTGTTTGTTCCCTTTCAGCATATTTTGGCATAGTGTACTTTACTTGTGTCCAAATGAGTTGAATTTATGGATATTATCCTAAATGGTAGAACTTTTATAAATATCATACTTGATCAGAGTAGTGACCCTGACAAGGGACACAGGGAGTGACCCTGACATGCTTTTATAGTGTAAAAAGGTGGTCTGGTTATTTTGTGAAGTAGTATTTTAAGGTGTTGTCATAGTTGTGTTCTTTTTAATGAAAATAAAAGGGTTCAAAATTTGTTAATAGTTCTCTGAGGACAAATGACCATGACTTGCATGTAGATACCCTTTAAAAAGGAAACATAATCAGATCCTTAAAGGTAAAAGTTACACACTTTAGGTAAATGATAAAATAACTGCTTTTTTAAAAGAAACTTTAAAAAATGAAGAGAACGTTTTGAACATAGATTTTTAGAAAATGTTCACTTTTCTGTGATTTTGCTGAAAAATGATATAAATGAATCACCCAGCCGTCATATCTACATAATTTAAACACATAAAAACAGAATTTTCTCACCTGTTCAAAAGCCTTCCTTAATTTGGTTTTAGGGTAGATTTTGAATCTATTCAAAACATTGTAATGCAGCACTTCCTAATAACTTCGCAAGAACATCAGTAAAGATGGAATTTTACTACAGAATTTCAATGAAAGCCTTAGCATAATTAGTAAATTACATTAAAATTAGGCATTCTGATTGAGTAGGCATAGTTAACAATGCATTTATTTCATTGGCTCCATGAATCTGTATGAAATCTTTGCAACTAATATAGCCATTCAAACTAATTATCAAAAATGAACTTAGAGCCACGTGTAGTGGCCCGTAATCACTCCTGTAATCCCAGAGCTTTAGGAGGCAAAGGCAGAAGGATTGCTTGAGGCCAGGAGTTCGACACCAGCCTGGGCAACACAGCAAGACACTATCTCTACAAAAAATTTAAAAATTAGCCAGTCGTGGTGGTGTGCACCTATAGTCCTAGCGACTCGGGAGGCTGAGGCAGGAAGATCACTTGATCCCAGGAGTTTGAGGCTGCAGTGAGGTATGATCATACCACTGTACTGCAGCCTGGGCAACAGAGCAAGACTCTGTCTCTAAAGAAAAATGAAATGAACCTAAAATTAAACCCTCAAATTCCTAATATCACAATTTTTATAAGTTTTTTTAAATGTTTAAACTACAGTCAATGGATATTTTCTAGCATAAGTAATTAAAATATGTTTTGGACAGGTACCATAGCCTATGCCTTAATCCCAGCACTTTGGGAGACTGAGGTGGGAGGATCGCTTGAGCCCAGGATTTTGAGATCAGCTGGGCAACACAGGCCAACCCCGTCTCTACAAATAATAAAAAAAAATAGCCAGATGTGGTGGTGCATTCCTGTAGTCCCAGCTACTCGGGAGGCTGAGGTGGGAAAATCACTTGAGCCCAAGAGGTCGAGGCTGTAGTGAGCTGTAATCATGCCACTACACTGTAGCCTGGGTGACAGAGCAGTACTCTATCTCAGAAAATAATAATCATGAAATCTTTTTAAATTTTTAATTATTTCATCTCTTTCTCATCCTTCATAAATTCTCTTTGTGTAAGTTTTATAATAGTATAGCACTTCTTGGTTATAATTTACAAAGAAATTCATATATATATATTAAGTGTTCTCAAAACTTTTCTACCTGGAGGGTGTGTGATTTAAAAATTTGGATATCACTGCCTTAAAATGGCACTTTATGTTTTTAATTTATGAAATGAAGACAAAGTGGAATAAAAGGGAACAGAGTTCTACAGATGTATTACCTATTTTGTAGGTACAACTACTGCATTATTATATAAGTAGCATCTTGTTGCTCTTTCAAGCAGAAAACACTAAGCTAAGTGACATTTCTGCTACACTTAGGAGCTTTGTACATTTATCTTTGACCCGTTTTTGCAAATATCTAATGACATTTATAATGCTCTTGAAAAATTAGGAATAATGCCCTTCATTTTGGGAAAATAGTATCTATTTATTGTCTCCCATCAGGCATTTTAGTTTATAAAGGTTCAATGGAAAATAACATTATGACTTGTTCTAGTCAGCCTTTCTCTAGGTCTGTGGTTCTCACTCTTTATTTGCCCTTTATGTGCACAGTACATTTTCATCAGTAACATCTTAGTTCATTACTAGCCCTGTCAATGACTTAGAAGAACTTCTAGACTTTTGTGTTCATCCTAGTCTTTCCACTGTAGTTCATCTACATTGATAACGCTTGCTAGTAGGCACTTAAAAAAGAGGAGAGTTATATTTAATCAGAGTTATGAACCCATAGATATCAATTGCTATCAGTAGATATCAAATGCCGTAGCAACTCCTATTTACCCCATCCCAAGGCAGGATGCTGTTCCTCATGGTTGGTGTATCTGGTGATTAATGTGTTGTAAAAAACTCCCTGTAAGAAACTCACTTAGCTATTGTTGGGCTCCCATTTTTTCTTGCGTAGTATTTCTTTCTGAGGAACTCATGGTTTCTGTATGATTTTCAGGCAACTCATGGTTTCCATTTGATTCTGAACACACTTTCTGAACAAGCAGCACCAGTTTTTAATTAGGATTCAGCCCTCTTCCACTGCTTCTAGCACCCTGCTGCCTTCCCCTACTCTTGATGAATCAATTTCTCAGGCAAAGGCAGAAGAATTTGGGATGAAGACCTAATTATCATTAAGTAATTTGCCTTACTTTGACAGAACTTAGTGGTATTTTTATAAGCCAAAACATTCTTTTGCCCAAAACCTGGTAATACATACAAACTTGAGGTTTGCTGTTAATGTTAAACTAAATGTACGCCATATATAACCTAGACAGGCATGCTTTTGAGTTTAGAATCCTCCACTTTCTAGTTTTGTGACCTTGGGCTAAATTTCCCTGAGTCTCAGTTGACTAATCAGTGATATGTGAAGCAACCGCCCTACAGGCTTTTTTTTTTTTTAATCAAATGAGCATATGTATATAAATATGTAGTATAGTGCTTAACACACAGATAATGTTTTGGTTATTTGTGAATATGAGCCTTTTTTCCCACATTTGTCTTTTCAAATGTGTATGTACTATGTATTTCCCTTTAATTATCTAAATTTTATAAGACACATATCTAATCCCTTTATAATTGGGTTTGATCCACTAACTCCATAAATATTGGCATGCAAAATAATCAAGACTGTAGTAGATACTGTGGAAAATACCAGTTTGAAAGTTAATGCAGTTACCAAACTTGACCTCAGTCCTGAATCAATTTAGCAGCATTAGTAATGAAGAAGGAAGAGGAAGATAAAAGCCACTTATGAAGGAGTAATTATATTACCTGGAAATGAATTGGGTGTTAGAGTGGACTTAGAGAATGGTGGTGCAATTAATGGAAGTAAGAAAGCTACAGAGAAACACTGGTTTCCTACGCCTTGATAATGATTTTCTACTTGAAGTTGATATTACAGAAAGACATTTAATAAAACCAGCAGTTGGAAAGACAGCATCAGAGTATAAAAGAGTTTAAGATTAGAAAGATCTACTGAGAATTCACATAGTGATTCTACATTTTAGGAGCAAGTACGGTCCCTGGTAGAGAAAGCATGGAAAGAAGGGAGTTAAGGAAAGATCCTTTGAGGATTGCCCATGTTTATAGAGCGGTGGTGGGAAGAGAAAGCTGGAAGTTCTATCACAGTGTCTACAGAGTACAGGAGGAGTATGAAGAAGGAGCAGGTGACCAGTGCCACTGAGAGAAATCAAGGCAGACTGGGGCATTACTTAGACCGTTTTTATATGAGGGCTTTGGTAGTTTTTGAAGGAGAGATTCTAAGGAGATAGAAGCAGAGATATATCTCAGTTAGGGTCTTCGCAATAAATGGCACACTTAAAGTGGGTAATTTGATGAAAGTTTAATAAAGGAACTGTATAGAAACGTGGGCAAGGTTCAAGGAAAGTAGCAAGGAAAGAGGTTGTACTAGCAGCAGGGGGGGCGGGTATGATCATCTCTGGTCTGAAGGGACAAGGCAAAGGAGAGGTTCTTGGTGCTGGAAGATGGTAGCTGTATGGAAAAGGCCACCTGGTACCACCTGTAGCCTTTGATCAAAGGATGTATCTAATGTTACTCTTCATTGTCCTGCTGTCCTCTATCTCCTCCCAGTACCCCCCATCTCCTCCCAGTGCCCGTGACCAAATTCAACAAAACAGTGAAGACCAAAAGAGTCTGTTGATGTGGTTCATACAAGTGATTTTCTCAGGACCCAGAGCAAGGTGGAGGATGGCTGTGGCTCTAGAGGGGAATAAGGGCAATATTCAGCAAAAGATTAGAAAACAAATTGCTAGTAAGGAGAGTTACAAGAACATTGGAGCATTACCCAATTCATTTGAAAAATCCTCATTTACTAGGAGTAAACTTTTGTTCCTTAAAAAAAATCAATAATTTATTATCCCCTGCTTTTTGGGAGTACTATAAAGTCTAAATAGGAAAGACATGAAGACTTTATCCTTCATGTGGCAATTTTTTCTTTATTATGGTTAGTCTGCCCTGGCATTCTGCATTCTGTCAGTAATGAATTGTCTGCTCTCATTATTAAGAAAACTTACGCCCCAACTGCATATGGTATTCAAGAAGTTTAATTCATAAATGCATTTCTTCATATATAAAGCATAGCTATTTTGTCATTATGTGCATCTGTTAAATACGTGAAACATGAAGGAATTTTTTTGACAGTTCATATTCATATGTCTTAATTTGACAGATTTATTTACATTGTGTTTAAGAAGATATTGTGACATAATAATTGACATTTAATAGGCTTATTTCTCACATTTAGAAGCGATCACGAGTCTTTGCTCACTTGGGGAAATGTGTCAGCCCATTATAAGAGTTTTATTAATGCTTTTCTAGAGGTAGATTGATAAGTAGATTGTTAGCGCAAAGATGTTAAAGTACTTTTAAAGATACTATAGCTCTAAAGTATCTTTTACAGTGTAAATAATATCTGAGGTTTGATCATACCAAAATAAAGTCCAAAGGGGCAAGTGTCCCAGAGACATTTTAGTTCTCAGTAACAAACCAACTCAATCTAGATTAAACACAAATGGAAATATATTTTATACTAATATAAATGTATATTAATGCAAATGTGTTTATTACTTCTGTGAGAAACCCGTATGGTTATCTCCCAGAAATATGTGTAAGAATTGTAGCTGAGATTCACAAAAGACCAGAACAAGGAATTTAGAAACTATCAGGTACTTTGGCTGCCGTTCTCTATGTCTCTGCCTCCCTGCTTCCCTCTTTCCCCTCTTCTGTGTCTCCGTCGCTCCCTGTCTTTCTCTCTCTTTCTCTTTCTCTGAGGTTTCTTTTCTCTGCCAGTGTTTGTTCATCTGGTTCATTCTTCTTTCTGCAGACTGGATTTTTCTGTATTATTTCTCTATGGCCTAAATGTGGTCTTTTACAACCCATACTTTATGTGTCCTTGGCTTAGAAGTATACCACCTGCAGCTGATAGGGTCTGTCCCGTCTCTGGGATGAAAAAGGGAGAATTATAAATAAGAGTCGCTTGTTGAGTACGAGCATTCATTGGATTGGCACCCTCTAGTCTATAATCACTTTTGCTCAGTTTGTTATTTCTTAAGGCACGTGAGCAAGATTAGTACCCCTTGAAACCACCAAAGATAATCTGTTGTATTATAATATATATATATATATATATATATATATATTTTCAGGGAATTTGATTGTTTCTTTTAAATTTCCACAGGAATCTTTACAGATAGCACACTCAAGTTCAGCTAGCAAATAGAAATCCAGTTCCGTACTCTGTAGTGAGTTCACAACACATTAAAGGATTAAAAAACATTTCAAGTAAAATATTGATTACTATGTCAGTATTGTATTGAAAAATTGTGTTCATTTGTCTCTTTCATTCCTCATAGGAAGTGCTTTAACTATGCATACCACCAAGGATAATGATGAATACTTGTAAAACACCTGTAAAAACATTAGAATCAATTTAAATTATATTTTGATTACAGATAAAGCAAATTCATTTTCAATATTAAGCAATTCTATAAACACTGGCATTTACCCTTCTCCCTCAATTTCCAGGGAAAGAGGAATGCATTTTGGTTAGATAGCGAACATTTTAGTAGTTCCTAATGTTTGTTCAATATACAGAACAGTATGTCAAAAGTAGTATTTTTTATCACCAGAATTTATTAGTTTGTTGCTCTTGTGAGGCATTCACTTACCAACCATTTTCAAATATCTGTTTATACAAGGCATGGTACTTACTGCTGAGAGGATGTATAAAGTTTGAATTTGATCAAGATCCTTCTCTTAAGGAACTTAAAATCTAATTGTCTAACACAGTCTACTTGACTACTATATGAACTGGAAAGTAGTATATATAATAAGAGAAGTATAGATTGATTTATATTCAGAGGAATAAACAGTTATTTCTGTTGGTGGTGGCAGCCTGGGGAAGAGATTGGAGAAATCTCATGAAGAAAATAGAATTTCAGCTAGGAATGTTCAGGAATCAAATATATAGATATATACAGGCAAAATACAAACAATACATTTTCAGTAAGGACTGAAAATCAGGGAAGTAAAGGGGTTTGTTTGTTAAACTGTCAGAAGTTATTAGTTAGTCCAAAAGGTACAGAAAATGGAAACAATGAAAAGCAAGATCTTTGTATTGTCAATTGGAGAGTTTAAACTTTGTTCTCATAATACTTGGAGAACCTATCATTTGTTCTTCTATCATAGATATATTAATGCCTGTTAATTTTTTTAATTGTTGACTTTCAATTTGTTGTGGTTTGAGAAAAAAAATGCAGTGTCACTCTAGCTAAAGAGTACAGACTGTTTTCAACTCTCGGCTTACTTGAAATCAGCTTTTAGGTTGAGGCAAACACATGTTCACAGTTAAAGGTGTTAAGTACGGATGTCACAGAACAGTTTGTGATTAATTACCAAATGAGTGATGTAGACAATGATAGCTTTAAGTTTAGGAGAAGTGGCCTCAGGATTAGCTGTCTGAGACTAGGCTGTTCACACTGAGTAGAATATTGAAGGATTCCCCTCAGCCATTTCTTTGTGGTCTGCTTGCCGGTTTCCAGAACTGTTTTGGCATTTTTTGAATCATAATTTCATGTCCTAAATATTTCGGGCCAAGTGTCATTGTGATTTTATATAGTTTTACTGAGTTATTCATCTTCTGTAAAGTCATTTTTGCTGCTCAGTTAGAAATGAAAATACGTACACTAAGGTTGCAATCTCTAGATACAAGGAAAAGTGGGAATATGTTTTACCTCTAAAACTGCCAGACATCTATTATTCTGACTCCTGAATGGATAGGTCAAGCCAGTCTTAAGCATTTAATTACCACAGTTGAGGGGTAACATTAAATGTAGGAGTCTCTTTATTTGAGACAGTTTCTGTAACCTGGTGAAAATAATCACTTTAGTGCTGAATGTTAAGTATTTTTTAGTGACATCAAATCATGTTCCCATGCTTCAATAAGTTGGATTGGGAGTTCCCATTACTATAATAGAATAAGTTAGTATGTTTCTTACCCAGTTTCCAGAAAAATGTTAATGATTAGAATGTTCACAATTTTAGATTTTTCTTTTGTGCTGAAGAAGTAACAAAGAAATCAAAATTCAAGTTAGTTTGGTAGCTTGTGTTATCCATTGATACATGCTAATGGCTGTGCTTTTTTGTTGGTATGTATCAGCAGTCATTTTTCTTCTGGCAAATGTGATAGAGTTAAATATGTTACTATTTCATGGGAGTTTTGTGAAAGACCATCAAGAATTTGTATGAACCCTTTCCTGAGTAAGTACAACAGCCTTACTGGTAATGATAAAAGACTGGCGACAGGGAGACTAGTTGTCTTTTATCCTTTCTTTTCTTAATCTTGTATTTAGTGGGTGTACACAAATATTTTCAATAATCAACCAGCATATAATTGAGAATTTACTGTGTACCTTTAGCAGGAGCTTTCTAGAGGACCCAGAAAGTCTGTGTGTAACATGCACTCATATTCTCAATAACCTTAGTTTAACTCAATAAACAAAAATTACCCCAGTATTATATTTTATAAGACAGTAAAGTGCTAAATTGACATAGATGTTCAGAAAAGGAGTAATCAAAGTCTTCAAGAAATCAAGGAAGACTTCTTGGAGATGAGGAGACTTATCTACACTGGATCTCAGGAGCCATAAAGGCAGAAAGAAGGGTTTCTCTGAAAAGAGCAGCAAGCACAATGAACGTGGACTTGGGTCTGACTGGAGTAGAGGGTGCTGATTGGGATCTGCTGGAAGATAAGATGAGTCAGGTTTGACCAGATTAAGAACATGATGCCAGTGTTTCACATTGTCTTAAGCAGTCTCACAACTAGCTAAATGATTCTTCTTCCTGTGTATAATAACTCTTCAAAGCTTTAAAAAGGAATGTTTGAATCCTCAAATCTTTTTTTTGCTTAAATATGCTTGTAATTCAATTAAGATATTATAATTAGCTATATTACCTAAATTAGAAAAGAAATATAATCAACTACTTTGACAGTCTTTGCTTACATATGCTGTTGTCTTTATATTCTGGGGAAAAGTTTGGTAAAAATCCATTCATTCAGAAGAATTTGGTGAGCATCCTCATTGTGGCAAGCAGTAAATACCAGACCAGAGTTGCTGCCTCCATAGACCAGTCTAGTCGTCGAAGGGAGTAGCAGAAATGGGAAATGGTCAGGAAAATGGTCATTCCGGGAAGAAAGGGTATGTTGTAATTTTCAGTAAGGTGATCAGAGAAGGGTAACTAAAAAGAAGATAGTTCTTCAGAATCAGTGAGCAAAAGTTTATAATCAATATCTATGAGACTTTTTAAAAGCTTTGAAAGTTGATTTTTTTTTCATAAGAATGTATTTTCTAAGGTATAAAAGGAAACTAAACAAGATGCTCAATTCCATGTGCCCACGCAATGATTTTTCAGATGAATGCACTGGACACCCTTGGTCAGACTGCTTTGCATAGAGCCGCCCTAGCAGGTCACCTGCAGACCTGCCGCCTCCTGCTGAGTTACGGCTCTGACCCCTCCATCATCTCCTTACAAGGCTTCACAGCAGCACAGATGGGCAATGAAGCAGTGCAGCAGATTCTGAGTGGTGAGTTAAAATAGACCAACAGGGCATTTTATGTTTTCTCTTCCATCCCTGCTGAAATACACAGACAAACTTTGCAGTGTTTACTTTGCCTGAAGTTTTTCTCATGTCTTTTCTTGCAATTTAGCCTGTGGACTTCCCCATCTCCCTTTTTTGGTAGGGTAAGGTAGGTGTCATGGGAAGGAAGCAGATACAGCTTTTAGTTTTTTTAGGTTTAAATTGAAAACCTGACTCATGAGTGTTCTGATCAAAGGTGACTTAAAACTCATATAAACAGTGTGGAATTATGGTAGCTATAAAATCTATCAAATAGAGAAAATTATAAATCATTCATATGGTAATGACATTTAATTAATTGTTCCTACCTGTGTAAAATTCTGACATACTTTTAAAATTCTTAACTTCATTGCATTATTATAAAATTATCTTGTCTTTTTCTGGCTTAAATATAATTATAGGCCGGGCACAGTGGCTCACTCCTGTAATCCCAATACTTTGGGATGCCGAGGCAGGCAGATCACGAGGACAGGAGATCGAGACCATCTTGGCCAACATGGTGAAACCCTGTCTCTATTAAAAATACAAAAATTAGCTGGGCGGAGTGGCGCATGCCTTGTAGCCCCAGCTACTTGGGAGGCTGAGGCAAGGAGAATTGCTTGAACGCGGGAGGCGGAGGTTGCAGTGAGCCGAGATCACGCCACTGCACTCCAGCCTGGAGACAGAGTGAAACTCTGTCTCAAAAATAAATAAATAAATTATATATATATATAAAATTATAAAATTTTGCTGAATGTTTCATTGTCTGCCTGGTATAGTGTTAGATATTTTAAATATAAATTGATAAGAAAATAGATACTGGCTTCCTAAGTCCCAAAACTAGAGGAAGTAATGCAGTCTACCTACTGACAAAATGAACTAGAATCAAAAGTTTAGTATAATTAACCTCTTTCCTAACCTTTTAATTTTGTCTGTGGATTATATCTGCTATGGAATGAAATGACAAACCAGAAGAGTAAAATGTAGAAGGCTATAGACTAGGAGTCAGAAGTCCTGGTTACTTTTTTCTACCTACAGTCTGGTAGTTCTTAACTCTATCAGGTACAGTGCCCGCTTTTTATAAAGAATGTCTTATGACATATCCTTATGACATTTCAGAAGTGAAATTCATAGATAATATGACCTAACTGTATAGGTACCTTTCCAAAAATCTATATAAAACGCCCTAACTAGATCGGGCATGGTGGCTGACGCCTGTAATCCCAGCACTTTGGGAGGCCGAGGTGGGCGGATCACGAGGTCAGGAGTTCCAGACCACCTTGGCCAACATGGTGAAACCCCCATCTCTACTAAATGTTAAAAAATTAGCCGGGTGTGGTGGTGCGTGCCTGTAATTCCAGCTACTCGGGAGCCTGAGGCAGGAGAATCACTGGAACCTAGGAGACGGAGGTTGCAGTGAGCCAAGATCGCGCCACTGCACTCCATCCAGCCTGGGTGACAGAGCGAGACTCCATCTCAACAAAAAAAAAAGAAAAGAAAAGAAAAAAATGCCCTAACTATAATATAAAGGGAAAATAGCAGTAAGTTACAATAAAATAATTTATAGTTCTTATGTAAATAGATTGGACACAACTATATTAGAAGACAAAACATGACCCCACAGATTTCTAAAGGGACCCCAAGAAATACAGCCAAGTTGAGAATCACTGCTATATGATGCAACAGGGACCCTTCTAGGGCTTGTAGAGATTATGATATGTGTATATTGTTATAGGAAGATCAGAGCTAAATAGCATAATAAAACTAATTGTGCAACATTGTGAAAACTATTGATGAGGATTTATTTTCCTCATGCTAGGTCATTCGTAGATAGTGATCATTCTACTTCAGCCTTAATGGTGATCTTGAGACGGGAAGATTTAGAAGGAAATCTATCTAGCATGTCTTCACTATCAACATGAGTAAGATCCAGCTGAACAAATGAAATTTTCTATATAAATTTCAAGCTTGAACTCAAAAAAAAAAAAAAAAAAAAGACTTTGACTTCCTGTTTTTATGGAGTGATAGAACATTTGCTTAAAGGAGATATTACTCCTTGCCTAGGAAATATTTCTTCCCTCTCAGTAAATTCTAATGATTTCTAAAAGTTGTGATTTTTGTTAAAATTTCTAAATTTTCTCATTTTACTGAGAATCATTTAGTACCGAATTTTAAGTTAGTTTCTGTATGTTTTAACCATAAGTCAGGCAAACACATAGCTTTGCCTCAAATTATGTGCATAGCTTTTAGAGATAATTAACAAAATGGAGAAGAAAGTATTGAATAAATCAAGCATATCAGATCCATATAATACTTTTAAAATGTCTTCTTACTGAATGCAGTTAGAATATATGAGTTCTGGCAAAAGATAAAACTAAATACTGAATACAAATGAAATATTTTTCTTCGATTATTTTGATAAATCTCCTTTAAAATTGATTTTTGAAATAAGACATTATATAGGTAATTAAATGCTTAATTTAGAACATGCAGAACTTTTTAGTTTAATTCTTTATTGATCTGGAAAGCTAATACAAATAAAAAATATATATAGGAAAATTTTGCCCTCCAAAAGGTTTTTTTTTTTTGTAATGGGAATTGTTTCTTATTTGAAATAGGATATGAGTTTTTAAACTACTATTTTTACCAGGAATTTGTATGTCTCTGTAGACTATGGACCATGCATTAGCTGAACTTTTTAGTTATTTATTAACCCAATATCAGGTTATATCTATAATGACTTTTGAAAGAATATATTAATATCAGTCAAATAAGATGTATAGTAATTTGTTTTGTTCTGGATAACATTTTATAAGATTCATTTAAATACACTTGTTAATACGGGTTTGAGATCTACTTTAGAAACCTGCACTTTCAACTCTCAAGTCTGTAGTTGCCAGAAGTTTACATTAATAAAGTTTTCATTATAAACTGCTGGCAATATTTGTGTCAAAACTAACATCAATGTAAAGAAAACAAGAGAAGCAGCTTTTTATGAATTAGCACTTTAAAACATTATTTCCAAAGATTTGATTTCTTTCTCTAGACTTGCTCTTTCCAATATGGTAGCCACTAGCTACATCTGGCTACATTTAAACTAATTAAAATTAAATAAAATGGAAAATCTTTCCATTAGTTACACTAGCCACATTTCAGGTATTCCGTAGTCACACGTGGCTAATGGCTAGCATAATAGCACAAATAACACTATTTCTAGCACCACAGACAGTTCTTTTGGCCATTTCTTTTAAGTTCGATCTTGACCTGAATTCTTGCGATTGTATAACCCAGTGTGGGATAAGCATTACTTTCATCTACACAGGTAAAGATTAGGCTTATGATACCTAAATTAAACATTGAAACCCCATTTACAGTGGCACATTGAAATAAGCCATTAAGACCTGTTGCCAGTCCAGTAGTCTAATATTGATCAAACTACTAAGTCTATAAAAGATGTTTTTAAAAATAGGCTGCTTCCTAGCGTTTCTAACTTTTTAAAAACTCTAATGAGCCAGAAAAAGATTGGAGACAAAATAAGAAGCCCATCTTTAATCTTTGATTCTAGGTGACTATAATTTCATGTTCTACAGGCTGAGTGTGGTTGCTCACGCCTATAATCCCTGCACTTTGGGAGGCAACGGTGGGAGGATTGCTTGAGCTCAGGAGTTCAAGCCCAGCTTGGGCAACATGGCGAAACCCCGTCTCTACTTAAAAATTTTTAAAAATTAGCCGGGTATGGTGGTGCATGCCTATGGTCCCAACTACTCAGGAGGCTAAGACAAGAGGATCACTTGAGCCCAGGATTTCAAGACCAGCCAGGGCAACATAGTGAGACCCCATCTCTAAAAAGAAAGAACTAAACAAATAAATAAATTTCATGTTATACAAACCTAGCATACTTACAAAGAATTTTACTAATATAGTACTTTGCATACAAGCTACTCTTTCACTCATGTTCCTTTTTTAATTTCATTTTTTATATCTCTTTTAATTGTGCATCACTTTATACAAAGTTCCTGGGCTGTATGTAAGTCATTTCAGCTAATACATTTTTCGCATTATTTCTAAAAACAAGTCTATCCTAGGCCTTATTCAAGATATGTAATAGGTGCAGGTCTCTACAATCTGGATAGTAATTAACCAATATTTTAAACATCTTTACTTTCTCCTCTTTAACCAGGACTAATAATTCTTTTCTCATAGTTCCAGAAGCATTCTTATATTTGCTTAAGACTTTTTGCTTGATTGGAAAATTATACTCTTTAGTAGACAGTCCGCATCAAGATATGTGTTCCAATTTCAAATAGTTCTTAGATTTCAAAAATTTTGCCATATTAAATGTATCCTTAAAGTGCTGTCATCGAAAAATACTCAGTTATAACTCTATATACATAAACAATTGTCTCTTTATTTTGTTGAAATGAAAAACTAAAAATATTACCTGTAGATATTGAAAGGATATATCAGTGAATTTTGTCAAATCCAGAATCACTGTCATAGAGACATAATATACACACAGCATCTTACCTATAAATGCGGTAGTGTATGTGCACACTTATAATGGAGACTAATGAGACAATGAAAGAACAGAATAAGAGCAGCCAAAAAAAGAGCTAAGATTTGATAGACTCATTGACCCCAATACATAGTGGAAATCCATCCAGGAAATGCTTTTGGAATGCTCTCTGTGTGAAAAGGAATATAAAGATGAGCAAGATCTGGTTCCTTTCCTCAACATTTCCACAAATTAAAATGTAATATAACTCTTAAGAATAATAATTCAAAGATTTACTTTGTTATATGAAACACTCTCTTTTTTCCTCCCTTAATCTCAGCATTTTACCTGCTATTATGATCAAATAAGTAGTTTATCTTTTACTGAAGAATTGTCATAACTTATTCTGTAAAAGCCACTCTCTCCTGAAATCTACAACCTCTTCATAGCATCACTTGATCCTCCCACTTGGACATTGGGCTCAAAAAAGATGTCTCTGATCATAAGATAATACAATCTTAGATCTGAAAGATTTTCAGCACTCACTTTATAAGGGCAAAAACTAAACTGTTACATGAGTTGTCCAAAGTTGTAGATTATAGAGCCCAGTCTAAAATGTAGGCCTCCTGGAGATCCATCCTTTTGTGTTAACATAATGTGTGCTCATTCTAAAAGCCACACTTCATGTACATAAACATACTTTTGGTTGACATATTATAAATTGTTTTCTTTAAAAACTTATTTTATTTGGGTCAATGTGAAATGAATTTTCAGTTTATTTACATTGGATTAATCAAAATAATAACTCATTTGTTAGCCTCTAGACCTAACAGCCCAATTTAATTATATTCTGTTTCGCATTGCTATCATACCTCCAATTATACAAACATTGAAAGTTGCATTTTCCTAAAGCCATTCAATAAATGTGAATTAAACAAATGTCTGTATTTAGTAGCCCTTTTCTGTTCACTGATTATACTTCACAAGATGATTCTGATTTTAAAAGTAGTACATTGAGACTAAAAGAAAAATCAAGGCTGGGCGCAGTGGCTCACATCTGTAATCCCAGCACTTTGGGAGGCTGAAGCAGGAGGATCACTTGAGCCCAGGAGTTTGTGACCAGCCTGGGCAACATGGTGAAAACCCATCTCCACAAAATATACAAAAACTAGCTGGGCGTGGTGGTGTACACGTGTGGTCTCAGCTACTTGGGGCTGAGGTGGGGAGGATTGCTTGATCCTGGAAGGTTGAGGCTACAGTGAACTGTGATCACGCCACTGCACTGCAGCCTTGGTGACAGAGCAACTGTCTCAAAAAATAAATACATACATATGTACATACATAAAAAAAGTAAACATTAAGTACTGAAAGTTGTGTGGCTTCCCTAGGTTTGTATAACAAATCTATGGCAAAGTTTTGCTACAACATTTAGTAAAACCAAACTAAATAATTTTTCCTCCTGAACTACTTTGCAATCCCTCAAGAACCATTTTTGTTTCCAAAATCAATGCAGTTGGAATATATGAGTTTGGATATATATATGAGTTCTTTCCTTCCTTTTATGCAGAGAGTACACCTATACGTACTTCTGATGTTGATTATCGACTCTTAGAGGCATCTAAAGCTGGAGACTTGGAAACTGTGAAGGTAAGTCAGTGCCCTTAATATCTGGAATAGCACTGTTGAACTTTGCTAACCAATTCATTTTTAAGCTTCTAAGTATATCTACTCAAATACAAACAGTAAAAAGGATGAACAGAGTCATGGGCAGGAAAAATCTGTACTACTATTAAGGAATTCCCAGTATGTGCCTTGTATTTATGAAACCATTTGTATATATATGTGTGTGTATGTATATAGGTAGATAGACAGATGGATATATACATACACACACACACATATACATGGTTTTTAGTAATTTTTCTTCAGGTTACATGAAAGCTCTTTTAATTTCACTTATATTAATTACAGTGTTACTATTTTTGGCTGCATTCACAAAATGTATAAACTAGATCGAGCCCAGACATTAGCAGGATGACATTTGAAAGAATATTTCTTGATCTTTTCTCAGAGGTTCACACATTTATTCTAGGAAAGCATTCCTGTGATCCCTCAACAGTGGAATTATTCATATGCAGAAGATAGATTTTTTCCCTGTGTAGCTCTACTTGCTTCAAAAATTTTATCAGTCTGTATTTGTGGTATAGAAACAATGGTTGTAGTTTTATTTTTTTTCAAATATAGTCATATTCTAATACTAAGTATGCTTTTTTAAAACACACATTTCCCATCTATAATCATTCACTTAGGGATGAAGTTAGCAAAAGTTTTTTGTTTGGAGATTGGTCTTTTGGGGTTTGTTTTTTGTTGTTTTTTACGAGACAAGGTCTTGCTGTATTGCCCAGGCAGGCCTCAAACTCCTGGGGCTCAAGCAATCCTCTTGCCTTACCCTGCCTACTATCCAAGTAGCTGAGACTACAGGTGTGCACCACTGCACCCAGCTTTGCCTTTATTATTTTTATCGAAAAGTTAATAGCAAATTTGCTATTGACACTCAGTACTTTTTACGACATACTGTCAACTTTGTCACCTCTTCTTAAGCAAACTTTTTGCGATTTTTAGCAAACTAATTTTAGCATTCTTGATAACATATACTGGTTGAAAGTGACGGTAAACACGTTTTAAGCTCTGTTGCCTAGAAATTTTATTTTTGTTTTAATATGTGGGCACTTCCAGGATCACATCCAACTTACGATAGCATCTAAGTTATTTAAAGAATAATAGTAAATTTTAGTTGTGATAGCCACTAGGGAGAAATTTTTATGTTGTCTTAAATCTAAAACTGTACATTTTTTCTTAAAAATGCTTCATCACTTGAAATGTATTCTAATAAAAGAAAATTCTTAAATATAAGACGATTAGGCTTCCTTTCAGAGCATGATCATCTCAGTGCTTGAATTGCTATATGTGCTTATTATAATTAATACATACTTTATTTTTAAAGCATACAGTTTTAAATTCCATGTGTTTTGTATATGATAAGCAGATGTATACTACAGCTTTTAGGTTTCTTAAACAATCCATTCACAGTGAAGGCCTAATTTATTTTGATCTGTGGAATGGAAGTAGCAAAAGAAAACAAAGCAGCACAAATTGAGTGAGAATTAGGCCTGGTAAATTTCTTCCCCAAGAGACTTTAGAAAGTAGTAGAACTGAGGTTTTAGAAGAAAAGGCTGCCTGCTGAATAAAGCATTTGAAATTGTGAAAAGTAAGTAGGAAGGATGTGAAATTGCTTTGCCATTCGAAAGAAAACTGAAACAGAATAAAGAATTTCTAAATCTTAAAAATCAAATATTTAATAAGCAGGATGGGCTTCTATTTCTGTAGCCTCACAAAATGAGTTGTGTTTCATTCCCTACCTATTCCTATTTTGTCAGTATTCTGACAAATAGAATAATAATAGAGTTAATTTAGAATGTAAGAACCAGTGGGGGAAAGCAGCATTAGGAAGAAGCTTCAATCATGTCAGACTCCTTAGAGGGTGTTTATTATCAATTTTTGCATCTTTTCTTTTTGATTTATGTATTTATTCATTTTTTATTTAATTTGATTTGTCAATTATGCTGTTTATATATTAATATAGCCACAGACTCATTTGTCATGAAAAGATATTTGACCTGGTCACATTACAATGGCTCTTCAGATTTTAGAGGCTGGTGCATTTCCGTATAGAGTTGATGAAACTGTGAACTCGCCTTTACTGCCCAGACTCCTTCCTGTCATGTGAAAATTACACCACTTAAAAAGCGCTTGTTTTTATCCTACCTGTGTGAAAGCTTCTTGTCTTAGTCTATTTGTGCTGCTATAAAAAAATACCATAGACTGGGCAATTTCTAAGCAATAGAAATTTATTTCTCTCAGTTCTGGAGGCTAGGAAGTCCAAGATCCAGGTACTCGTAGGCTTAGTGTCTGGTGGGGACCCCGTCTCTCTGCCTTCAAGGTGGTGTCTTGTTGCTGCCTCTTCTGGAGGGGACAAATGCTGTATCCTCACTTGGCAGAAGGCGGAAGGGCAAAACGGCCAAATGCTGTGTGAAGCCTCTTTTAGAAAGGCCTTAAGCCCACATTCAGGAGGGAAGAGTCCGCATGACCCAGTCACCTCCTTAACACTATTGCATTGGAGATTAAGTTTCAACATGAATTCCAGAAGGACACAAACATTCAACCCGTAGCACTCCTACTTCCTCTATCAGTAGAAATTTTTCAGGTTCTTAATTTTTATGTAATAATAGCTTATTACTGTGACGGAAGTGGCAGCAAAATTAGTGAATACCTGAAAATCCCCAGGGACCCTGCAATCGTCCTTTATAGCCTAGAGCATGCTATTGTCTGCTCTGCTTCATTTGCTTTTTCTGTTTTTCATTGCCTTTCTTCTGATCACTTCCCTCAAGTTGGATAATTAGGAAAGTAAGCGATGATGCATGATGTAGCAGAAAGACTAAGAGGTTAAAAATCAGTAAAGCAGGGTTTGAGTCTTTATTCTACCCCTTACCAACTGTTTGACAAGGATAACTCACTTAACCTTCATCCCTGATTTATTTATCTGTAAAGTTAATTTATAAATTAATCTCCATCCCTGGTTTGTTATCTATCAACTTCTTAGACATATAATAATTTCCTCACTGAAAGAATATGATATTCTTTTTTTTTTTTTTTTTTTTTGAGATGGGGTCTCACTCTGTCACCAGACTAAAGTGCAGTAGCGTGATTTCGGCTCACTGCAACCTCTGCCTCCTGGGTTCAAGCAATTCTCCTGCCTCAGCCTCCCAGCGAGTAGCTGGGACTACAGGCACGCGCCACCATGCCCAGCTAATTTTTGTATTTTTAGTAGAGATGAGGTTTCACTATGTTGGCCAGGATGGTCTCGATCTCTTGACCTCGTGATCTGCCTGCCTTGGCCTCCCAAAGTGCTGGGATTGCAGGCGTGAGCCAACGCACCTGGCCAATATTCTTTATAAACTGTAAATTATTATTCAGATATTATCATTACTCACTTATTACCACCAGTGATACAGTCTTTCATTCCTTCCATGGCATCCTGCTGCTTTGTAAACAAACGGAGCTTACAATTTAGATTGTGCTGAAATTGAAGCATTCAGGGAGAGATAAGGAGACATAGAAGAGATTTGGAGGACATCTCTGAAAGAGATGGAAGTAAAGCCTAAAAACTAGGGTATGATTAAAAACCAGTTTAACTTGTAAAGGTAAGCAAACGTTGCCCCAAAAGGCAAGTAAAGCACTGTTGACGACATAGCTTTGCTACAGTCAATCAAAAGACCCAGGGAGTGGCCCAGGCAGAAAAATAATTCTCCAGACCCTTTTTGCTTGCTTGACTCACATTAGAGACGGCAAGAGCTCTCTAGTTACACAGTCAACTGAGGTTGGTGTTGGCACAAGCAGATACGCTATGACAAACAGTAGAGCATATCTCAGGGAGGAAAGACTTACAAAGATAAAACAGCAAGGCATTATTTGCTTTGGAAATGCTTGCTTTATTGTGGGTTTTTCTATTTGATTCCGATTTTGGTTGGGAAATGTTGAAAAACATTAATTTGCTCTGTACATAATAAAAAATATTTGTCGTCACTGAAAGGCATAGTGCTGATTTCTAAACATTTGTATTGTCTAATCTTTGGAAATAAATATTCATTAGACAATTATAATTTACTTATCCAAGATGTTGAACTATTTTGGGGCAAAACCTGTGAATAAAGAGTAATGTTCGTTTTGTGTTTGTCTTTGTGTGTGCACCACGAAAGCAACTTTGCAGCTCTCAAAATGTGAATTGTAGAGACTTAGAGGGCCGGCATTCCACGCCCTTACACTTCGCAGCAGGCTACAACCGCGTGTCTGTTGTAGAGTACCTGCTACACCACGGTGCCGATGTCCATGCCAAAGACAAGGGGTACGTGTTAGAAGTTAGCTGTTTGGGAGTCATTCTCTTCATGCTTAAAAAATTTAAAATATTTTTGAAGTCTTAGATTTTTTCTGTATTAAAAAAGTAATCGTTATTTTTTGTTTAAAACATAAATTAAAACATAGAAATGTGCCAGGCATGGTGGCTCACGCCTGTAATCCCAGCACTTTGGGAGGCGAAGGCGGGCAGATCACCTGAGATCAGGAGTTTGAGACCAGCCTGACCAACATGGGTGAAACTCTGTCTCTATTAAAAATACAAAATTAGCCAGGCGTGGTGGCACATGCCTGTAATCCCAGCTACTTGGGAGGCTGAGGCAGGAGAATCACTTGAACCCGGGAGGTGGAGGTTGCAGTGAGCTAAGATCTCAGCATTGCACTCCAGCTTGGGCAACAAGAGCGAAATTCCATCTCAAAAAAAAAAAAAAAAAAAAAAAACATAGAAATGTACAGTATAGAAATTGAAAATTTCCTGTCAGCCCACCTCCTGCTCAGAGATACAGCATTCAAATGTTGACCTTATTCCTCCAGATATTGTAAATGCATAGACTTGTGTGTGTGCTGTGGCGATGGTGGTGGTGGTGATTTTTAACACAAATGGTGGTGCCTTCCTATATGGTCTGCTTTGCAGTTTACTTTTTTCCACTCAGTAGTGTATCTTGAATAGTCTTCCCATATCAGTACTTAATAGTCTCATTCTTTTAATGCTTGTATATAGTATTTTATTACATTATATGAATTTTGTTTTGTTTTGTTTTTGAGACAGAGTCTCGCTCTGTCGCCCAGGCTGGAGTGCAGTGGCACAATCTCGGCTCACTGCAAGCTCTGCCTCCCAGGTTCACGCCATTCTCCTGCCTCAGCCTCCCGAATAGCTGGGACTACAGGCGCCCGTCACCACGCCCGGCTAATTTTTTGTATTTTTAGGAGAGACGGGGTTTCACTGTGTTAGCCAGGATGGTCTCAATCTCCTGACCTCATGGATCCACCCGCCTCGGCCTCCCAAAGTGCTGGGATTACAGGCGTGAGCCACTGCACCCAGCCCTATATGAATGTTTTTATATAGTCTGTAAGTTATTGTTTATTCTTCTTTTTTGCTATTAAAAATGTACAGTCTCTTCTAAAAAGAAGTCATCCATCCCAAAGACATCAGTATTCCTAGAAGCATAGTTTTATTTTTACTAATTCAGATACTGTATGTTTTATATTAGTTTGCTAAATTATTTTGTCTAGGCAAAGCTTAAGGCAGCTACTTAGAAATGTGAGAAAGGTATTTTAACTGATATTAATTCCCGTGTTCTGAGTTAATTTCACATCATCTCAAAATAAGCCAGTAGCTTTCTGTGTAATTACATACAAGTGCACAGTAGAATTAAACTGCACGATTTAGGCCTCATCGAACCATTATGTATTTATTTATCTTTTAAAAGGGACACATCAGACATGAATATTTCAAACTGTTTCAGTGCATTGGAGAGCAATCAGCATTTGCTTCTATTGCTCATTTTAACAGTTAGCATATTTCATCCCAAAACTAAAAAAAAAAAAAAAAAATGCACTTGATACTTTGCTTCTGCCATGTGTTAACTTCAACATTTTATTCTTTTGATGTACTCTTTTGTGGGAGCATCTTTTTGTCCTTTTAGAATGTCAGCTGCTTACAAATCAGAGCTTAGACTCCTCTCAGAATAGTTTGCCCATTTCTCATCTGAGTAGAACTTATAGTTGACATCGTCATTTTTCTTACTGAATACTTCTCTGAATTACCTGGATTATGAATTTTCAATATTTGGCACCTCAATATTTACACCTGTGCATGGAAATCACCACTGAATCACCACTATGATTAAACCACTATGATTTAATCACCACTATGATTTACACAACTTTTTACCAAGGTAGAACTTGCCTAAATAAGCTAATTGTATTATATTTTTTATAAGTAAGCATACAATTTTCATTAGCGAAACTCATAAAGATAAGGATTGCTGTGAGTATATATCCATCCCCAAGAAACTTAGGAAAAAATCTTTACATTGAAAGAACATTTTTGAAATTATTACTCCTTATTTAGAAATGGATAACTATATCTTAAAGAACAGAGGTGGGTGTATTTCTTTTTGCGCAGTGTTCAGTATAGTCAGTACCATAGAAGAATGGTAGGATTTTTATTATAAGAATCATTGTAACTCAAAGGTTTGTTTTATGACTTTAAAATAACTTTCTTTTGTTTAGTGGCTTGGTGCCCCTTCATAATGCCTGTTCATATGGACACTATGAGGTGGCTGAGCTTTTAGTAAGGCATGGGGCTTCTGTCAATGTGGCGGACTTATGGAAATTTACCCCTCTCCATGAAGCAGCAGCTAAAGGAAAGTATGAAATCTGCAAGCTCCTTTTAAAAGTATGTAGTTTAAAAAGTTATGAAATATAACTAATTTTATTTATATTTTGGTTATTACTTGAAAGTAAGTTGGGGTATGTTATTCTATTAAGAACAATACTGCTGTAGAGACTGCTCTCATTTTCTATTTCCCAGAAGACCGTTTATGTGATATGACACATAGCTTTGCGTAGTGCCTAAAGTGAATATCTGAAATGGTTTAAGTCCATGTCATAAAAATTCATCAAAGTAGGTTTTAGAAAGAGCTGAAATAGTTTGCATTGCTTGTCTAGTACTTATAGTATTAATATCAGAAAAAACTGTACAGGAGAAACAAGCTTTTCAATCAAGTTGGGTTTTTTTTCTTTGTTGGCTATTTTATTATTGTTAACTAACTCATTCACTAGTAAACATCAAATATTGTGTCTTTAAGAACTTATTGTAGTATCAGATTTTTATTAAAACATAAGATGATCTCTAAAGTTGTTCATATAGATTTTAGATACATGTAAAAGAGTGAAAACTAGTAGTTATATGAAACTAACTATAATTTATGCTCACTTAAAGTATATTTTTAAAAAACGACCAGATGTGTATTTATGAGATTTTCTTTTGCTTTTTTTTAACTACGGAAAAAAAATTGAAGTGTTTAAATAAAATTCTTCTCCCTTCACTTTTATGATATCAAATACATTCTTATGAATCTTGAGAAAAACACAATATCTGATACTCATTTTTATTATCACTGGTTGGTAAGAAATAACTTCCAAGTCATTGTGAATCCATTGTCCACCTTGACTTACAACTAATTTCCGCAGTGAGCCCATGACAGTCTGTGGCCGACCCATAATAAAAATTATTGACTTCTATTTACTTTATTTAATAGCTATTGGTAATTAAACTTTTAAAATCTATAATTTTTAATACATTTATATCTAATTTCATGATAGATGTTAAGACTTAGGATAAAAATCTTAAAAATATTACCAAACTTTATTCTTACTGATGGCCTTTAGAATTAAGTCCTTTTTTACCAGTGTGTCTTACTCTACTCTCTTCTTTTTCATACCTACTGAGTATCTTTATGTAATTGAATCTGGTCAAAATTAACATCCATGCTATTCTTCAAAGTAAAATAGGTTTCCAAAGACAACTTGGAGTCTGAGAAAAAGTGTATTATATAGGTTGTCTCAAAGATACTTAACACTCTCCCTACTTTATCATCACCATTGATCCTGAAGCTTTGACTGTATAGTATTAATAGTTAGAAAGCTGATCCATTATATTACTAAGTAGGAATTTTGCAAAGTGTTTTTCAAAATGCATATAGAGTAGATATCTTCCCCAGAGGAACAAAGGTAGAGTAAATTAATTACCTACCTACCTACCTACCTACTTACTACAGAAAATACAAACCCCATTTGGTTTTTCTTCTTTGTAGCATGGAGCAGATCCAACTAAAAAGAACAGAGATGGAAATACACCTTTGGATTTGGTAAAGGAAGGAGACACAGATATTCAGGACTTACTGAGAGGGGATGCTGCTTTGTTGGATGCTGCCAAGAAGGGCTGCCTGGCAAGAGTGCAGAAGCTCTGTACCCCAGAGAATATCAACTGCAGAGACACCCAGGGCAGAAATTCAACCCCTCTGCACCTGGCAGGTAAGCGCCCCCAGTGCCTCCAAGCCTCCTTTTCCTTTCTCGGACACCTAATACAGTTTACTAAAAGACGAAAGCCATGCTGAACACAAATGGGACTACTTAGTAAAATGCTCTTGATTGACATAGTTTTGTATAATTTCTTATTGTGAAGTCCCTCCATTATGTGATAACAGTATTAGCTTTTGAAGCAAAAAGTATTAAAACCTTAACATTTTCTGGTCCTTATTACATATGTATGTATTTTTTTTCCTTTAAGCTGACACGTTTCCTGTATTTTTTTTACTCTAAATAGCAGGCTATAATAACCTGGAAGTAGCTGAATATCTTCTAGAGCATGGAGCTGATGTTAATGCCCAGGACAAGGGTGGTTTAATTCCTCTTCATAATGCGGCATCTTATGGGGTAAGCATACTAACATTAAAATCTAGAAAACTGACCGCACGCGGTGGCTCACGCCTGTAATCCCAGCACTTTAGGAGGCCGAGGAAGGTAGATCACGAGGTCAGGAGGTCGAGACAATCCTGGCTAACACGGTGAAACCCCGTCTCTACTAAAAATACAAAAAATTAGACGGGCATAGTGGCGGGCACCTGTAGTCCCAGCTACTCGGGAGGCTGAGGCAGGAGAATGGCATGAACCCGGGAGGCGGAGCTTGCAGTGAGCCCAGATCGCGCCACTGCACTCCAGCCTGGGTGACAGAGCGAGACTCTGACTCAAAATAAATAAATAAATAAATAAAATAAAATCTAGAAAACTTCCCTGGCATTTACGACTTTATTAAATGCATACTATGCATTAAGTAAGTAGATATCTAACTAATAGCATGATTTAGCATAATTTTAATCTTTTGTTCAGAGTTTTGGTGTATCTTCCCGGCTAAGCTTAACTACCTTTTGGCCAACAGTCATGCTTTTTATTGCTTTTTGGTCTCAGCACGTTATCAAGCACAATAATAGGCATGTAATGGGTGCTCAGTTTATATTTATCAATATTGTAATATAATATATATAATGTAAAATAATATAATAAATACCAATTTCTTAATTCTACCTCAAGTATATTTTAAAAACTAGAAAAGCTGTGCAGCTGTTATACAGGCATGGAAAGTATGTTGGCTTACATTTATCATCAGCACCTTAAAAATATTCGAGTAGCAGGCACAGTGGCATGCGCCTGTAATCCCAGCCATTCGGGAGGCTGAGGTGGGAAGATCGCTTGAGCCCAGGAGTTCAAGGCCACCCTGATCAACATAGTGAGACCTCATCTAAAAAAAAAAAAAAAAAAAAAAAATTAAATGGTTGAGCAGTTGATATATATGGTTTCAGAGAGTAGGAATTACTAGCTAAAACCTCCAGGTGAAAGTCCAGAGTTTTGGACATGAAGTCCTTGCCCACGCCTATGTCCTGAATGGTAATGCCTAGGTTTTCTTCTAGGGTTTTTATGGTTTTAGGTTTAACGTTTAAATCTTTAATCCATCTTGAATTGATTTTTGTATAAGGTGTAAGGAAGGGATCCAGTTTCAGCTTTCTACATATGGCTAGCCAGTTTTCCCAGCACCATTTATTAAATAGGGAATCCTTTCCCCATTGCTTGTTTTTCTCAGGTTTGTCAAAGATCAGATAGTTGTAGATATGCGGCATTATTTCTGAGGGCTCTGTTCTGTTCCATTGATCTATATCTCTGTTTTGGTACCAGTACCATGCTGTTTTGGTTACTGTAGCCTTGTAGTATAGTTTGAAGTCAGGTAGTGTGATGCCTCCAGCTTTGTTCTTTTGGCTTAGGATTGACTTGGCAATGCAGGCTCTTTTTTGGTTCCATATGAACTTTAAAGTAGTTTTTTCCAATTCTGTGAAGAAAGTCATTGGTAGCTTGATGGGGATGGCATTGAATCTGTAAATTACCTTGGGCAGTATGGCCATTTTCACGATATTGATCCTTCCTACCCATGAGCATGGAATGTTCTTCCATTTGTTTGTGTCCTCTTTTATTTCCTTGAGCAGTGGTTTGTAGTTCTCCTTGAAGAGGTCCTTCACATCCCTTGTAAGTTGGATTCCTAGGTATTTTATTCTCTTTGAAGCAATTGTGAATGGGAGTTCACCCATGATTTGGCTCTCTGTTTGTCTGTTGTTGGTGTATAAGAATGCTTGTGATTTTTGTACATTGATTTTGTATCCTGAGACTTTGCTGAAGTTGCTTATCAGCTTAAGGAGATTTTGGGCTGAGACGATGGGGTTTTCTAGATAAACAATCATGTCGTCTGCAAACAGGGACAATTTGACTTCCTCTTTTCCTAATTGAATACCCTTTATTTCCTTCTCCTGCCTGATTGCCCTGGCCAGAACTTCCAACACTATGTTGAATAGGAGCGGTGAGAGAGGGCATCCCTGTCTTGTGCCAGTTTTCAAAGGGAATGCTTCCAGTTTTTGCCCATTCAGTATGATATTGGCTGTGGGTTTGTCATAGATAGCTCTTATTATTTTGAAATACGTCCCATCAATACCTAATTTATTGAGAGTTTTTAGCATGAAGGGTTGTTGAATTTTGTCAAAGGCTTTTTCTGCATCTATTGAGATAATCATGTGGTTTTTGTCTTTGGCTCTGTTTATATGCTGGATTACATTTATTGATTTGCGTATATTGAACCAGCCTTGCATCCCAGGGATGAAGCCCACTTGATCATGGTGGATAAGCTTTTTGATGTGCTGCTGGATTCGGTTTGCCAGTATTTTATTGAGGATTTTTGCATCAATGTTCATCAAGGATATTGGTCTAGAATTCTCTTTTTTGGTTGTGTCTCTGCCCGGCTTTGGTATCAGAATGATGCTGGCCTCATAAAATGAGTTAGGGAGGATTCCCTCTTTTTCTATTGATTGGAATAGTTTCAGAAGGAATGGTACCAGTTCCTCCTTGTACCTCTGGTAGAATTCGGCTGTGAATCCATCTGGTCCTGGACTCTTTTTGGTGGGTAAACTATTGATTATTGCCACAATTTCAGAGCCTGTTATTGGTCTATTCAGAGATTCAACTTCTTCCTGGTTTAGTCTTGGGAGAGTGTATGTGTCGAGGAATGTATCCATTTCTTCTAGATTTTCTAGTTTATTTGCGTAGAGGTGTTTGTAGTATTCTCTGATGGTAGTTTGTATTTCTGTGGGATCGGTGGTGATATCCCCTTTATCATTTTTTATTGTGTCTATTTGATTCTTCTTTTTTTCTTTATTAGTCTTGCTAGCGGTCTATCAATTTTGTTGATCCTTTCAAAAAACCAGCTCCTGGATTCATTGATTTTTTGAAGGGTTTTTTGTGTCTCTATTTCCTTCAGTTCTGCTCTGATTTTAGTTATTTCTTGCCTTCTGCTAGCTTTTGAATGTGTTTGCTCTTGCTTTTCTAGTTCTTTTAATTGTGATGTTAGGGTGTCAATTTTGGATCTTTCCTGCTTTCTCTTGTAGGCATTTAGTGCTATAAATTTCCCTCTACACACTGCTTTGAATGCGTCCCAGAGATTCTGGTATGTGGAGTCTTTGTTCTCATTGGTTTCAAAGAACATCTTTATTTCTGCCTTCATTTCGTTATGTACCCAGTAGTCATTCAGGAGCAGGTTGTTCAGTTTCCATGTAGTTGAGCGGCTTTGAGTGAGATTCTTAATCCTGAGTTCTAGTTTGATTGCACTGTGGTCTGAGAGATAGTTTGTTATAATTTCTGTTCTTTTACATTTGCTGAGGAGAGCTTTACTTCCAACTATGTGGTCAATTTTGGAATAGGTGTGGTGTGGTGCTGAAAAAAATGTATATTCTGTTGATTTGGGGTGGAGAGTTCTGTAGATGTCTATTAGGTCTGCTTGGTGCAGAGCTGAGTTCAATTCCTGGGTATCCTTGTTGACTTTCTGTCTCGTTGATCTGTCTAATATTGACAGTGGGGACTTCATGTCCAAAACACCAAAAGCAATGGCAACAAAAGACAAAATTGACAAATGGGATCTAATTAAACTAAAGAGCTTCTGCACAGCAAAAGAAACTACCATCAGAGTGAACAGGCAACCTACAACATGGGAGAAAATTTTCGCAACCTACTCATCTGACAAAGGGCTAATATCCAGAATCTACAATGAACTCAAACAAATTTACAAGAAAAAAACAAACAACCCCATCAAAAAGTGGGCGAAGGACATGAACAGACACTTCTCAAAAGAAGACATTTATGCAGCCAAAAAACACATGAAGAAATGCTCATCATCACTGGCCATCAGAGAAATGCAAATCAAAACCACTATGAGATATCATCTCACACCAGTTAGAATGGCAATCATTAAAAAGTCAGGAAACAACAGGTGCTTGAGAGGAGGCGGAGAAATAGGAACACTTTTACACTGTTGGTGGGACTGTAAACTAGTTCAACCATTGTGGAAGTCAGTGTGGCGATTCCTCAGGGATCTAGAACTAGAAATACCATTTGACCCAGCCATCCCATTACTGGGTATATACCCAAATGAGTATAAATCATGCTGCTATAAAGACACATGCACACGTATGTTTATTGCGGCACTATTCACAATAGCAAAGACTTGGAACCAACCCAAATGTCCAACAATGATAGACTGGATTAAGAAAATGTGGCACATATACACCATGGAATACTATGCAGCCATAAAAAATGATGAGTTCATATCCTTTGTAGGGACATGGATGAAATTGGAAACCATCATTCTCAGTAAACTATCACAAGAACAAAAAACCAAACACCGCATATTCTCACTCATAGGTGGGAATTGAACAATGAGATCACATGGACACAGGAAGGGGAATATCACACTCTGGGGACTGTGGTGAGGTCGGGGGAGGGGGGAGGGATAGCATTGGGAGATATACCTAATGCTAGATGACACATTAGTGGGTGCAGCGCACCAGCATGGCACATGTATACATATGTAACTAACCTGCACAATGTGCACATGTACCCTAAAACTTAGAGTATAATAAAAAAAAAAAAAAAAAAAAAAAAAGAAAGTCCAGAGTTATCCTTTCAAACACTGTCATCAGTTGTAAGAGGAAGAGAGATGGATTGCAGTGCCTTGATGCCGTATGTCAGAACTGACTGACTGGAAGTAACTAAGGCCCACTCAAGCCTGGCTCACGGCAGAAATAGGATGAATGCTCATGTGCTTGACAGTTCATCCACTTAATCCCTTCTTGACTGTAAAAACCCACAGATGCCAGTTCATACGTACCAGGTGTTCTCACAGTTGGAATCACTCTTGATAGAAGGTGGTTTCTAGATTTGCAAAAGCCTGACAAACTATAAATAAAAACCAAACCAACCCAACCACCTTGATTACCATATTCTTCCTCCTACCGCCTTCTCCCTGGCCCTTTGTAATGAGACTGTCGTCTCTCAGACCCATTTTACAAAGACCTGTATTTCAGAGAGAGGACAAATCTGAGTGAGGATACTTTTAAGGAAAGCAACAATCCGGTTTTTTGAAAGAAAACTATGCTTCCAAGTATGATATAAATTAATTGAAAGTATCATATTTAATGAGTGTTAGTACTGAAATCCTCTTGAAACTACAGTATTTAAAGTTACCTTTCTAAAGATGAGTAGTCTTTTATTAAAATTCGTAGAAATTTTAACCTTCCTTCACATAAGGTTCTCAATTTCTCTGAGCAACAAATACTTCTACCAAAGACTTAGCATGCTAAATATTTGCTGCTAACATACTACATATACATTTATATGTAATTCTTGTTGTTTTTTTTTTTTTTTTTTTTGAGAACAGGTCGGACTGCAGTGGCGCTATCTCAGCTCACTGCAAGCTCCGCCTCCCGGGTTCACGCCATTCTCCTGCCTCAGCCTCCCGAGTAGCTGGAACTACAGGCGCCTGCCACCACGCCCAGCTAATTTTTTTTGTATTTTTAGTAGAGACGGGGTTTCACCGTGTCAGCCGAGATGATCTCTATCTCCTGACCTCGTGATCCGCCTGCCTCGGCCTCCCGAAGTGCTGGGATTACAGGCGTGAGCCACCACGCCCGGCCTACATGTAATTCTTGACCCTTAAGTTATAACTTACACATGTATATCATTTGGAGACAAATTTTCAGCACTTCTTAGCATAATTGTTCTCTTCATATGGTTTTCTACTAATCCTTTTGCTAAGCTTCAGTTAAGGGTTTATAAAGCCAATGGGATCGGTAGAACTGAAATTAGATCTTTTATCGTCTCTGTAAACTTACTATGAGTAGGGACAGATGGTGGCCATAGAATTATAATAATGAACTGATCTAGTAAGGCTTATGTTACACTGTCAACTGTGTAGACTACAGTAGATCCCATACATTGTGGATGTAAGGAAGTTCTACTCCATTAGCCTTCACCTTTCACAGTCTTTATAGCAGTCACGGAGGATAAGGAAAAGAAAAATTAATTTATAAAGTATTTTACCTTTTGATCCTCATTCTTCTCATGGGATAGCGTTAAGATGTGTTCTACTGCATTAGTCTTCACCTTGCACAGTCTTTATAGCTGTCACAGAGGATAAAGGAAAGTTAATTTATAAACTAAGTATTTTACCTTTTGATCCCCATCAGTTAAGATGTTACTTACTCTACGTGTGTGTCACTCGATGACCACTGTGAAGACAGTAAAATGTACAGTGGTTCTCTTGTGGCTCAAGCGTAATGTAGAGTACTGGTCGACCTTGTCTAACTTCACGTTCCCTTGAGGCTGACTTGCTGTCACCTGAAGAGAGGTGTAATGCAATCGGTCTCCTGACCGGAAGTCCACTCTTTCATTTTCATAAACTTTATTCACCATCACCCATAACTCCCCTTCTCCTTTTCTAACTCCAAGTAAGAAAAAATAATGAACACTTTTTTTCACTATCTCTTTTTATGGTATCCTCTTTTTATGTTTGTTAAATCCCTACTACTTAGCTCTTTGTAAATGAAGGTAACTTACTGAGGTGAGAATGATCAAAAAATTCTCCAGGCCTTGTAAAGGGCATTTGATAGAGGTTTTGATCAACCTGGTTCATCTCATCCTTGTATGGAAGAATGCAAATGGGCTACATAATGTGTTTATAGCAGGTATTTTTACCTCATTGTGAGGGTGGATTGAGTCACTCAAAAATTTTTTTCATGTATTAAACTTGTAAATTTAAAAATCAGGCATCCGTGAGTTGATGACTGTTACTTTTTTTTGGCAAACTTTGACTCTGGTGATTTCTAGACCTTTTTTTAATTACCTTTTTTTTTTTTTGGTCAGATACATGAGTGTGATAATACCTTTTTTTTGTTTTTTAACATGGGCAACCCACTTCCCTCAGCAATCTCGCATGACATACAGTGACTCTCAGTTGGTATTTTCCCTGTTCACGATCTCTGCTCCGCAAAATAATTTTATTTTATGCCACTTGTAAAACCTATAATCTATTATTAGTAACCAATCAGTAACCATATTAAGTAGTATTTCTCTTAATCTCAATTAATAGACTTAAAGTAAGGCTAGGCATGGTGGCTCACTTCTGCAATCTCAGCACGTTGGGAGGCTGAGACAGCAACATGGTTTAAGGCCAGGAGTTTGAGACCAGCCTGGGCGACATAGTGAGACCCTATCTCTATATAATTATTTATAAATAAATATTTAATAAATATTTATTTAAAATATAATGAATTAAATTAAGAAGTATTTATTAGTACTCCTTAAATATATATACTTATATATTTAAGGATATACATGTATATCCTTATATTTAAGGAGTAATAAATACATACATTTATATATTTAAGGAGTACTAATATTAACACAATATAAAAAGTTTAAAAAGCTACTTTGTCTCCCCTTAAGAGTAGATACAACTGTGTTCTATTATTTGTAGATTGATAAATCTGTGTATCTTTCAAAAGTTCCTTTTTATTCATTCTATCCTGCCTTGGCTGGATATTTTAATGAAATCATAGGACTCCAGTCTACATTTCTATTAGGATAGAAAAACACTGATTATGTTGTATTCGTCCCATGAATTTGATGATGCTTGAACTAGCCTGGCCACATATCATTTTGTGGAGTAGATTTTCTGTGGCATATCATCTGGAATACAGCTTCTATTCTGAAAATCAAGCAATTTATAGAGCAACTGTAGGTATAGTGTTACCCAGTGATCTCTACTTAAATCATTTCTTCTTCCTAATATTATCTCTTTCCCATTTTCAGCTTGGAAGGAAAATGGCTCTTGTGTTTTAGTCTAGCAAACTCTGCAGGCACCTGTGGTTTAATGGAAAAACCTGAACTTAGGGTCTGAATATCTGGGATCTAGTCTTTCCTCTTCTGTTTTATAACCCAGTAGTCTTCAGCAAGTGTCTAACTTTTTCTCATCTTTGGTTTTCTCAGTAGTAAAAGTTGGATTCCAAGACCTCCTTTCCAGCTTGTTGTAATGATTAAATGAGACCATGCATGTGGAAATTGCATTAACTAATGTAAGGCATTATAAAAATGCAAGGTAATACTGTTATTATAAAATAACTTGCTTCATGGCCGGGTGCAATGGCTCATGCCTATAATCCCAGCACTTTGGGAGGCTGAGGCGGGAGGATCTTTCAAGCCCAAGAGTTCAAGACCGGCCTAGGCAACATAGCGAGACCCCATTTCTACCAAAAAATACATATCCATATCTATAGATGTATAGATATTAAAAATTAGTAAATTCCTTGCTTCCCACAGTTCCTGTACTAAGCCAGTCAGAATAAGGGCTGCATGTCACTCCTACATTTCACAGCCTTAGGAATAATCTATATATTTGACTGGCTCAGTGCTGTGTTAAATAAACACAGATTAATTGACTAGGCTGAGGATGAAATAATAATCTGAGGTAGCTGTGAAATTACATAGTTATTTACTTATGTAGTTATTTATTGATCATTATTCCTTCATACTTATTTACTTTTTTCCCCTAGAGAGCTCAATCTGCTCTGTGTGTGTCTTTGAGCCTTTTTTGTATAAAAAGAACCTCAGTTTTTCCAAATGGAGAAAAAAATACATATTTATTTAAGAAGCATCAATAAAAATTACAAGTTGCATGAGAGTTGATATTAGTGGTAGTGTGCCTTACTGTGTCGGTGTTCTTTATATAATAATGCCTTGTGTTATATTTGAATACATGTTTATACAAGACAGTTAACTTTTCTGCTAAGTCAGTAAATGGCATTGATACTTATTACCACAAAGCATGTAAATTTATATCTTATAAGAGTAAATCAATTGACTGATTCATTTTCTCTCAACTGTTTTTATTTTCCAGTGCTTTCTCTAAAATGGATAACATTTGGGGAATTTCATGACATAATTGTAATAAAGCCTCTGTACAATTAAATGGCTTTAACTGAAGCCAAGCATGTTTCTCTTTCCCCTACTTCCCACCTTTTTAAAATTAAAAGCTTCCCAGTCTTTTTAGGTTGTATTTGTCATTTAAAGCATTTTGTATTGCAGCTGGATTCTGAAACTAGGTTAAATTGTCTGTTTCTCCTGGAAACATTCCAACAGAGATCAGTTTCTTTTCTGGACCTTCTAGTTCAATACTTTGCTCTTATATACTGTGTTGAATAGAACTGAACTGCTATTTATTGGATTTGTCAGCCTTAAATTCCAGTTACTATTTTTGCCTCAATGGTGTAGCTATTTAAAAGAATTAAACAGCTTAAGAACTGTATTTTTAGTCTATTTGGGTAGTAATATACTCCTTCCTGTTCATTGTTCTTTCAGACATTTGTCAGAAAATTTCACAAGCATGTAGTTGGTTTGTCCAAGCATAAACTATAACTTCAATATAAAGAAAGCTTAATAATACATACCAGATATACAATTCATTTTATACACACATACAGAAACAGGTAATTTTCCTTGGACTTTTTGTAATTTTGGAAGCCTGTGTAAATTAGTCTACCAGATTATATTATTCGGCCTGTAAACATGGGAGTTCAATAAAATTAATCATCAGAAACACAGTTTAAGTAGCTTGTAACCTCACTGGGGAGAAGCTTGAAATTATTCCGTGCTTTTGGGTTAACTTAACAAAAATTGCTGCCTTTTTTCAACATATAGCCTTTGAATAAGGGAGATAAATTACTAGGTTTGGTTTTGTTTTAGGTGATTTTGATAATACCACGAGTGGTACCTCTGTTTTCATCTTTTGTGTTAGAAAATTTAAAAATAATTAAGCTATAGAATTAATTTTATAGTGATATTATAATCCCAGAAGAATCACAAAACATCCTGTTCTGAGAAGACTTAGTCTGATTATGCTGCTTATTTATTTTATTTTTTGTTTATGGGGTTTTTTGTTTTGTTTTGTTTTGAGATGGAATCTCACTCTTCACCCAGGCTGGAAAGCAGTGGTGCAATCTTGACTCACTGCAATCTCCGTCTCCCAGATTCAAGCGATTCTCCTGCCTCAGCCTCCCAAGTAGCTGGGATTACAGGTGTGTGGCGCCACACCCAGCTAATTTTTGTGTATTTAGCAGAGATGGGGTTTCGCCATGTTGGCCAGGATGGTCTCAAACTCCTGACCTCAAATGATCTGCTGGCCTCGGCCTCCCAAAGTGGTGGGATTACAGGCCTGAACCACCACACCTGGCCTATTTTTTGTTTTTGGGGGCGTTTTTTGCTTTGTATTATTAGAGCAAATGTGGAAGCTTTCCTTAGTAGTTGGCTGATCTGTACTTTTGTTTTTAGATAAATGTTCTTCACTTTGTTTTCAGAAACTACTATTTCTAAAATTAGGAAATACAGATATTTATATTACATAAAGTTAAATACTACCTCAGAAAAAGTGCCTGTTCTTTTTGAAGTGAGTGTCTTCAAGAGTGCAGGGAAGACGATATCTTAAGGAAGATAGAAAGTGACATGCATTAAGTTGCATCTTGGGATCTTTCTTGGCCTTCCCTGTCTTTTCCCATTCTCATAAATGTCTTCCTTAAAAGCCTCAATGTGTGGTAGTCGAGCAGCAGCATGAGTTAGAAATTTATTTTCAATAGATGATGTGCTTTTGAGTTAATTATCCAAACTGACCAAGTTATGCCCAGAAATGTGTCTGTAAGGGACACAAATGTGCCAGTTGCACCAAATTATAGCATACTGGAGTTGAAATGGATCTCAGAAATACTTAAGTGCTAACCAGCCTAACATCCTAAATGTATTTATAAAAATATACAAGTTATTTTTAATATTCTTAAAAAGCCTATTTGTTGAATCAGTAGTGCCTATTGTGTGATCGATTGTCTTAGCTTATTTTATAAGGATTTTTGGGAAGAAGCTGAAGCCTTTTGCTATGTGGAGCTCTTGCTTGAGTGAACCTGGTCTCCATGGAACTTGCTTCTGTATTGGCTTTTATAGTCCTGCTCCTTTATAGTTCTTCTCCAGCTTCCATTTTTCCTTTTGTCTCCTCTGAGGATTTTTCTTCCACTCTCCTTTTCCAAAATATTGTTGTTTTCAAGGTTTTATCCACCTTGTAATTATCTTTCTGTATTCCTTTCCTTAATGAGCTCATTTATCAAGTAGCTACAACTATTAATCCCCTATTCCATTTCGTAATCTCCCTGGAGCCCCCAGCCCCAGTCCTCAGCCCTCCATAGGTATTGAGCAAATGCTGGTTGGTAGGTGAGTGGTGGGAGAGTGAGTAAGTGAATGATGCCCCCTCGACTGTGCTCCAACCTTTTCTGACAAACGATCTGCACAATGTCTTTACTTTGATGTTTTACCTCAGAAGGTGCCTACCTCAGTGAGCCTTATCTGAGAGTTTCATACCTACTTAAACTTTTTTTTTTTTTTTTTTTGAGACGGAGCCTTGCTCTGGTAACCAGGCTGCGGTGCGGTGGTGCAATCTCAGCTGACTGCAACCTCCGCCTTTTGGGTTCAAGTGATTCTCTTGCCTCAGCCTCCCGAGTAGCTTGGATTACAGGCATGCACCACCATGCCCAGCTAATTTTTGTATTTTTGGTAGGGACGGGGTTTCACTATGTTGGCCAGGCTGGTCTCGAACTCCTGACCTCAGGTGATCCGCCCACCTCAGCCTCCCAAAGTGCTGGGATTACAGGCGTGAGCCACCGCACCCAGCCCCTACTTAAACTTTTACAACTCAATTTCTTTTAATAGTTCTACCTTATTTTCTAATCTTCCAGATTCCCCCCTCCTTCCCCCCCTCAAAAAAATGTAGTCATCTTTGACTTTTCTCTCTCTCTCTTCTGTTGTGAATTTGGCTTTTAAACACAATTTTTTTTCTTTCAAAATTTCTCAGATTTAGCCCTTCTTTTCCATTTTTCTGTAACTGTCAATGGTTCAGGGTCTCATCACCTCATGCCCAGGTTATTAGCATGTCTGCTGCTAACATTTCCTCCACCCGGCAATCATTTAGACATAACAGACCAATTTTCATAAAATGTTATGTTGCTTTTTCAAAGGCTAAAGAGAAAACATTGAGAATCTTTGAGATGAGTATTTCAGTAAATCTGATTGCAGTAGGTAGAAAAGAAATGGGAAGATAAGAGAATCAATGTGAATAGAATGCATATTTGAAAAGTTTGGCAGATAGATTAGACCATTAACAGAAGATTTGAATTAGGTACTAGTTTCACTTTACAGAATGAAACACCTTACAAAGTATTTGTTTTTAAAATAAAGTTGAATATATTAGAGGGATGCATTTTTTGAAAAAAAGCCCATGAACAGTTACAGGGTAATAGTATAATTGTGTAATTGAGATTTTGAAGGAGGCAAGAAAAGATGGAGTCCAAAGTGTAAGTAGAAGACTGAAATACTCTTTTTTTTAGAAGAAACTTCTGTTAAGGATGAAAATGGAGATACAGAGGAGTGAATTGTTAAATAAAAACAGGTATACACAATGGTGCTTTACCAGATGATCTCATTCTTAACTCTTTGTATCCTTTTCTTTTTTTTCAGCATGTTGACATAGCGGCTTTATTGATAAAATACAACACGTGTGTAAATGCAACAGATAAGTGGGCGTTTACTCCCCTCCATGAAGCAGCCCAGAAAGGAAGGACGCAGCTGTGCGCCCTCCTCCTAGCGCATGGTGCAGACCCCACCATGAAGAACCAGGAAGGCCAGACGCCTCTGGATCTGGCAACAGTAAGTCCTCATTTCAGATACTGATTATTGTTCCTTCTACTTTCACAGATGACATCAGATTCTCGGGTTCACCAGCTTACTTTTAGTCGTGTTTATTTCACTTAGAACAGAGATCTTCTGAAAATTTTTGAAGTTCACACTTTTTCTATGAAAATATAATTTAAAACTCTTAAGACAAACTAAACAGTAAGTTAATTTAATTTTTTGCCATTCTTAGCCTGCTGGGAAAACATGGATCTTAAGAAAACATGTTTTTAGAGTGTACCCTCAAAGAATTATATTTAGTAAAATATCTTGTACCTTCTATATTTGGCATGTTATTGTAGAGCAACTAATGTTCATGATAATTTACCTAAGTCTGTGAGATAGTCAAAGAAAAATTAACTCTGGGCAGTATTATTTAACTGCAAAGTTAAGCACTGCATCATCTTCCGTGAACTTTCTGAAAACCAGGGAGTTACTGTATAGTCACAGTAATTTCTAATTTTTAAGCCAGAAATGTTTTTTCAAGTTATGTTCTGTTTCATTTATTGATTGCTGCGTAACAAACTGTTTCAAAACACCCAGTGGCTTAAAATAATAATGACTTATTATTTCTTATGATTCTGTATGTTGGCTAGGAGATTCTTCTGGTCTTACCTGGGGTCACTTGTGCAACTGCATATAGCTGGTGGCTGGGGCAGAAACATAAAGACGGCTTCATTCATATGCCTGGGGCCTTGACAGATACAACTAGAAGGCAGGGGCCTCTCTAGTCCCATGTGGCATCTCATCATTAAGTGGTCTTGTTAGAATTTCTTCACAGAATAATTGTATCTCAAGAGGGAGAAAGCAGAGGCTGTCATTGTTCTTTAAGGCTAAGCCTGGAACTGACATGCTGTCACTTCTGCCACATTCTGTTGTGCAAAGCAAGTCATGAAGTCAGCTCAGGTTCAAGGGATAGGAAAACAGATTCCACCTTCTTTGAAAGGAGAAGCAAAAATTTCGTGGCCATCTTTAATCAGCCACAGTCTTCCCTGTGAATACAAATTAAATCTATTTTTCCCACATTCAAATTACACTCACCTGCCACGTGCTCCCCCCACCAACAGGGGGCAGATAGTCATCACTGGGTCCTTAGCAATTCTAAAATTCAGCCAGACACATGTTATCAGGGCCATCTACTCTGGAGTTAGGGAATGATCCCTGATTAGGGCCCAGTTCTGCTCCCAGGGAGTGGTTCACTGTGGCTGTCTTTTTTTTTCCTTTTTTTTCTTTTCTTTTTTTTTTTTTTCCCCCTTAAGACACAGTCTGGCTATGTCACCCAAGCCAGAGTGCAGTGGCGTGATCATGGCTCACCACAACCCCAACCTCTTAGATTCAAGCCATCCTCGTATCTCAATCTCCTGAGTAGCTGGGACTACAGGCACATGCCACTATGCCTGGCTATTTTTTTTGTTTTTACTTTTTGTAGAGACAGGGTCTTGCTATGTTGCCCAGGTTAGTCTTGAACTTCTGGGCTCCTCCCTCAGCCTCCTTCCTCAGCCTCCCAAAGTGCTGGGATTACAGGTGTGAACCACTGTACATAGCCTCTGTAGCTCTTGGCCATGCCCTCTGAATTATCCTTCTCTTTTCATAAGAAATGGATCATATTTACAGCCAAGTGGCTTTCTCAACCTGTTCCCTGCTCCTAGAAATTTTCGGGACCCTGAGCCTTTTATCATTTTGATCTACCTGTCCCTTTTAGTCCAAACTAGTACAACTCTTCCTTTGTAAACTTTTGGATTTCCCATCAAATTACACACCACTCCATCAGCCAAAAGCTCCACCCACAAATCTTTTCAAGACAGGTCCCTCTCTAACATGGAATCCAAGTAAAGGTGCAGTGGGACAATGCCCATAAGATCCTTTGAAGCTCTTTCATCTAGCCAAGGGAATTCACAAGGTACCACCTTAGAGGTTTTTTAAAGATTTTGAGGTAATATATCTGTACCTCTAGTTGATTTTTATTCTGAGGCCATGTTTTCCTGTCAGCACGCTGGATTTGACCTTTGGCCTGAGGCTGTGCCTTACTTGAAGAAACTTTTGCTGATGGAGAGGCTGGGAATGGTGAATAATTTTGTTTTCTAAGCTAGCAAATGTTAGGTGAATACATTTCCTTAAAGAGAACTGGACAGTTCCTTTCTCTCTTCCTGTACCTTATCATGGGCAGATAAACACACCAGTCCAGTTGACAAGGCAGAATTTGTTCTGGAAATTTCCTTAGCCAAATTTACAAATTTATTTAGGTTTACGTTCTACCTTCCGTAAGACCTCCTGTGGCAGCGTTGCCAAACTTTCTGCTACACAGCATTAGTCCCCTTTCTCTCGCCTTCAGTAGCACTTGCCTATCTATCTTCCATTCACAGCCTCCCTCAGCAATAACCAGGCCACCCTTCACGCCTCCAACCAAAGCCACATGTCCACCAGCACCCCACTTCCAGGTACTGGTGTGCATTTCATTTCTCTATTGCTGCCCACTAAGCCACCCCCAAACCCACTGAGGGTTTAACGTGACAATTTATTATTTCTCACACGTCTGGGAGTTGACTGGGCTCAGCTGGGTGGTTCTGGTTTTGCAGTTACCTGCACCTGGGAACTCAGCAGAGGCTGGAGCTTCCAAGATGGCCTTTCATCCCGCAGGGCTCTCCCTGCATAGGATCTCACCACTCAGTAGTCTAGCCCAAACTTCTGTACAACATGGCAGATGGCTTCTAAGAGAGTAAAAGTAGACACTGCCAATCCACTTAAAGCCTGGCTCAAAAGCCTCAGAATGTCACTTCTTCTCCATTCTATTGGTCAAGACAACTCACAGGGCAAACCACATTCGGCGGGTAGGGGGCAGAAATTCAAGGGGAGGCATACATGACGGGAGGAAGGAATTGATGGGTGGCTGTCTTTGGAGACTATCTCCCGCATACTCGAAAAGCAGTTGCATCTAATACTTAAAAACTGAAAAGTTTATGAATAAATGAGCTAAATTAAAGTGTCATCCCTTTGAAATTTCACCAGATGTTAATTGTACATGAAATTATTAAGTGTGAAGTAAATAACCAGATTATAGCTGTTTAAACGTAAACAAAATATAGTAAACACAGAAATTTTTTCTAAAGAAGGGTGACAGTTAACACTGAAAGTGCTTTTTTTTAAATGAAAGAAGAAATATCTTTAAAAATTACATAGTTTCTCCAATTCTGTCTACTGAAACTATTGAAACTCTTTGGAGCTGTGGATAGGAGAAGGAATGATCAAAAACCAGTAGGTGATAATGAGGCATTCATTAAGGAAAAAATCCACAAAGTATTTGGTTATCAGTGAAAAACTTACCATTTTAATATATAGTATTTTCATGGTTTTTGTTTTTAATCATTTTTTTAGGCTGACGATATCAGAGCTTTGCTGATAGATGCCATGCCCCCAGAGGCCTTACCTACCTGTTTTAAACCTCAGGCTACTGTAGTGAGTGCCTCTCTGATCTCACCAGCATCCACCCCCTCCTGCCTCTCGGCTGCCAGCAGCATAGACAACCTCACTGGCCCTTTAGCAGAGTTGGCCGTAGGAGGAGCCTCCAATGCAGGGGATGGCGCCGCGGGAACAGAAAGGAAGGAAGGAGAAGGTGAGTAGACCCCATGAATGCTTATTTATTTATACCTTTTGTTAGTGGAGCAGAATGACTTTTTTCTATTGATAACTATTGAATGCCTCAATTAGAGACGTCCTGTCTGTAAATTTTCATACACACAACATCTTACAAGAAATATTTCTTCATAGAAGGCTGCCACGTTTCTTGGCATTGTCGTTGTTCTTATTTCTGTATATTCTAGAGCATCTGTTTACAACCATAGCATCTTATTGAACCACTTATACTGAAATTGTGTCAGAACACAACTGAGAGGTCATTTCAGGAATGAAAACTAAAATGATAGCTGATACATTTAGATTTTTTAATTCATTAAAAGCTTTAGATGTTTCTATATAAGTAGCATTCTGTAGTATAAGAATTATACTATAATGTTAAAATTAGTATAATATTCTCTATATTTTTATAAATTACAATAAGTTATAATTCTATATTCTAACCATAATATTAGAATACAAATACTAATTTGATAAAGATAAAACACTCTGTTTTTACTTCCCAATCAACTTCAGAAATAAAGTGTCTAAATTAAATCTGTGTATTCTGTATTATTTTATGCCATGGAAAATCATCTGACAGCCAAGGTTGTCAGAGTCATGTCTAAATGGATACTGAAATTTTCTTTATATTTAGAGAATTCTTTCTGAGAATCTTTAATATGTTTCTGTTTTAGTTGCTGGTCTTGACATGAATATCAGCCAATTTCTAAAAAGCCTTGGCCTTGAACACCTTCGGGATATCTTTGAAACAGAACAGGTAAATACTCTTGTATATATTTGAGTCATTTAAATTAAATACTAAGATTAGGCTGGATGCAGTGGTTCACACCTTACTCCCAACACTTTGGAATGCTTCGGCAGGATTGCTTGAGCCCAGGAGTTTGAGACCAGCCTGGGCAACAAAGCGAGACCCCCATCTCTACAAAAAAAAAAGTTTTTAAGTTAGCTGAGCATGGTGACTTACTGGGCCCCTGTAGTGCTAGCTGCTGGGAAGCTGAAGCAGGAAGATCATGTGAGCCCAGGAGTTTGAAACTGCAGTGAGCTGTGATTGTGCCACTGCATTCTAGCTTTGGCGACAAAACAAAACCCTATCTCGAAAAAAAAAAAAAAAAGAAAGACTTATTAATTGCCACCCACCTCTTCCTCTTTTGCTTCTTACGAGCTATTCTTAAACCCACAACACATTTCTATAAGAAGCCAGAGGAGCCCAGTATTTTATACTTCTCCCCAAAATTGTCTAACAAATGAGTCTTTATTTTATCTTTATAAGCAGTCTAGCACTATGCATTTTATTACATGTCAAAACTTAGACCATGCAACTACCTCAAAAGAATGTTTTCATGATTGTCCTTGGTTGTTTGTTTCCGAAAAATGTCAGTCTTTATTCATCTCATTTCATTATTCATGTGACTAGGCTCCTGAAGCAGTTGCCCATTAATTTGGAAAGCACAGTAGTACTTAGACAACTGCACTTTTAAAAAATTGCCCCTTTATGAAGTTTCTGTTGTCCACTTGGAGTCTTAAATAATATTAAACCAAAAGTTGGCCATACATTCCAATAGACCCACCCTATTTTGGGATCCATCTTAAATGTCTGTGAAGGTCTAAGGATGGAGTCATCATTAGGGCATTTATGAATTAGGATTCTTCTGTTTGTTTTACTGTTTTCATACAGGATAAGGAGTTGTAATATTGTATGCTTTCATTATTATGATCAGCTTTAAATATTGAATGATGGTAACTCCTGAATTTAAATGGACTATTGATATACATGAAATTTAAGAATGGGAAAGGTGTTTAGAGAAAAATTATTCTCCCAGGTGTAGGGATCACCCTTGTATAATAACACCCATGTTAGTCCTCCAGCCAAGGAAGATATCTTGTTACAATTTGGGACAGGTGTAATAGAATGCTTGTAACTTAAAGTGTGCCAAAATCTGCCCGTAGGTATAATTCCTTTGTTTTCAGCTTACGCTTACGCTTACCCTGTTTTGCACAGAGATCTAATCTCCAGTCTACATATGTATTCAGTTTCAGAGGACTATACTCCCTACAGAGGCTGTAGGGGAGAATCTATTCCATGCCTCTTCCTGCTTCTGATGGTTGGCAGCTTCCTTGGCTTGTGGCCATGCTACTCCAGTCTCTGCATCCATCTTCACATTGCCTTCCTGTCCTCTCTATCTCTTCTAAGGACATTTGCATTGAATTTGAGGCCACCAGTATAATCCTGGGTGATCTCCTCATCTCTAGACCCTTAACATAATTTCGTCTGCAGACACTTTTCTTCCAAGGAAGGTGACATTCACAGGTTCTGGGGATTAGAACATAGACGTATCATTTTGAGGGCCACCATTCAGCCCACTACAACATAATATGGCCCTAGATATCTTTTTAAGACCTAGTCAACTTATCAGAGGTGTCACCCTTTCAATCACCCACCTCTACACATCTTCCCCTATTTTAGAATAAATCTGTTTTTTCAATTATTCTTTATATGACATAATTTTCCAGTATTTCACTGGCACCTTTGGCCCATTATGGTTCCCTTCTAGGCTTATAGTCAGTTTGGAGTTAACTTAAAAACCAGGTCTTTTTTCTTATTTATATCAATTATACTGTTAAGATTTTTTTTCTGCTTTCTCTCTTTTTTTTAGCTACATTTTTTCATTATAGTTCATCTTTAATGCTCTTAATGATAAGAACAGCCGAGTAGGGATAGCACTGGACTAAAAGAAGACCTTAATTCTAATTATTTTTACCCTCTTACTAGCTGTGTAAAATTGGGCTGAATGACATTTATCCTATCACTTCCTTTACCTGTAAAACCTAATGCTTATAAATGTTCAGAGAGTTAAAATCCTCAGTAATATTGTGCTGCTGTGTCAGCTTTTAATACAGTGATGCATCACAGGTGCCTTTGCGTCTAATGGTTAGGACTTTATAGACTGCTGTCTATAAAATCATTTTCTTTTCCAACCATTTATTCATCCTCTGGTTTGGAGCTTTCTTAGGACAATATCCTAAATAGTAAGACTGCTTCATCCTTATTCCCTAACTGAAGGTGTGAAAGCTGATTTAAAACCATTATACTCTGCTGTTCCCATATTACAGCTATAGCTGTTCTTCCCAAATCATTTCCACAATAATTGTAAAATTTCAAACACATCTTTGCTAAATAAACCAAAGACCTTAACTCAAACAAATAATTCCAATTTACTGATGAAAGTTTTCTAAAGAATGTTCATTTTTCTTCTTTTAGTCAGTTTGCATTATAATTTTATGTGTTCTTTTTAAATTTATATCGTATATTCGCATTGTCAGTAACTGACTTCCTGTGGCGTATTTATCACATTTTATTGATTTGAATAGTTTAATAGTTTAGTCTCCTAGTCACTCCTTCTGACAGCTTGTCCTGGTTTCATCAGTTTCATTGTTCTTTTTTTACTGCAGTTTCATTCTGAGTAAATGGTTCCATTGGTTTTCTTTTAGCCAGAATAATTTCTATAGCCTTTTATTGATCAATACATAGACGATTGCATTTAATGTATATTACCAAGCACAGTTCTTTCCCTCCAGACAGGTGATACTACCTTTCTTTGTATTGAACTGTGTCTGGCCCAATCATCAAGCAATCAAATTTATTTTTATTTTAATTGCAAATGTTATTTATCTAGCCTTCCATTATAAATAAATTTGATAACCTTTTCCATAACTTTAACCCTTAGCATTTTCTCCCATTAACATTCTATATCAGTAATATGTGATGATGGTCAATGTATTTGTATAGTCGGGGAGGAGTGAGGGTGCATGCATTGAACGCATTTAATTCATATCTGTTTGGCTTAAGCCAGGGGAGCCGTTGTTTTCTGATGCTCTTTGACATGCTTCTATGTCTCATTGCCTGTGTTCCTACTCATGGATGCCAGTGGGGTGTGGAATGTAGTTATTTTATTTCTGGTCCCAGAAGAAAACCTTCGGCACATCATAGCCTCACCTCCTATCTTCACAGTTACTCTCTTGGAAGTCTCTAAACTAAATTGTCCTGTTTCCCATAGATACTTTGCCAAGTTCTATGTTGAATAATATAGTATCCTTTCTAGTTAATGAAATATAGTACCCATGTGACTTTGGCCCTTCCTTTATAACATAGCTTTGTACCTATGAACATAGGTAGGAACACTTTTTATATGGGAAAGACAGATTTTATTTACACTGCAATTCCTAGAACATAAATGCTATCACTTGGAAGACTGCTTGTGGACATTTTTATGGTTAACCTATGTATTTTCATGGAAAGTGACCAGATAAATTTTGATTTCAAATTCTTGAAGACAAAAGCATGGCCTCCCATAATTCATTGTGAACTTGATTATAAAGTTAGTTCTTATTACTCCTGCTGTACCATACAACCTTTTAAGCCCAAGCAAGAGGACGTCTTTTTCATTAAAACTAGTTTTCTCTCCCCACCCAAAGTAAAATGACTCTCAGAAGCTAGAGGTAGCTCTTTTTGCAGTGACCTTTGCTTTATGTGCAAGATGACTTTAACTGACACGTGGATAATCTTTATTCTTAGTAATTTTATTTTAATGTATACTAGATAGAAATAACTAGCCCAACAAGCTTGTGATTTCCTCAGTATAATAACTAAGTCAAGGTTTTAAAAAAGGAGCAAGTTAATTTAAATATGATTTTCAGAAAAAAAAATGTCTAACAGCTGATAGGGGTATATATAAAATTCCTGAGTCTTGAAGCAACATGTCTAAAATCCAACTAACCTGCTTTCCATCCAGATATTTCTATTTCTTTTGTTGATGCAAAAGTCTCATAGTTACCCAGCTACAGAATTTTGGAATAATCTTACTTTCATTCCTTTTATTTTAACCATTTCTATTTACCAGGCCCTGTAAATACAGTTCTCCAGTTGCTTTCAGATTCATCCCTTCCATGCCATTTTATCTTCTTCTTATTCCCAGTTGCCTTCCCTTCCAAATCTGCCCTTCATAATGCCAACAGTCTCATCCTCCTAAAATACAACTTTGATCATATTACTCTGCTGAAAAGACTTCCCAGGGCCTTTGGTATACTTTTTTTGTTTTTGTTTGTTTTTTTTTGTTTGTTTGTTTTTGAGATGGAGTCTAGCTCTGTTGCCCAGGCTGGAGTGCAGTGGCGTGATCTCAGCTCACTGCAACCTCCGCCTCCCAGGTTCACACGATTCTCTTGCCTCAGCCTCCTGAGTAGCTGGGATTACAGGCATAGGCCACCATACCCGGCTAATTTTTGTATTTTTAGTAGAGATGGGGTTTCACCATGTTGGTCAGGCTGGTCTCAAACTCCTGACCCCGTGATCTGCCCGCCTTGGCCTCCCAAAGTGCTGAGATTACAGGCATGAGCCACCACACCTGGCCAGCCTCTGGTATACTTCTAAGCCTCTTAGTTTGATAGATAAGGCCCTTTAAGATCCTCTCTGTGCCTGCTGCTCTGCTGTGCTCCTTTTAATCCTTGATACATACTCTCCTGTAACCATTTTGAACTACAGTACTTAAGGTCCCTCAAATACTCTGTATTCTTTTAACTGATTTTCCCTTTGCACATGGTATTCCCTCTGTCTTAAGCCCACTTCCCTCCTTCCCCTGACTGATGAGCTCCTGCTGCTTAGCTGAATTATGACCTTCTTCTGAGAACCTTTCCTCATCTCCTTCCTGCTCCTTCCTTCCCAGCCCCCCTTGCAACCGTGACCAAGCAGGTCACCTTCACGAGAGTTCTCTTAGGGATTGTCCAAGACATTGACCCACTTTTTGTTTCTTGGTTACCTCAAGTAAATAGCATGAACTTTGGTTAGCACTCTGTTTCATGGCCCCACTCTTTTACTATCAGTTATTTGGACCAACTATGTAACTTTCCAACTATAAGGGGTTGTTTTAGAATTAAATGAAATATTTAGTTACTTTTTAAAGAAATACATAGCATAAAGAAGGTACTCATTAAACATTTTATATGTGAATGAGCTAACATAAATCTGAATTTCTTAGCTTTTCATTGAAGGTTTTTCAGTGGCCACTGCCTGATAGATATGTGGACAAATTGGACACCATGTAACTCACTGCGACTAAATTTAACGCTTAATCATGTCCACCTTCTAGTCATCCTTTTAAAGAATATAAACAGGGAAAAGACAGATACAGCTATACATCTCAGCTCTTCTGTGTACTATTTTTATGACTTCTCTAAGTACCAGTGACCTCATAAATACATTAATAGTACTTCATTATCTGTCATTGTAAGGATTAAATGAGGAAATGTAAATAAAGTGCTCGGAACTGTGCTTGTTATGTAGCGAGTACACAACAAATATTGTGTGGATGGTGGTTGGATGATGAATGGTTGGATGGAATTGCAAGAATAATGTATATTTATATTCAGTTGCAAGTATAGAAAGTTGTCCCATTCCCTTTTTGTTTTTTTTAGATTCCACAGGTTGATAGCTTTTCATCTCTTCTATCCTTCAGGATAGCCTAATAAACATTTTCTTTTGTTTCTTTAGTTACTTATTTTCATATGCATTCCTTTTGTGTGACTGTAAGTATCTAATTGGATAAATGCCAAGATAGCGTAGGTAGATCACTTATCTACTGCTGTGTAACAAATTACCCAAAACTTAATGGCTTAAAATAACAAACATGTATTATTCCACAGTTTCTGTATGTCAACAATCTAAGCATGGCTTAGTTGGGTGCCTCTGGCTCAAGGTCTGTCCTGAAGCTGCAGTAAACTGTCCAACAGGTCTGCAGTCTCACCTGGGGACTCACCTGGCAAGGGCTGGGACCCGCTTTCAAGCTCTCTCACAGTGTTGGTTGACTGGCCTTGATTCCTCACCTGTGGGCCTCTCCACAGTGACCTTATGGAGTATTACTTACCTGCTGCTGCTTGATAAATTACCGCAAACTCAGCAGCTCAAAACAGCACACATTTTGTGAGTCAGGAGTCTATGCACAGCTTAGTTGTGTCCTTTGCTTCACGATCTCTCACAAGGCTACAGAGCATTAGCCAGGGTCAGTATCTCATCTAAAGACTCTACTGGAGAAGGATCCCCTTCCATACCCTCACGTGCTTATTGGCAGGATTCAGTCCCTTGCAGTCTGTTGGACTGAAGCCCTCAGTTCCTTGCCATGTGAGCCTGTATAACATGGTTTCTTGCTCTATCAAAGCCAGCAAGAGAAAGATGATCTGCTAGTCACTTCTCATCACCATTGCTGTATTTGCTTGGTTAGAAGCAAGTCACTAGGCCAGCCTGCACTCCAGGGGAGGGGAGCACACAGGATGTGATGTAAGGAGGTGGGAATCATTGAGTCTGTCTGCCATAGCGTGGCAGCCAGTTCTTCTAGGGTGAGCAGTCCAAAGCGTGAGCGCCCAAGATGGAGGCCACAGTCTCTTTATTACCTAATGTAAAAAGTAATTTCCCATCACTTCTGCTGTATTATATTTGTTAGAAGTGAGTTCATAAGTCTGTCTCACACGGGGAAGGGATTACAGTGAAGACACAAATGCCAGGAGGTAGGAGAGCACTTTCCACGTTAGGTGTGAGAGCTCCTCTCAGCCTTGCCTTCTAAACTAAGTGACTTGCTATCAGTCTTTTCAGGTTGTTTTGTTGGTTTGGTTTGGGTTTTTTGTATTCATTTTATGATTAGAGCTATAAAATGAATAAATATATTAAATATTCTCCATTACTCCTCTAGAACATTGTAGAGAATATTGTGTTTTGCTGGCCTGGTGTCTGCTTCCTCCAGACGTGCACTGTATGTATCAATCCAGAAAAGTCTGACGAGGGCCAGGCGCGGTGGCTCACGCCTGTAATCCCAGCACTTTGGGAGGCCAAGACGGGCAGATCACGAGGTCAGGAGATCGAGACCATCCTGGCTAACACGGTGAAACCCCATCTCTACTAAAAATACAAAAAAATTAGCCGGGCGTGGTGGCGGGCGCCTGTAGTCCCAGCGACTTGAGAGGCTGAGGCAAGAGAATGGCGTGAACCCAGGAGGCGGAGGTTGCAGTGAGCCGCTGAGATCGCGCCACTGCACTCCAGCCGGGGCGACAGAGCGAGACTCTGTCTCAAAAGAAAACAAAACAAAAAAAAAAAAAGTAAAGTCTGAGAATTCTCTAAGTTGAAGTTACCACATAGATATGAGACCCTTGGTTTTAAACTGAAGTTAGTTTAGAATATTTAGAAGAAAAAAATGGGACATCAATAACATAGTTTCCAAATTATATTAAAATCATGTCTAGCTAAGAATGTAAAGGCTCCTATTATTTTGTGAACTATTCCATCTCAAAGATGTGTATTTCAGAACTGGGGTTTGTTGTTTTGTTTTGTTTTGTTTTTAAAGCTCTGCTGAAACCTTTCTTTTGGGTGGTTGGATGTGAATTGCCCGCTTTGTGCAATGAAGCAATTATTGCTTAAATGGCCACTTAGAAGCAATATAGAAAATTATTTCCAAAGAACGAGTGATATATGCTCATTTCACTGGAAAGATCAAACTCATATTTTATTCTGACAAAAAAATCAGCAGAGGTCCAGGCCTAATTTGTCAGTTTTTTAAATGTTACTTGCAAGTTAAAAAGTGGAAAAAAGCGATCTTGTTTGAGTTGGAAACTGCATGTCTATAAAAGGATTTCTTGGTTTTCCAAGGCAGGGGAAAATCAAAGACTAATCTTGTAGACTAGTATATGGATTGTCACAAAGCTAGCTTCATCAGGGCTGGAAAATTGCATGTTCAGCCTTCAAGAAATGTGGCTACCCGCGTTCATCCTGTGTGTTCAGAATGTAGCCACTGGGTGGTAGTAGAGTCCCAGCTACTTTAGTCCATAAAGGAATTAGGTTATTTTGAGCCAACTAATCATCTCCATTTTACAAGGATGAATAACCAAAAGTTAAAAACTAACCAAAAATTAAAAAGCACTATGTTGTATAAAAACAGAATGTATTTTAAGGAGAAGGGATTAAGTCTGAGAATTTATGAGAGAGTTTAAAAAGAATCTAATTTTCTTATCCAAATTGGAATTTTAAAATGTAGCCTCTTTAAAACAGTTTGTAATCTAACCAAATACTTGAGATGTCAATCTCACTGCTTTTTAAGGAAGCCTGTCCCGGGCTTGAGTATTTCTTAGCACTGAGAAGTTCTTCCTTATCTTCATCTAAAAATTGCTTTCTCCTTTTCCTGCGTTGTTTACTTGTGCTGAACGCCTCTCCCTTTCCCCCACCGTTCATTTCTACTCCCTGCTGGATACTAGGATCTGGTGTTTTCCCATTTTCAAGCTACTGATTCCTCCTCTATCTTGAGGCAAGCAGTAGATGATAGAACAAAATAATCTAAAGGAAATATAGTGATGATCATTTTGTATTTCTATAGTATTGTTTCTCCCTTTTTAATTCTCATGGACAAAAAGCAAATCAAAGAGTACTTCAAGTAAGCAGAAAAGCTGATGAGACTATCAAGACAACTTTAAAAAAATTGTAAGCTCATGTTTATAAAGGGAACAAAAGAATTTTCTTAATTTGAATGGTACTCGTAGCATTGAAGGCAATTGGAAAAGCTTTTGTCCTCTTAAGAACTGTTAAAGATATCCTAGCTAATTTTGTTTCATTTTTCAGATTACACTAGATGTGTTGGCTGATATGGGTCATGAAGAGTTGAAAGAAATAGGCATCAATGCATATGGGCACCGCCACAAATTAATCAAAGGAGTAGAAAGACTCTTAGGTGGACAACAAGGTAAGCTATTCAGAAAAAAAAAAAAATTTCAGAAATCAGTGGTACAAGGTAAGTATTGGGGCTGATAATTGAACTCAGGCAGTCCAGTCCCAGAACCATACACTGAACTATTGTACCTCCTGTCCCTTCCCCATCTCAGTTATTGGCCTCATGCTCCCTCTAGCTGGAAAAATCTGAGTCAGTCTTCCCTGTCTCCCAACACTTTGTATCCTCAATTTTTCTGGAATCTCTGTACTTCTGTCCTTTCCCATGACTGTCACTTGATCCAAGCCACCATTCTCTCTCGTGGACTGTCCCAGCCACCTGGTTTATCTCCAGCCTTTACATTTGCTTCCTGCTTCCTTCCAGTACCTTCTCTACAATGTGAACACAATCTTTTCAAAATGATTATATGATCATATCACTCCATTGCTTAAACCCCTGTAATAGAATCCTGTTTCTTTTAGGATAGAATCAAACATTGCTAACATGGTTTTTTACAATCTAACCTTTCTTAACTTGAACTTTCCTCCCTCCCACATGACTGTCAGCTTTGTCTTTTTCCATTGTACTTTGCCGTTACAAGCCTCTTTCCCCTCTGTTTTTACCCATTTCTCTATTTGTTAGAAGCACCTTCACTATAGGAAAGCAAGGAAGGAGAATCTACAGAGCTAATCAAATTATAAAAGAGTGATGTGAAATTCAAACTGGAAGATTTTGTGCTTGAGTCTTGCTTATTTATCTGTATTTTAGTTCATCCATGAAACTAACAAAGATAATGTGTTTTAAAGCAATTGTAAGTGGCTATTTCAAGCCATCTTACAAGAGTTTTTAGAGGATAATTTTTATATTTTAGATCTGACTATATTGTGATGTCAGTGCCTGTTTTTCTTTTTTTTTGTGTCAGACATAGCTTCATGTATGTTCATGATAGAGTTTAATTCAACAAATATTTGTTGAACTCTGCAGTCTGTACAAGAAGCTCTGTAACAACAGATAAAATTGGGCTGGGCGCAGTGGCTCACGCCTGTAATCCCAGCACTTTGGGAGGCCGAGGCAGGCAGATCATGAGGTCAGGAGATTGAGACTATCCTGGCTAACATGATGAAACCCTGTCTCTACTAAACAAAATACAGAAAATTAGCTGGGTGTGGTGGTGGGCGCCTGTAATCCCAGCTACTAGGGAGGCTGAGGCAGGAGAATGGTGTGAACCCGGGAGGCGGAGCTTGCAGTAAGCCGAGATCACGTCACTGCACTCCAGCCTGGGCGACAGAGCGAGGCTCCGTCTCAAAAAAAAAAAAAAAAGAACAGATAAAATCAGTCCCCAAACATCTTCATTTTTTTCTCCTGTCTGTCTTTGAGTATATTTGTTTAAAGTAACCGAATTTATCAGGTTCAAATTGCAGATAGTTTAGGTTTGTTCCAAAACCTCAATTACTTATTATGAATTTTTTTTTTTTTTTTTTTTTTATAAAATAGAGCCTGAGTAGTGTAGACTTTTGTTTTATATGTTAATTTTTCTCTCCGACAGGCACCAATCCTTATTTGACTTTTCACTGTGTTAATCAGGGAACGATTTTGCTGGATCTTGCTCCAGAAGATAAAGAATATCAGTCAGTGGAAGAAGAGGTAATATACATCAGAAATCTTTCATTTGCTTTTCTTGAAATCTGTGGATAAACCTCTTTTTCTGGAATTAACCTCGTCTTACATTGCCTTGCGGTCACATGCCTATTAATCAGTCTGTCTTAGCCACTGTGGTAGAATATTGCCAAAATTAAAATATGACGGCGCCCCATGGTTTTCACATCATAAGCCTAGGTTTTCTAATGCATGGGGCCCATCTGTCTTTTTATTCTGGAGATTTTCTTGAATCTCATGCAAAATAAATAAGGAGCCTATTACAACTATTTTCTTATATTGTTACAGTGCCACCTAAGAATGACATAGAATGAAAAACTCTTGCCTCATAGAGAGCAAATATGTTCTCATCCTTGTTTTTATGCAGTTATAAATGTGACTATAAAATAATATGCCTAATCGTCACGTATGCTTCTGGGTCTGCCTCATTATTCTGCATAACATTTTTCCAGTCACAGTTCTTCTGAGCCCCTATGAAGGCTGTTTGTGTAACCCTCCTGGTGGTCAGATGCCAGTGAGACTCCTGCTCCACTGACGGCTTATGCATAAACAAACAGCCTAATGCCATTGTTATAAGTAAGCTACCCAATTGTGTTATGCACATACCTAGGCAGAAAAAGGTATGCCTAATTCTTGTTTGTTTGTTTAATTAGTGCTCATTTTATTTTCATTCCCAGGCTAGGAACTTGCATAGGGAACTCAGGACCATGACCCCAGGGCTGTATTTCAGCTCATACGTAGCGCATCAGGAAGGCATCATGGGGTCCGGTGTCTTACTACCTAATTCTCCTAGCAGTTAGTACATTTTGATAACAATGTCAAAAATGTAGTGACTCTTCACAAGTGGAGCAGTAAGGAAGAGAATTCATTTTTTTTATTGAGTTAATTCTCTGAGAAACTTAGATCTTTAAAACATTTTTCTTTTCCATAATTATTTTTAATTTAGAGAGTAGTCAGAAGACAGTTATTCCCTTTAGTAGTACATTATAGTCAATGTCCCCTGGTCTGTGTAAATATACTTAGAGATCCCAAGCTGAAGACTATTGAGATAATATGGAATATTTCACCTACAGAACAAATATTTTTTAAAAATTGTTTATTTTTAGCATTTGTCCAACGGGCATTTAAGGAGTTTTTGTTTGACTTAATCAGAGTGTTAGTTCTTCTTCTCAATAAGATAAGATAGTAATTGTAGATGACTTAATGTGTTTTTTAATATGTTTCCCCATTGTGTTTACAGAAAACTCTTTCAGAACTTTTATTTAAAAGTAAATAGAAAGTGCATAAATTTAATATTTATGTTTGAAATTATTTTCTCACCAAAAATACTTATCCACTAAACTTGTTCATCAATTTATAGTGAACTCCTATTTATTTATTAATACTGAATTTTAGACTCATCATTGTCTAGAATTACACACTGGGATGTTTTTATAAAATTAGTTATTTTGTTCTGTAGATGCAAAGTACTATTCGAGAACACAGAGATGGTGGTAATGCTGGCGGCATCTTCAACAGATACAATGTCATTCGAGTAAGTTTTTAAAGTTTCATGGTGAAAACTGGATTGCAAGGCTTGCCTAAAAACCAAATCTAGACAATGAAAAAAGTTTATTAAGTCATATTTTCAAACTGTGAAAGATAATTCGTCACCTGTCTGAAGTCAGATAGCACTCTTCTCACTACAATATCTCTAACTCCCCAAGACAATACGTCACTAAAAATAGAGACATTCTGAAAGCGTCAAAGCTACAAACAGGAGGCTAAATCAGCTTCTACTAGTGATACTTACGTGGATATTGGTCTCCCTGCTCATGCACAAATACAGGCCATAGCTGACAATAATGTTTTTTATCATTTGAGAGTTGCATCAAAGTCCTGGATCTTCAATCTAATTGAACCAGTAATTACCTCAGAATACATATATTTCTTAATCTCGGTATCTCAATTTATAATATGGAACAGATGACTCAAGCTTTTTACAAAGGGGTATCATAAAGATGAATAAAACCTGTAGAGAACTGGTTTAACCCTTTGAGTTAACAGACCTGTAAAAGTTATACTGGTACACATCAGAATAACCCAGGGAACTTTTTTAAAAAAAATACAGATTTACAGATCCCCATCTCCTAAAATGTATTAAGTCTGGGGAGATGCCTAAACATAACCTTTTTACCTATTTTTTTTTTTAATCCTGAGGTGATTTAGAGGTAACAGCCAGGTCTGGTATAGAACAACAAAAACTGTAACTGAAAATTATGTCACTAACAGCTAGAGTATTTTCTGAATTACACTGACATGGTAGCTTTATCACTTTTAAATTATGTCTTAAGCAAAATAAAAATTGAACCTTCCTAAAAGGAAAACATACTTTTCATTTTAAATCATAAATGCACGTTTCACCGATAATGTTTCTTTCTTCTTCATCCTTAAAGATTCAAAAAGTTGTCAACAAGAAGTTGAGGGAGCGGTTCTGCCACCGACAGAAGGAAGTGTCTGAGGAGAATCACAACCATCACAATGAGCGCATGTTGTTTCATGGTAAGCAGCGTGGCAGGGACGGTGGACGTCTCCCTGGGCCTTTGCAGGAGTCAGTAAAGGGAAAAACCTACGTTAAATTGACTATAATACGGTTGTGTTAAAAACGGCTTGTTTTGATTATTTTGTTCAAATAATTACTTCTTGGTACCAGCTTTCTAATGTATCACACATCAGTACAGACTTTCCAGTGCATATACAGTGAAAATACTTGATCTAAAATTATTTTAGTACTTAAATTGCAAATTGAGCCACCTAGTGAATTACTTTTGTTGTAATTTTGTACTAGTACATTATTATGTATAATAGACCTTCTTAGAAAATACTTTTCATTTATACACCATTCATTTCTTAATATTAACCTGCCCGATGCAAATAGTGTGCAGGTAATTGAGCTTCTAGAAAAGTGTTCAAAAACGAATCTTTCTGTCTTCGTATTTCTAGGTTCTCCTTTCATTAATGCCATTATTCATAAAGGGTTTGATGAGCGACATGCATACATAGGAGGAATGTTTGGGGCCGGGATTTATTTTGCTGAAAACTCCTCAAAAAGCAACCAATATGTTTATGGAATTGGAGGAGGAACAGGCTGCCCTACACACAAGGACAGGTCATGCTATATATGTCACAGGTAAGCATCTTGCCATTAGTGTAACGTTTCCCACCCCTAGGTCACGAACCAAATTGTCTTTTTTTTTTTTTTTTTTTTGAGATGAAGTCTTGCTCTTGTCACCCAGGCTGGAGTGCGGTGGCACGATCCTGGCTCACGCAACCTCCACCTCCTGGGTTCAAGCAATTCTCCTGCCTCAGCCTCCTCAGTAGCTGGGATTACAGGCACCTGCCACCACGCCCAGCAAATTTTTGTATTTTTAGTAGAGATGGGGTTTTGCCATGTTGGCCAAGCTGGTCTCGAACTCCTGATCTCATGATCTGCCCACCTCGGCCTCCCAAAATGCTGGGATTACAGGCATGAGCCACCGTGCCCAGCCCCAAATTGGTTTATCAGGCTCTGCAGAAGTCACAGATTATCCTCAGTCTTGCATCCCGGTAAATCCCGTTGGTTCTGGGAATGGGTGGGAACAGCTGATCAGCCTCTTCTGACAGGAGCAATAACAACAGAGCAGATAACTAGGGGTAAAAACCAGGTACATGGCCTCCAGTCACGGGTTATGATAAAACTCCCTGCATCTTGGCTTTCTCCCTGGGCTTCACTTTTCTTCCTCTGTAATCAGAATATGGCAAGGCTAAGGATGATTTCTGTGGAACAAAGAACTGCTAGCTCTAGTCACATTTGAATGAAGACACACTTCTATAAAAAACATAGACTCTTTAATTTACTTCTGATGTTGCTGGTGATGTTGTTGTTTTAAGGCAGGATATATAATTAGCCTTGGCAACTTAAAATATCAACTTTGGAATTAATAGCAAACAAATGAATATTGGCCTTGTTAATAGACTTTTAAAACTCAAAAATTGGAGAGAATAATGGTATAATCTCTGTGATGTCAGTGGCGAAAAAAGTACTTTCCCTTTCCTTGGCAATGAAAAAATACAAAAGAATTATACTGTACAAAGATTGGGATTTATTACATTTCTGTGTAAACTTACTTACCAAATGCATTCTTTTTAACAAGCCAGGTTAATAAGATACTTTGTAATTTGGTTAAGACCTTAAAAAGACCCAAATAATTTCAGAACAAGGATCTCTGAGGGAGAAAAGCCCCAGTAACCTTGAAATTGTGATTATTGACCTTAAAACTTATCTCTCAGTTGTGTTTTGAACAAAATTATTGCCATCAGCCATTTGGAGTCGGATGTCATATACCCGGAAGGAAACTTCCTTCCATTAAGACCTCTGTGGTTAGGAATACAGAGAAATTTTCGGCTGGGCATGGTGGCTCACACCTGTAATCCCAGCACTTTGGGAGGCCGAGGCGGGCAGATCATGCCGTCAGGAGATTGAGACCATCCTGGCTAACACGGTGCAACCCCGTCTCTACTAAAAATACAAAAAATTAGCCGGGCGTGGTGGCAGGCGCTTGTAGTCCAAGCTACTCGGGAGGCTGAGGCAGGAGAATGGTGAGTACCCAGGAGGCGGAGGTTGCAGTGAGCCGAGATCGCGCCACTGCACTCCAGCCTGGGCGACAGAGAGAGACTCCGTCTCAAAAAAAAAAAAAAAAAAGAATACAGAGAAATTTTCAAGAATGTATAGCATGTAAAAGTATTTTTGGGTTTTTTTGTTTGTTTTTTTGCTTCAAACCTAATTCCTCTGGAGACAAAAATGAACCTAAATAAGCAATAAAAGTGAACCTCAATGAAAATTAACAGTCGCTCATTAAAATTAGACACACAAGTTTAAGTCTTAGCCAGGATTTCTGGAAAACAGAGCCTCAAGCAAAAGCATGTGACTAGTATTTGGCCAGTGCAGCCCCAGGGAAGCAGGAATGAGGGCCCAAAAGGAACTGAGGTGGAGAAGACAGCAGAGCAACCGCAGTGAGGTGCATTCATGAGCTGGCCACAGTCTCATAGTGAGTGCAGTCGATTGCCCAGTCCATGAGGCATCTCCGGAGAGGCTGTATCAACTACGGCATCTCACAACAGTAGTATATCAGTGAGAGAAAGAGACGAATTTGTCTGCTGGCTCCTGTCTTGCATTTGTCAAAATTTGCCACCAGGGCTAATTGGTAACCCTACCATTTAGGCTGCTGCGTCTGCAGAATGCACCACAATGCACCAGACAAGCCAGTGAGCAGACTTGAGCCAGCTCTCTACTTGCCCATCTGCAGCTGCAGCTCACCGCTGGCTGAGCAGGTCCCACGTCATCTCCTGCCTCGGCAGCAACAGGCGAGCCCTGGGGCAGGAAGCAGAAGACCAGGGCCTGTCAAGTTCACCTTTGTGTGACGTAAGAGACTAGCAGAATCTAACGACAACATAGCACTGCCACAAATGTAGAGAGAGATGGAGCTCAAAAAGCCTCCTTCTGATGGAGAGCAAAGCCCTTTTCTCTGGGACCTGCAGGAGAATATAGTAGACCAAGCCAGCATCCCAGAGGATCATCAATAGCATCCAACTCAAAAAGCCAGTCCAGATAAGACCCAGTTGTCCTGGATCCAGCACAAATTTTAGTTGACTCAAGATAAAATCTCTGGTTACTTATAACACAAAGCTTATACTCCATTACTAAAAACAATTTGACTGAATTGTAACTGTTTACATTTAACAGTGTGATCATTTGTACTAATTTGTAAAAATGTTTATTGCTTATATTAGAGATTAGCAGACATTTTCTTTAAGGGATATATAATAATTATTTTAGGTTTTGCAGGTCATACAATCCCTGTCACAGTAACTCAATTCTGCCCTTGTAGCGCAAAAGCAACCACAGACTATATGTAAATGAATGCATGGCTGTGTGCCAATAAAATTGTATTTACAAAACCAGATTGCAGGCTGGATTGAGCCATGGGCTATAGCTTGCTAACCCCTGGTGTATATAATAGACTTTCTTCCCAGTCAGTCTTTCTTACTCTGTGATACTTAACATCTGCTCTAATTCAGGTTTCACCCAGACTATTATGATTTTCAGCCATACATTTAAGCTAAGTACTTTCGTTCATGATCCACTTTTATTATTACTGTTTACCTCATCCCAGTTTCTACTTTTTTCCCTGTAATGAATAAACCCAATCTTAATTTCAGGTGTTGTTTCCATCAGCTTATTTTCTTCACTTTCCACCTACCCATCCATGCAAGGGCTCAGTTTTTTCTCTGGTTTTTTCCCTTTTTCCACCAGGCAAAACTTACTGGCAGGCATTTTCTTTTTTTTTTTTTTTTTTTTTTTTTGAGACGGAGTCTCGCTCTGTCGCCCAGCCTGGAGTGCAGTGGCGCGATCTCGGCTCACTGCAAGCTCCACCTCCCGTGTTCGTGCCATTCTCCTGCCTCAGCCTCCCAAGTAGCTGAGACTACAGGCGCCCGCCACCACACCCGGCTAACTTTTTGTATTTTTAGTAGAGACGAGGTTTTTACCGTGTTAGCCAGGATGGTCTTGATCTCCCTAGCAGGCATTTTCTATGGCCGATTCCTAAGCCATACCAAAACTACTTTAAACTTTAAGTGTAACTATTGAGTCTGGTAACTGTTTATAGCAAATCATTATATCAAATTCCATCCCATTCCTACTCATAAATCTGAAAATGACATTTAAATTAGCTTGCCTTATGTTAAATTTTTAAAAAATTAATAGATCTAGCAGTTATATTATTGTAAGATTTAAAGCTTCCTTCAAAGCATTGTTTTTTTCTTTTTCCTTAGACAAATGCTCTTCTGTAGAGTGACCCTTGGGAAATCCTTTCTGCAGTTTAGCACCATGAAAATGGCCCACGCGCCTCCAGGGCACCACTCAGTCATTGGTAGACCGAGCGTCAATGGGCTGGCATATGCTGAATATGTCATCTACAGAGGAGAACAGGTATGTTACTCATCAAACAAGCATAACCAAGTTCACAAACATGTCAATAGAGCACAGAGACCGTGTAAGACTTGAGACACTTTTCAGTGAAATATCCACCACACAGTGTGCTAGTATTAATTACTTCAGATACAAAATAAAGGTATCAAAATAATTCTTTGACATCAACTTTTTACCTAAAACCCATTAGTAGCTGTCAGCCACATAACACAGTGTGAACAAGAGGGCAGCTGAGAAACAAAGGCTTGGGCCCTCATGCCGTTTTGAGGCCTGCAGCTCTGAACTAATGCCTTGTGCCACTTCGTGGGCAGCATGCCAGGGCAGCTGCTGTTAGTGGGTCTTCATGGATGTACATGCCACAGGATTTGTCCAAAAACAAAAACAATTTGTCTGAATGTAAGTGAACTTCAAATGAATACCATAACTACAATAAAAGAGAAAAATAAAGAAGGAAATAACTAAATATATATAACCTATGAAAACAGTATTTTATACTGTGCCTTCAGTCATGGGCAGGGTAGGGAATGCTGTTGGGGGAAGACTGACAAAGGAATCCTGAACTCCTTTTAGTAAATGTGTTGATGGAGATACCGTGGGCAAAACAGTGAAACTCTTAAGCATATTATAGGATTGAGCACATGAGCGGATGTGTTGATGTATTGATTTGAGGAGCCAAAATTCTCATGGTAGAAGAAGGGACATACAAATATGGAATGGAGAAGGTAAGAAAGACTCTAAGGGTGGACTGAAATTGGAAGTATTACTATGATCTCATGGTTTCTAACGTGTGTGTACACCCATGTAAATTTATGGGTAAGTAGTAATATAAGCATGTGTGTGTATATGAGAGAAAGAGAAACCAAGGAAGGGAGGGAAGGAGAGAGAGAGAGACAGACAGGAAGGAAAGGAGGGAGAGAAGAGAGGAAGGAAGGAAGTGAGGGAGGAAGAGAGAGAGGAAGGGAGGGAGAGAGCGAGGAAAGGAGGGAGGGAGGAAGGAAGTGAGGGAGGAAGAGAGAGCGAGGAAGGGAGGGAGGAGAGAGGAAGGAAGGAAGAGAGAAGAAAGGAGGGAGAGAGAGGAAGGGAAGCAGGGAGGGAGAGAGAGAGGAAGGGAGGGAGGGAAAGAGAGAAAGGGAGGGAAAGAAAGGGAGACAGATACTAAGGAAGGGAGGGACAGAGGAAAGGAAAAGAGAGAGAAGAAGGGAGGGAGAGAAGAAGGAAGGGGGAAAGAGATAAAGGGAAGGAAAGAACGGGAGAGAGAGGAAGGGAGGGAGAAAGACTGAGAGAGGAAGCAAGGGAGAAAGCGAGAGAGGAAGGAAGAGAGAAAGGGAGAGGAAAGAAAGAAGGGAGGAAGAGAGGAAGGAAAGAGGGAGGGAAAGAGAGAGAGGGATGAATGGAGGGGAGAGGCAGGAAGGGAGGGAGAGAGAGAGAGAGAGAGAGGAAGGGAGAAAGCGAGAGAGGAAGGAACAGGGAGTGAGAAAGGAAGGATTGGAGGAAGGAGAGAGAAAAAAAGGAAGGCAGGAGAGAGAGGAGAAGGGAAGTGGGGGAGGAAGGGAGAAGGGGGAATGAAGCGGGGAGAGAGGGGAGGGAGGGAGAGAGAGCTAGAGAGCGGAACGGAGGGAGAAAGTGAGGGAGAGCAGAAGGAAGGGATGGGGAGAGAGGGAGGAAGAGGGAGGGAGGGGGAGAGGGAGGGAGTGGGAGGGAGTGAGAGGGAGAAAGAGGTGGGAGGGAAGAAGGGATAGGCAGAGGGATGGGGGAGGGAGAAAGGGAGGGAGTGAGAGGAGACAGAGGTAGGGAGGGATGGAGGGGGAGAGAGGGAGAGAGAAGGAGGGAGGGAGAAACAGGGAAGGACGGGTGGAGGGAGGGATGACATGGGACTCATCATGTACCCATTATTAGACCAGGCAAGAATTATTAATGGATGCTAAATATGGGGATTGTTTCACTAAGGAGAAGAATATTTGCGTGGTTTTCTTATTACAGACTTACTTTCAAAGGGGGCTGGGGGGAGGAGTAATTATATATTGGAGAAAGGGGACAATGCCTTGACCAGATAATCAAAATCAACATCACCAATGAGGGACAGATAGGCTTATATTATCTCTCTAGGTGGATACTCTAAAGGCACGACATCTCTGCAGCATTCCAGCCAAAAATACATGATGTAAGTCTAATCAAAATGAGGAATGTTTTACTTTTTTTAATGTTGAAAGATTGTATTCTTCAAAAATGTTAATATTATAAAAGAAAGGCTGTGCTAACTTTCCAGATTACATGAGGCCCAAGAGACATGAAAACGAAGTTAACCTTCTGCCCCCAACTGCATCCAGTATTGGAAGAGAAAGTACATTATTAGATCAACTGACAGAATTGGAATATGGACATTAAATAAAAGGATTGTATCAATGTAAAATTATAAGGTTGATTCTGTACTTACGTAAGGCAATATGTCTATGCTTAGAAAATATATACTGGCATATTTAGGGATAAAGGACCATGATGATGTATATAACTTGTAAACGTTTTGGGGAGAATGTGTGTGTGTGTGTTTGTGTGTGTGTGTGTGTGTGTCTGTGTGTGTGTGTGTGTGTGTGTGTGTGTAGTGCGTATGTGTGGGTGTGGGTGTATCTAGTATACAGGGATAGGGAAGGGGCAAATGATAAAGCAAATGAGATAAATAAAACCTTCCCAAACGTAGATCTGGGTGAGGTTATGTAGCTGTTTTTGGTACCATTTTAATTTTTGCAACTTACTTGTAAGTTGGTAGCTGTTTCCAAATAAAAAGTTTACAAAAAGGAAGGAATAAATTTGTCATATTTTTCTGTTTAAATCATAAACCTTTAACTTCTAGAAAAGAAGCTTTTTTTTAACTTTTATTCAGTAATTATACTTCTTCTAGAAATTTGTATTGGAATAATCAGTGATAGTCACAAACACACACTATATACATGAATATATGAATAGTCATCACTGTCTTATCACAATAAAAAATTTAAACAACCTAAATATTAAGCAAAAGCAGAATTGTTAAATAAACATATTCATATGTCTGATATTTTTTAACATTTACATAATATATACCAAACATAGATTCACCCACAGCATAAGAATATGGTTATCACTGGGTGATAATGAGTGGTTTCAGTTCTCTTTACCATGTATTTTAAATATACTGTAAGTTATCTCTGATTCACCCACAACATAAGATGGTTATCACTGGGCATTAATGAGTGGTTTCAGTTCTCTTTACCATATGTTTTAAATATAAGTTATCTGTAGTGGTAAATATTTATTTCATAATTGGGTACAAAGAAATAATAAGGAATACTTAGAAGATAAGTTTAAGTTTACTTTTCTGAAATTTACTAATTAACCATCTCCCAGGTAAAATTTGACTTGATAATTTAGTCAGAGTGTCTCATGAAATAATTTTAGAGAGTGATTAGTACAAAACTTATTTGAAAGAAAAAAAAAATGCCTAAATAAAAAAATGCACTCAGCATTTATTTTATTTCCGGGGAGGATAATTGCTCTTCCATATTCAGGTATACTTGTACACATGGATCGTGTTAACTCTAGCGTCTGCTAATTGAGTACTTTCTCATGAGCAGTTTTTGCTAATTTTATAGGGAAGTTTTCCTTTGCTAACTTTTATTTCATTCTCCTTAGTCATACTCTAAATCATCTTTCACTCTTAATGTTTAACTTTCAAAAACACACACGTTTTATGTGTTTTTGATTGAGGATGATTTGAGTAGTAGTATTCGTTATTGGTGGGAATGTTTCTTTCTTGAAGATTGAAAAGATATATTGAAGGTTAACTGAACTGTACTTGGAAAGAAAAATGGCTCTGATTATTACATATGATTGGACTTAAGATGTCAGTGGTATTTGTTTATGTTGTACTTTAAACTTCACATTAGACATGAAGGAGAGGTGTTCTCTGCTCATTGGTTTCTCCAGAGATTTCAGCTACTTTACTGAACTGATGTGAACAATGCAGAATTACTTAACCTGGAAAAGAAAAGACTATAGAATAGAATGATTTCTAAAATGGTTTCCAAACATACAGAATCATTCAAGAGAGCATGACGGTCCCTTCCTCACCTCTATGAGACATAAACTGAGAGCATTTGAATTCAAATTTTAGTGTTAGGGATTTGGATTAAGAAGAAAATTCAGAAAATGAGTTAGCAGAAGTGGTTGTGTATTTAAAAAATAAGTAAATAAATACATACATACATCCTACGCTGGTATAACCAGCATGGATTTAAAGTGACCTGACGGAAAATGACGGTTTTTGGTCCATCTTAGGCCCTTCTAGTTCTGCAGTTCAGTAATTCCCTTACCCTTAATCCCTCTGGACTGTAATTGATTAATTAGTAACTTAAAGGGCACACAGAAACAATTCAGTAGCCTAATCATTAGGAACCGGGAGCATTTAGATAAGGACCTTTAAGGAACTCATGCCATTAGAATCTTAGAATCCACCTGACTAAGATGGACGTGTGTCAGGGATCCCCTTAAATCATGAGCTACCTAAATGCAGACACCGGCACTATTGACTCCTTTGCTTCAACAGCTTTTCCGCAAGTAAAATGTCATAGAAAGTATTATAGATATTAAACTTCACTCGGATAAAAGGAAGTAGGGGTGGGCATCCACTCATTTTTGACACTCAGCATATGCCAGCCTGCGTTCTTTTTACATTTCTCCTGTTTTTGTCTGTCCGCATGGTAAGCTCCTTCACAGCAGGGTCCACATCTCACACCAGAGTGTTCTTATGTGGTAGATGCTCAATACACGGATGCTAGTGATAAATAGTTTTCTTGACCATTAAGCCACCTGGTTGATTAATTAGTATTTTCAGTTTTTACCAGTATGTGAGCTTTGCTAGATTTTTTTATACCCAACTCTAGAATTAGCAGTAGGTATCTGACCTAGATTGTTTTAGTAAACCATTTCAAAAATTAAGTGTATGTCTTAAGATAAAACTACAGATAGTTTCTTTTGTGAGAAACTGTAATATTCTCACAAAAATAAAAGTACAGACTGGTTACTGAGACTTCAGATTGGAAAGTCAGGAGAGATTTTCAATCTTCGTTTCTTCCCACTAAATGTACTAAAATAGAAACTGTTGTTGTTTTTAACTAAAATCAGAGCAGACTGGAATTACGGAAAAGAATATTATGAATGGTTCTATATATATATATATATATATATATATATATATATATATATATATGTAGACAGAACTTAACATTTATGTTTTTTTGTTATTTTTAAAGTCCTTGCTGAGAGCTTTTAGGAGGGAGTACTCTCTAATGAATAATACTAATAAAAATAATAACAATAATAGATCCTTACTATGCCAGACCTATTCTAAGACTTTTGCATTTAGTTCTCACAAAAAATCCTAATATTACTATTCAGTTTTTACTTATCTTTCTTTCCTTTTATTATCTTATCCTGTATCTATATGCAAGTAGTTTGTTGGTCAGCATTGAACAAACTATTTTTGGTCCCCAAAACACTTTGCTCACCCAAGAGTCTTCTTTTAGTCACAGACCACTCTGAACTACTGAATCTAGTTTCATCGTCATGTTATAGTTAGGGCTGAAGAATTCCTATGTAGTCTACTCACTAAGGGGTGTCCTACCTCTCCTTCCAAATTGCTGCCTTCACTGCAATTTCTGGTTAGGTTTTCAGCAGCTTCCTCTGATCAGCCTCCTTTTTCCTGCTCCCACCAAGAAGAACTCTTCCCATTCCAGACACAGCCTTGTGTTTTACTGACTGCAAGAAAAAAGAGAAAGAGAATATGAAGGAGGCCAGTCTAAATCGGAGCCCTTATCTCTCCTGTAAATGATGCCTTTGAGTAGTCAGTTTTTAAATATTGTTCCCAAACTGTTGTTTCTGGGTTATTGGTGACTCAGTACATCTCACCCTTACTCCTTCTAGCTCAGTGGGTTACATCATCTTCTATGATTAATTTGGACTGGATTCAGCAAAATTTTTCTTTCATTTAGCAAACTTTTATTGAACACACGCTGTGTGACAGCACCAATGCTCTGTGAGGTGAAAAAGATATTAGTGCTACCTCGGGCCTTAGTTTCCCTGCTTATGACACATGGCTCTCTAATAAGGGATGAATGGAGCTTAATTGACAGTATTCGAAGTAGAAATAACATTCAGTTTTCTAGATTGTAGGGTTTATACACATTTATTTACAGTTAAGTAGGTGAACCTCAAATTGTTCAGGCACCTATTAAGAAACTGAGTCTATATAGAATATTGGTCACGATTAACAGCCTTTGAGGCTTCCACATTCGGCAAGGCTTTAATATTGTGCCTACTAGAAGGGTGATTTGTTTTTCTTCTTGTCCTTCCCAGGCATACCCAGAGTATCTTATCACTTACCAGATCATGAAGCCAGAAGCCCCTTCCCAGACCGCAACAGCCGCAGAGCAGAAGACCTAGTGAATGCCTGCTGGTGAAGGCCAGATCAGATTTCAACCTGGGACTGGATTACAGAGGATTGTTTCTAATAACAACATCAATATTCTAGAAGTCCCTGACAGCCTAGAAATAAGCTGTTTGTCTTCTATAAAGCATTGCTATAGTGATGAATAGTATGAGTAACTGATACATACTCAACTGCTACTGTTCCCTTTGAGGAAATGTTTACAGGGGCGGCCTTTTAACATATCTCAGGCTCATTTTCATTGCAATTATCCATTTCTAAAACAAGATTGCTTCGATCTAGACTTGGAAATGGAAAATAAGAAAACCAATGCTTTTTCAAATGTTCACAATTCACACACTACATTTGTTTTGTTATGCATGACGTGTCTATAACAAATATACACATACGACAGGCAACAAGCTTGTTTTTGATTTGCCAGACATGCATCATTGGCTATTGTTTGTTTGTTTTTTGTTTTTTTGTGTTTTTTGGGTTACTTTGAAAATGAGCCAGAGCCTTCTTGAGGATATTTTGCACAAAGTCACGCTGACAAAATCATTAGCAGTGCAACCCAAGCTTCTGGCTGAGCAAGATTCAGTTTCCACTTTTTAAAATTTTTTTATTTTGCTCTGTAGCTGCACTTCTCGTTATCATAAATTGAGATGAAAAGGAAAAAACATCAAGTTTTAGTACCTTTTTATGAATTGGCCTATCTTACAAGAGAAGGGCACAAACACCAACCTGACTTAGGAACGCCTAAATTCAGAGAAGTCAAAGCCGGTGAAGGCCACTTGCTCTTTCCAACACAAGCCTGCCACAGAGGTCTTCGGGACAGTACTGGAGATGCAGGTTGACACGGGCTTGAGTTCCAAGGTGAAAAAACTGGGGAGGCTGTGAAGGAAGAGCTGCATTAAGGAGGGTGAGGAGCGTGTGGTTCTGTATCATGGCAGCCCCAATGGATCCAGGGGATGCCTCCAAAAAATACATGCTTCCCTTCCCTTAATCTGTACTGTTGGGATTGTTACCCCTCCAAATTAGCTGCCTTATTTCAAAAGTCAGTGAAATTACTGCACTTGATGAGGGTCACAAAAATACCACTTGATTGTTTCTTTAGTTGAGAATGCTGGGATTCAGACTCGAATAGTGGATAGATACACACAAATGCAAGGACTTTTTTGTTTACTCCAGATTTGGGGTTTATTTTGAGTGGCATGCTTCAAATAGTTCATAAAGATCCTTGCATTAAATTTCTGAACCATTTCTTCAAACTTCTTAGTGTGTTTAGACAAGGAGAACAAAAATTGAAACCAAAGCCCTTTCTGTTATTTTTTCAATGAAGGTGAGAAAGAAATACCATACAATTTTCTTTGTGAAATTACTGTTTATTTTCATCAACATTTACCAAGTGCCATTGACATTTATAAAAAAAAATGATCCTTTATAGTTCTTACACTTGCCCTTTTCACCTTAACTGAATATGAATTGAGTGCACTAACTTATTTACTTGATATACTGTGCATCTACTCTGCTTTGAAGCGAAAGAAATATAAACACGAGGAGGAATAGGAAAGACAGTGTGACACAAACTTGCCATTGCAATTCAAAGCCCTGAAAACGATGGGTTTAATGCAAGGTGATTAAGCTGTGACCTCCTTTAATCTCCTGAAGCAAAATAAAATGGTTACATGCAAAACTTCTAGAAATAGACTCTTAAAATATATACATTTTGCTTTGATTTTGGCTTCAACCCAGTGCTGGAACTAGGCATCCAGACTAGTTTGAATGTTTGTAGCTGAATTTTTATGGGTCCTCAAAATTAAATCGAGAATTAGCCTCAGTTGTTGCTTCTTTTGAAGTTTCAGTGACCCAAGCTGGGTGTTTGTGTCTTGGCTACTTGTTTAATAGCACTAGAATTCCAGGTGAAGCTTTGAGAGTTGATATTCATTAAGAGGGCTTTTTTTCCCCTTCTTTCCTTCTCTTTTGCTGTAACAAAGGGTTGAAGAAATTGCCATCTGTGTAGTTTTCAGTAGCTGTCAAGTGTGTCTTACTTACCTTCCCCCAGACGTAGTTTAAAATGGTAAACACAGCTGTGATTTTTAGTTAAGTAAAAGAGTTAATATGATATAGATATGGAAAGCTTTATGGCTTCATTAAAAAGATAAACCACTACCTAACTGTGGTTGTATGTTGTTTCCATCATACTAACTAGATGAATGGATGCGCCAGTTTTCATCTTGGTCCTTACACTTGAGAAGTTAAACTGTGGTTCAGTATTTAAACTGCCAGTGTTATACGTCTCATGCTCTGTGTGCCAGGTGAAGGTACTGTGTAAGGAAGACATTTGCGGTGCTTCTTGTCCTATAATGATTCAAGTATATAGTAGTTCTTGAAAGAGTGTGCATATATTACTCATCTGCTTAAGAGAGTGGGTTAATGGATATATCAGAGGAGCCAAATACATTTTTTTCAGAACTTGAAAACCAAAGGTCATCATGAGTGCACTCAAAAGTTAGGACAAGTTTATTACATTTGGGATTTTCATCTGTAGCCGTATGAAGAACCCTTTCCAATATAAAAGCATGGCATTAAATTAGGCTGAAGTCTTTTATTTTTTGTATATGTACTATATAGAAATACTAGCAAGTTAGGATCATCCAATATGGCCTACCCCGAAATGGCCCCTCTGTTTCCCTAACCACATGGAAGAAAGAATCTGAACGTCTCCACCGGCTCTACCCGAGTTCCAAAACTAAAGGGCTTCTCCAGACCTGATGGTTCCAGTTTACCTGCTGTTGGCCTGCTGGATACTTGACTCAGGCATAAATTAAGTGCCCTGGTCCCGAACTTTCTCCCTGTATTTGACCTCCTTCCCTCTTTCCTAAATTACTAGTCTGGAATTAAAATTAGCTCCAGCAATGACCTTTGACTCCATTCATTTTCTCCTCATCTTGGGTCTTAAAAAAGGAGACCAGATACCTCCTAGCTTTTGTATCACAACCAGGAATGGGTATTAGGCCTCATGCGCTTTGCTCAGAACACTGCCGCTTTGTTAACAAATGACAGCATGGAACCCAGAGTTTTGATTCGATGCAAAATAACAGCAGTGCAACCAGGATTCTTGTTTTCCTTTTCCTTCTTGGAGTTTGGAATTTCTAGCTTTTCAAGCAGCATAAGTAGAATCAACATTAGGATGTTTTCATGAAATAGCATCCTTATACTTCTTTGAGCTTGATGTTAGTGGCTAGACTGATTTCCCTTTGCTCTCAAAATACAAAGTGCATTGAAGTATACAGAGAAATGCCTGAATATGGCAAGCAAATAATGTAGATTAACATTCTATTATTGTATCCGTTTTACAAAAAATAAAATTTTGATATATGCCGGAGAACGGCATTAGAATGCAATAAGTTGTCTAGGTTTTTCTGTTTCAGTGTCTCTCCCAATGGCACGAAGGGTTATTGGGCATTGTCCCCACCCCCGCCTTTTTAACATGTGCACTATCTGGATTCCTGTAAATGGCCTTGCAAACAGAAGTGGTGTGTATTTTCAAGCACCTTTCCCCCATTGTATCCGAATCCCTCTTGTGTGATATCTGTGACAAATAGCCTTCTTCTTGTGTTTTCTGTTGGACTAATTGTCTCACGTAAAGCTATAGACCTTACTAATTTGGCAGGTATTCAAAACTGCCATTAAGATAGGATTTCATGTCAGATACGTATTTAAAGAGTAAAGTCAAATTTGTTTAATGTCAGATCAGTGACAGAAGTGAAAAGAAAGTAATTGTGAAAGTGATGTTTGAGCTATTGTACACATCTAGCATATGGAAAGCAAATGCACTCGAAAACTACTATTCTAGAACATGAGGCTTCTTCAGCAACTTGTGCACTCTGCCATTAATAAATTAAATTTTTCCCCTCTAGAAAGCCTTAACTATGGCGGAAACTTTTTAACCTTTTATATTTTAATAAATAAAACATTGTAGTCCCATTTCTTAGTGTTTGAAAGGTGTGTCAGTGAGTCGGCCATGTCTCCATGTGTTTCAGACCTGTTCATCTTATTTTATGATGGTATATTTCATAAGTAATATTCCCTTACATGCAATGGAGCTGATTAAAATTAATCCATTTCAATTTCTCCATATTGGAACTTCCTCAGCTACCAGATTTCTGGTTTGGAGAAGTGCTGGAAAGATTTCAAAGCCTATTCAGTTGTGTATGTGGGGATACGACAGCAACTGTGATACCTTGTAGAATATGAGTGATATGCAAGCTGTGTTTTTTAATTGTTTTAAAATGTAAATTATGGTTATGCTAAAGTGAAAACCTAGAGGAAGCTAATGATTTTATATACTTTGCACGACCAAATATGGTCGTAGTATGACGAGTTTTATACATTGCCAGAGAGTTCTGCCTCCTCTGAAATAACATTCGCACTGTAGATTGCATTTCGGCTTTTCCTCCTTTCACATTCTTTTTTGCTTTACACTTCACGTCTTCGCACCTGCCCTACCTCCCATCCTTTCAAAGAGGTTTCTTTCACGTTCCAGAATTCAGATTGTTCTGTGATTTCTTTTACATCAGTCTACCCATTTCTGCAGGCAGCCCTGAAAGCCCTTGTGTTGATTCAGAGTGTTTGCAGAGAAATGCAGTTGAACCCTGGTAGTGGGGTGTCCCTCACACACCCGCGCACCCCTCCCAAAGTTCAGGATGAAAGGCTAGAAAACCCATTCAAAGTTAGGAAAGAACACAGATCTTTGAGGCCGATAGCCTAGACCTAGAAGATGACCTTGAGTATGTAAACATTGTCTCCGTGACACAAAACACTGAAACTCTTCATGTGCATATAACACCTGCTTCTGCTCCCATTGTTTCAAGCTCATCTTATCTTTGTAGTAGTAATGTTTGTCTTTGATACCTACAAACTAAAAAGGTACTTTTATCAAGGTTTCTCAAAACATTTACAAAACCAGCTTTGAGAAAATGTTATGTTGCCTGGCAACAGCACTCGGAGTAGTAATTGTGTTTTCTCATTGTGATGTTGGTCTGTGTGAGCAACCAGTGTAGTGACTCTTTGGTTCATTATTCGTGTTGTTTTTATTTTTAGTCTCTGTGTGACCCAACAGTGGCAGGGGTTACAACCCCCTCTCCTTTCTTTTTTGTATTTATCTATTTGTAGGATTGTCAGATCAAGTACAAGATGCCCAGTTAAGTTTGAATTTCAGAGAAACAATTTCACGTTAAGAATGTTTCATGCAATATTTGGCATATATTTACAGTAAAAGCATTCATTATTTGTCTGAAATTCAAATTTAACTGAGCATGCTGGTTTTTCTCATTGTTTGGTTTTTCTAAATCTGGCAATCCTACAGCTGTGGTCATGGGAAATCACCTACAGCATGTTAAAGTCCTCTAGTCATCATCTCGTCACCTGAAATGGAAGTCCTTTTTCCCTCACCCTCCACTTCTTTCCAAAGGAGGGCATCAAGGAACTTAACCTGCCTGCCTGGTGGGTTTCTATTTAAGACATCTTTGTGATTATATTTAACCTGCAATTGTGCTTTGGCTTAATGTCTAGCTCACTGTACTTGTAAATGATTAATATTCAATAAAACCATTTTTAAAGTACACTTGTGTGGATAGCAGTTAGCTCTTAAGTATTTTCATTTTGCCCTGCTTGTTCATTTCTGCCTGACCAACCTTAACACAACTGACTTGAAAAACTGTCAGAATACAAATACCAACCCTCCCTCTCCATCTTCCAGTGAGACCTGGGTTTTAAGTGACTTATCCTCACGTCTCAGCCCACATGGCAGTTACTGAATAACTTCTGCAATAGCACGGGCAACATGGGTTCCTTTCAGAAATATCTCTTAAACAAACAGGCTGACACTTTAGAGCCAGACCTCCTACCAGGTCCAAAGGCAGCCCAGGGGCCTTGCACAACATGATTGCTCACAGACTCACCTTCTCCACCTCTCGGGGGAGACGGAGGGGAAGAACGCCTGCTTCATGCAACAGTCAGTATTAAATACTTAGCACAGTGCCTGGCGCAGAGGACTAAGAAAATCCTTCCATTCTTCCCCTCTTCTTTCTCCATGCCTAGGGGTCCGTTACATAGCAAATTTGAACCTAGAATTTTATCTGTACAGTAACTTTTTTGCCAGAGGGCTTGTCAGAGCAACAAACAGACATAATTAAATGGAAGTATTCTAGTAACCCTGCAAATAACAATAGCCATCATTGAGCCCCTACGTGAACCAAGTACTTTGTATACATACATTTTCATTAGTAACCCCAAAAACTTTGCAAAACTGGCCTTTTAATTCTGTTTCACAGATGAGGAACTGAAACTGGAAGTGGTTAAATTAGTTATGTTATATCCCAGAATACCTTCCACTATAAGACTAAGTACCAGAAGGCCAGGCGCAGTGGCTCACGCCTATAATCCCAGCACTTTGGGAGGCCAAGGCAGGCGGATCACGAGGTCAGGAGATCGAGACCATCCTGGCTAACACGGTGAAACCCCGTCTCTACAAAAAATACAAAAAATTAGCCGGGTGTGGTGGTGGGCGCCTGTAGTCCCAGCTACTCGGGAGGCTGAGGCAGGAGAATGGTGTGAACCCGGGAGGCAGAGCTTGCAGTGAGCCGAGATCGCACCACTGCACTCCAGCCTGGGCAAGAGAGTGAGACTCCATCTCAAAAAAAAAAAAAATTAAGTACCATTTGCTATGTACCAATCACCAATCACAGATGGAGTTTCAGTGTTTAAGCAGGAATAAAAACACAGACTTGACTCTACCACATGATTTTATGTCAGTATCTCACACAACAATCAGATTCTAAATGCCATTAGACTCAGGTGTTCCCTTTTGGTTATAGAAAAGGAAATTATAGAGGGGACAACTTAGTGAATAAGGGGTTATAGAAAGGGTTATAGAAATAGAAATCTGAATTGTGCACAAAAAGCAAGTGGAATATAAAACAGTAACTTAAAATTTCAAAAGCCTGGGTTAGTTTATGACATGGATGTATTCCAAGGGCCTGTTTTTGTAGCATCAACCACTGTGGGTTGGGGATTGGGGGAAGTGGGATGGAGCAGCTGTAAATCACTTGCTGGATTGGGTTTATTTTCTGAAGGAAATTACTTGCTGGAAAACTAGATCCTATTAATCAAAGGGATGGGTGCTTCTTGGTAGCCAGTTTTGAAGAAGTATTTTTGGATTACGTTGTCTACATTGAGTGTCTGGATGCTGTGACCTAGTTTCTCACATTAGAGGTAGCGTGTCCTATTTATAGCACCTGTCAACCTTTATCATTTGGCTAGGTTCACTTTTCTTCATTATCGTATAAGACTGTACAATAGACCTCCAAGCTGAAAGAGCACCTGACACTATACTGGAAATAATGAAAGTTGGGTCATCCATTCCCATTAAGTTGGAACGTAAGTGTCAGGTCTTCTGGTTTGCATTAGCTCTGAACACTTGGATATATAAAAAACAGTGGAAAAGGGGATGGTGTGTACGTCTTCATTTCTACCAACTACCATCTACCATACAGTGCTAATAAAACAACTTTGCATCGGACAATATGAAAGATGTTAATTTTGTTAATATGATTCTTGGCATACTGTTCCCGCCCAAGGACCCATTTATAAAATAAGTCTATTCACCTGTACTTTCATAACTCTGCCTGCAAATCAGTGGTATGTAACACAAAGTAAAAGTATAAGGTAACCGTGGTTATGAGTCATTGGGAGTATGTAGAGGCTGAAGTCAGGAAACCAGTGCTTGCCCTACAGTACAGAATTGCTTCATAACTCCAAGGCAATTCTATGAAGGCCATGTCTCTACCTTTCATCTGTCAAGTAGGAATACTCACCAGCAGCACATCCAGACGATGCTGGCTGCCATACAGTTATTTAATTTAGGACTACTTAAAAGATGTACAAGGTGATACAAATCGAACGCTTTTGGGGTCTGAGGAGAAGATGGAAGTAGAACAATGAGAATTTTAGGTGTCTAGTCTGTTAGGGTGACTGTTACCAAAACACCTGGGTTTTGATCTAGGCCCTGCTGCTTGCCGCACAGAAAGCCAATGACTGAGATGATGAGTATTGCCAAGGAAGAAGGCTTTAATAGGGTGCTGTAGTCAAGGAGATGGGAGTTCAGTCTCAAATCCATCTCCCTAACTAAAACTAGGGGTTTATATAGCAGGGAAGTAATGCGTAAAAAAACAGGAACGAGGGAGAGGCAAGGAAGCAATCATGATGATTGAGGTGTTGGGCATCTCACTGTCTGGATGTGCTGATCTGGTGAGTTTCAGTTCTATGATACGTTTTGAGAGGCCTGAGGGTTCCTTTCCTGAGGAAAGAACTAAGATAAAACAAATATAAGTTTTAAGCTTTAAGAGAAGAAGGGTCCATTTCTATGTTTATCCAAAAACAACTGTGTATGGGGCTGTTGGGTCAATTTCATAACTAGTTAGCTGAAAGGCTGTAGGATTAAAACCTCCAGCCCTGCAATCAGAAGGCCCAAGTTCATAGCTTGGTTTTACCACTTACTAGCCATGTGACCTTGAGAAGTTCCTTATTCTTCTTGGGCCTCACTTTCCTCATCATTAAAAATGAGTATACTACTACTACTACTACTACTACTACTACTACTACTACTACTACTACTACTATTTCATAGAGTTGCTTTGAGAATTAAATGAGTTAACTTGCATAGTATGTTCTTTTTTTTTTTTTTTAATCTGAAAACTGTCTTTCCATTCTGTCCCCTAAGAAAAAGTACTTGATTGGCTAGAATGGGAGATTAGAAGAAAGCATATCCATGACTGACTCAGACCCCTTAAAGAATCTGCCGGCCAGGCGCGGTGGCTCACGCCTGTAATCCCAGCACTTTGGGAGGCCAAGGCAGGCAGATCACAAGGTCAGGAGATAGAGACCATCCTGGCTAACATGGTGAAACCCCGTCTGTACTAAAAAAAATACAAAAAATTAGCCGGGTATGGTGGTGTGCACCTGTAGTCCCAACTACTCAGGAGGCTGAGGCAGGAGAATGGCGTGAACCTGGGAGGCAGAGCTTGCAGTAAGCCAAGATCGCACTACTGCACTCCAGCATGGACGACAGAGCGAGACTCTGTCTTAAAAAAAAAAAAAAAAAAAAAAAGTTTCTGCCTAACTGAAGCCCAGAGTGCTGCAGAGTGGAACCAGATGTCCATCTTCATCAGTGTTGATGTTGATGAGCATAGTATAGCAAAGTTCCCCAGAAGTCATCCAAATCCCCAGAAAGAAAAGCCTAAAACTATTACTGTATCAGGGTTAGACTCTAGAAGTCTGCCATAGACTCAAGGCAAATGTTGGTGACGGGTAGGGGAGGAGTTCAGGGGAGGGCCTCCCATTCAGTAAGTGTATCTAGGAGTTCAGGAAGGAAACTATCCAAAGGGTGATCAAAGTAACCACATCTTTGATAATGGAAAGACTTGGCCAGTTGGACATTTTCTAAAACTTGAGCAGGAGGCTTAGAGGAAAAGAAGGAACAAAGAGAGGTTTGAGGTTTTCTCATAGCAGGAGAGCAAAAATCCTGGTTGCCACTCAAGTTGACTTAAGCCTGATTTCATCATCAGCATCTAGTAGCATTTCTTATGGTCACAGCCATGAGTGAGAGAAAGGCAAAGGTTTATCCAACACTTTTTATTAATTTAAATCTCTTCCAAATCTTTTACTCTGATAAATTGCACTTTTATAGTCCTGATTATAGTTGCTTGGCTATCTATGTGCTTTGGACTTGTCTCTGATTAGATGGCTCTTTTTTTCATGGCAGGAACCATGGGATCCCCAACACCACCTGCCACAGTGCCCTGAACATAGAGCACTCATTCTGTTTCCAAGCAGCATTTGAACAGGCTGTCACACTGGCAGCCTGTCCTTTAGTAAACGGACTGTAGCTAGATCTTGTTAAAACACCTTCAAATACCCTAAGCTGACCACATGCTAAAGGATGAGGATAGGAGTGCAAAATAGCTTTTCGTAGACTCTGAGAACTGGAATGGATCTTTAGAGATCACCTGGTCCAGCTCTGTTATTTTTTTAATGAAGAATTTGTAGAAGGCCACATAGCTACAGTGAGGCAGGGCAGACACCAGAATCCAAACTTCTGGCTTTCATTTGGACTTATAAATAGCATTCCCACCCAATGACACTAATTCTTAAAATGACCATCTTTAATTCTTCACACTCTTTCCTCTTTCTTCTAACCTTCTACAAAGAGCTATTAAGTCTTGTAGAAATATTTCAGCCATCAAATCTCTCATTCATCCCTTGAGATCATGCCTGGACTAGCAGTTGCTCACCCCCACTACCAAAATCTTCTGAAAGCACAACTCTGATTAGAGAACTATGTCACGTGGGAAGTTACCTTGATTCAGTGGTAGCCTCCACAGATACTACCAGGCAGACTATCCCAGAGTTCCTAGAGCACAAAAGTCCAAACCAAATGAAAAAGCTCAAATACTTTTTATTACTTATTTTAATAAATCATTTAGTTTATTGAATTAAACCACATACCCAGAAGAAAAGAGTTAGCCTACTTAGAATAGGATACAAGAGACTACACTACCTCAATCTTGAGTTATACAATGTTCATGTTTCCTCCCCCTCCATCACTCCTCTTCCTCCTCTGTCACATCAGCCCTCTTGCAGATAGTACAGTTTCAAGGACCAGAGTGTGTGACTTCATGGTACGTAAGCACCTCCCAAGTAATGGGGAAGGAGGCAATGGATGCAAAGTTAATGCAAAATAATTGAGGTAAGTCTTCTCACTCAGAGAATCCTTCAAGTCCCAGCTCAAATATCTTTCAAGAAAAGCCATTCCTTGCCTACCTGGTGCCATGTGACCACTCAGCCCTTTGAGTCCAATCTGTGCCCAATACGTACCTCATTAAACTACATCACCATCCACGTAATTGTATGTTTCCTCTACCACCACAGTGAGCCACTTGGACCTGAGCCATGTGTCACTGTCATGGTCTTCCTAGTTCCCAGCCAAGTACTCATCTTTAAATTGAACTGAACTATAAAAGAAATATGAAATATGTGTCTCGTACTTTAGATGATGGAGGCATCTGATCTTGGCTGGCAGAAGAATAGAATCAAGAAAATTTTCTCAAAGGAAGAAGAGAATTGCACTGAAGCTTTGGGAATAAAAAGAAGTTAGCCACGCAAAGATAGAGTCTTCCAGGTGAAGGAAAGGCATATACAAAGGAATGGCAGTAAGAAAGAACAAATCATGTTCAAGAAGCTGGAAGGAGTTGGCCGTGGCTGAGCGTTGGGTGAGATGACAGTGGAGAGGTGAAGAGGCCGACAGAGGGGGGCAGGGCCAGAAGCAGAGAGGGTTCCATATGTTCTTCTCGGAGCTTTTAACTCTACCATGTAGGCTGGCACAGTGGCTCACATCTGTAATCCCAACACTTTGGGAGGCCAAGGCAAATGGATTACCTGAGGTCAGGAGGTCAGGACCAGCCTGGCCAACATGGTGAAATCACGTCACTCCTAAAAATACAAAAATTAGCCGAGCATGGTGGCAGGCTCCTATAATCCCAGCTACTCAGGAGGCTGAGGCAGGAGAATCTCTTGAACCCAGGAGGTGGAGATTGTAGTGAGCCAGCACTGTGCCACTGCACTCCAGCCTGGGTGACAAAGTAAGACTCTGTCTCAAAAAAAAAAAAAAAAAAAGAATAGAAAGAAAGAAAGAAAAGAAGATATACAAATGATCAATAAGCACATGAAATACACTCAGTATCACTAGTTGCTAGGGAAATGCAAATAAAACTACCATGAGGTAGCACCTCACACCCATTAAGATGACATCTTTTTTTTTTTTTTTTTTAAGGCAAGGGTATGGAGAAATTAGAACCCTTATGCACTGTTGGTGGGAAAATTAAATAGTGCAGTCACTATGGAAAACAGAATGAAAGTTTCTGAAAAAATTAAACATAGAATTACTATATGATCTAACAGTTCTGCTTCTGGGTATATATATACCCCAAACAATTGAAAGCAGAAGCTTAAACAGATACTTGTACAACAATGTTCCTTGCAGTGTCATTCACAATAGCCGAAAGGTAGACGCAGCCCATGTATACTTATATATACACACAATGGAATGTTTATTCAGCCTTAAAAAGGAATGACATTCTGATACATAATGTGACATAGATGAGCCTGGAGGACATTATGCTAAGTGAAAAAAAGCCAGTCACAAGACAAATACTGTGTGATTCCAGTTGTATGAGATACCTAGAAAGGGCAAATTCAGACTCAAAGTAGGTGGGTGGTTGCCAGGGGCTGGGGAAGGGGGAACGTGGAGTTATTATTTAATGAATATAGGGTTTTAGTTTTGCAAGATGAAAAGAGTTTTAGAGATTGGTTGCACAATTTAAATGTTTTTAAAACTACTGAACAGTATGATTAAAAAAATGGTTCATATGGCAAGATGGTAAATTTTATGTGAATTTTATGACAATTAAAATTTTTGGGCCAGGCACAGTGGCTCACACCTATAATCCCAGCACTATGAAAGGCTGAGGCAGTCTGGGCAACATGGGAAAATCCCATCTCTACATAAAATTTAAAAACTAGCTGGGTGTGATGGTGCACACCTGTGGTCGCAGCTACTCGGGAGGCTGAGGTGGGAGGATCACCTGAGACCAAGAGGTCAAGGCTGTAGTGAGGCATGTTTTTACCACCGCACTCCAGCCTGGGTGACAGAGTGAGACCCTGTCTCAGAAAAAAAAAAATTTTCTTGGCTGGGTGCAGTGGCTCATGCCTATAATCCCAGGCTTTGGGAGGCCAAGGCAGGAGGATTGCCTGAGGTCAGGAGTTTGAGGCTGCAGTGAGCTATGATCATGCCACTGCACTCCAGCCTGGGCAACAGAGCAAGACTCCATCTCTACAAAAAATTTTAAAAAATAGCCAGGCATGGTGGTGCACACTCATCTACTCAGGAGTATGAGACAGGAAGATTGCTGGAGCCCAGCAGTTCACTCAATTGAGAAAGAATAAAAATAAAGGTGTCTATCTCATACAACATGTCTGTCACAGGTGTCTGGGTACTCTGTTCACATGATGTAGTTCACATGTAGGATCCAAGCAGGGAAAGCAGCCACGACTTGGAATATTCTGGTAACTGGCAGAGAGGGAAAAAGTATGACCAAGCACACACATGCTCTTCAAGGTTCTTCCTGGAACCAACACACACCACTTCTGTTTACATTTTATTGGCAAGACAAGTCACATGGCCATGTCTAAGTTCAATGGGGAGGAGAAAGAAGTCTGATTCTCCCACATGGAGGGCTACTGGGTATTGTGAACGGTAACACAATCCACTCTCATTGTTGATAATGCAGCTTTGACAGTTGCCACAGTCACTATTTAAAACTTCAGAAATTAGAAGAGGTGCAATGTGAACATTTGCAACTGAAATTCAAGAACATAAGAAAAAGAAGCTGAACAAGACGAGTGAGCGGAGTATCCATAGAGATGGGGACGACGTGGCCTAGGAAAAGGCAAAAAAAATCCACATCTTGTTCTGGGTGACAGACACACAACATAGGTGTATAAATACATATAATTCACCGAGCTCTACACTTTTTATTTTTATTTTTTGAGATTGAATCTCACTCTCTCACCCAGGCTGGAGTGCAGTGGTGCAATCTCGACTCACTGCAACCTCCACCTCCCAGGTTCAAGTGATTCTCCTGCCTTGGCCTCCCAAGTACCTGGGATTACAGGTGTGTGCCACCACACCCAGCTAATTGCTATATTTTTAGTAGAGATGGGGTTTCACCATGTTGGCCAGGCTGGTCTGGAACTCTTGGCCTCAGTTGATCAGCCCGCCTCAGCCTCCCAAAGTGTTGGGATTACAGGCATGAGCCACTGCGCCTGGCCGAGCTCTACACTTATAATTTGTGTACGTTTAAGTTGTATCTCAAATTTTTAAAAACTAAAGAAAGGGTATGGAACCTGTGAAAGGAAAACAAATCTTGCAACCCCGTAAATCACTAAGCCAAGGGAAAAGTCAAGCTGGGAACTACATCAGGCAAACCTGCCTCCCATTTTTTCCCTAAATAAGATAGCTACAGCAGACACGGTGGCTCATGCCTGTAATCCCAGCACTTTGGGAGGCTAAGGAGGGTGGATCACCTGAAGTTAGGAGTTTAAGATCAGCCTGGCCAGCATGGTGAATCCTCGTACTAAAAACACAAAAATTAGCCAGGCGTAGTGGCAGGTGCCTGTAGTCCGGGCAACTCGGGAGGCTGAAGCAGGAGAATTACTTGAACCTGGGAGGCCGAGTTTGCAGTAAGCCAAGATCATATCACTGCACTCTTGCCTGGACAACAGAGCAAGACTCCATCTCTAAAAAAATAAATAAATAAATAAAAGATAACTACAAAAATTAAAAAAAAAAAAAGGTACATACCTCCTTCACAATTGACTCATAAGGAAATTCCTTGTGGACAAAGGACAGAGAGAACTCAAAGTCATCCCTGAGGCTCATGCATATCTGGTTTCTTCCTCTGCCCTATTGTTTCACTGAGCCAGACCAAGGCATAAGTGACTATTCCTCTACCCTTGTCTCACGTATAAATCACGTATTCAGTGAAAGGCTAATTAGAAACTCAAAAGATTGTCTCTTATCTACCTATGACCTGGAAGTCCCCTCCCCCACCTGTAGTTGTCCCACCTTTCTGGACGTAACCAACGTCCATCTCACACGTATTGATTGTTGTCTCATGTCTCCCTAAAATGTATCAAAGCAAGCTGTTCCTTGACCACCTTCGGCACACGTCATCACGCCTCCTGAGGTTGTGCCATGGGAGAGTCCTTAACCTTGGCAAAATAAACTTTCTAAATTGGTTGAGACCTGGCCAGGTGCGGAGGCTCATGCCTATAATCCCAGCAATTTGGGAGGCCGAGGAGGGAGGATCACCTGAGGCCAGGAGTTTGAGACCAGCCTGGCCAACATGACTGGAACCCTGTCTCTACTAAAAATACAAAAATTAGCCAGGTGTGGTGGCATGTGCCTATAATCCCAGCTACTCAGCAGCCTGAGGCAGGAGAATCACTTGAACCCAGGAGGTAGGGTTGCAGTGAGCCAAGATCACACCACTGCACTCCAGCTTGGATGACAGAATGAGACTCTGTCTTAAATAAATAAATAAATAAATAGGTTGAGATCTGTCTTAGTTATTTTGACTTCACAAACTAAAAAGTTGATTGAAAGCTCTAAATGTGTACATGGGGCATGACAGCTTTGAGCTAGGTGGGCTGTTCAAGGAAAAGGTTCTGCTGTTGATGTATTTTGGCAAGCTACGTTGTAGATATCAATGAATGGATTCCAGAGTTTATATGGAGAGGCAGAAGACCCAGAGAAGAACACAGTTGGAGGACTGGAGGACGGACACTATCTGACTTCAAGACTTACTATAATGTTACAGTAATCAAGACAGTGTGGTACTGGTGAAAGAACAGTGAATCGATGGCTGAGCACAGTAGCTCGCACCTGTAATCCCAACACTTTGGGAGGCCGAGGTGGGAGGATTGCTTGAGCTCAGAAGTTCAAGACCAGCCTGGGCAACATGGCGAAACCCCATCTCTGCCAAAAATACAAAAGGTCAGCCAGGCATCGTGGTGTGTGCTTATGGTTCCAGCTGAAGGAGGCTGAGGCAGGAGGTTTCCCTGAGCTGGGGAGGCAGAGGTTGCAGTGAGCCAAGATCATACCACTGCACTCCAGGCTGGGTGACAGTGAGATTCCATCTCAACAAAAAATAAAAAAAAGGAAAGGAAAGGAAGGGAAGGGAAGGGGAAAGGGAAGGGGAAAGAGAAAGGGAAAGGAAGGGAAGGGAAAAGGAAAAAGAAAAGGGAAAGGAAAAGGGAGGGAAGGGAAAGTAAAGGAAAGGAAAGGGGGGAGGCAGGGAATAGATCAATGGGACAGAATAGAGAGCCCAGAGACAGACCCACATGAATATAATCAACTGATCTTTCACAAAAGAACAAATGCAATACAATGGAGAAAAGAGTTTTTTCAGCAAGTGGACATCCAACATGCAAATAAAAAAAAATGAACCTAGATGCGGACTTTACACACTTCACAAAAATTAACTCAACATGGATGATAGGCTTGAATGTAAAACTCAGAATTGAAACCCTTAGAAGATAACATAGGAGAAAATCTCGATGCCCTGAGTTGGTCAATCACTTTTTTAGATACACCAAAGACATGATCCATCAAAGAAATAATTGATAAGCTAAATTTCATTAAAATTAAAAGCTTCTGCTCTATGAAAGACACTGTCAAGAGAATGAAAAGCCAACTCATAGAGTAGAAGAAAATGTTTGCAAAAGATATAACTGATGAAGCACTGTTAGCCAAAATACACAGAGAAGTTGTAAAATTCCACAATTAGAAAATTAACAACCTCAGTAAAAAATGGGCAAGGAGATACACAGATGGCAAATAAGAATGTGAAAAGATGGCCAACTTCATAAATCATCAGGGAAATGCAAATTGAAACAATGAGATACTACTACACACCTATTCACATGGCCCAAATCCCAAACATTGACAACACCAAATGCTGACAAGAATGTGGAACAACAGGAACTCTCATTCATTTCTTAGTATTTACCCAAATGAGTTGAAAACTTATGTCCACATGAACCTGCACACATAATTGTCAAAACTAGGAAGCCACCAAGACATCCTACGGTAGGAGAATGGATAAACAAACTCTGGTCCATCCAAACAATGAAATTTTATTCAGTGCTAAAAAGAAATGAGCTATGAAGCCATGAAAAGACATAGAGAAACCTTAAGTGCTTAATACTAAGTTAAAGAAGCCAATCTGAAGACTTCTTTTCAGAAGAAAGGTATAGGGGATCAGTCAGTGTGGCCAGAAAAATTGTAAGATGAAGTTATAGGATATAGACACAAACCTTCTTGGAAAGCCAGAAGGTTAGCATAGCTTCAGTAAAAGATTTGGCTGAAGGCAGTCTAATCCTCTTTACCTTTAGTTGATAGCAAAAAAGCAAATAACAAGGAAATGTGGGGAAGTTTATCTAAATAGCTTGTTTACTCATGAGGTCCTAAGACCAACCTTTGATCAACCGCAGGTGCATAACTGCTCTCTACTCAGGGGTCGGCAACCAGGTCAATTACCCACAGATGTGTTGACTCAAAGCCTTTATCATTTAATCTGTACTAAATAAATGTGAACTGCGCTGGCTTATCAGCGGGATGCTCCAGACTCAGAGCAGAGCCCCTTAGCGGGACTGACAGGCAGAATATCTGTGTTAGTGTACATCTCTCATCCATTGCTGGGTTAGGTCTGCGGGTCAGATATCTGCAGAAAGGGGCTCAAGCTACGATAGAGGCAGCTTTCTTTGTCTAAATATTCTTTAAAATAGGGCAGGATAGGCCAAATGTGATGGCTTATGCCTGTAATCCTAGCACTTTGGGAGGCCAAGGTGGAAGGATTGCTTGAGGTCAGGTGTTTGAGGCTGCAGTGAGCCATGATCATGCCCCTGCACTCCAGCCTAGGCAACAGAGCAAGACTCCATCTCTACAAAAAAATTTTAAAAAATAGCCAGGCATGGTGGTGAACACCTGTGGTCCCAGCTACTCAGGAGGACTGCTTGAGCCCAGGAGTTCAAGAGCGTAGTGAGCTATAATCACACCACTGCACAGCCTGGGCAACAGAGCAAGAACCCATCTCTAAAAAAAAAAAAAGAAAGAAAAGAAAAAAGGACAGGATAGCAGATACGCTAAAGAATTGAAAGCAGGGGCTGGGCGCAGTAGCTCACACCTGTAATCCCAGCATTTCGGGAGGCCGAGGCAGGTGGATCACCTGAGGTCAGGAGTTCGAGATCAACCTGGCCAACATGGTGTAACACCGTCTCTACTAAAAATACAAAAATTAGCCTGGCATGGTCATGAGTGCCTATCCCAGCTATTTGGGAGACTGAGACAGGAGAATCACTTGAACCGGGGAGGCAGAGGTTGCAGTGAGCTGAGACCGCGCCAATGCACTCCAGCCTGGGCAACAAGAATGAAACTCCGTCTCAAAAAAGAAAAGAAAAAGAATTGACAGAGGGACTCAAACAGATGTTTGTTTTTAAAAAATGATTGCAAGTGAAGCCAAAAGACAAATGACAAATGACAAACTGACAAAAATGTTACAAATGTTTTGCAATAGATAGGGGACTAATCTCCTTAATATACAAAGAGTTCTTGCAAATCTATGAGAAAAAAGTTAGGTGAAAATTATAAACTTATGAACACACAGTTCATAGAAAAAATAGAAATTGTTCTTGAATATATATAAAATGCTCAGTCTCCTAAGAAAACAAAAGCAATTTAAAACAAGGTAATAATTCGAGCTACACCTACTAGATTGGCAAATACAGGATGTTTATGACAAATGTGTTGGTGTAAAAAATGTTGATGTAAAAAAGTGAAAACCAGTGGATGGGGGAAGAGATTACGTAAATATAGATTCATAAATACCTTCACGTACTGACTTGTATATGCAAAGAATATCTTCTGGAGGAGTCTGGGAAAATCTGGTGACACTAGTAACATTTATGTCCACACAAAAGCCTGCACACAGATATTTATAGAAGCTTTATTCATAATTGCCCAAACTGGGAAGCTCTAAGATTTCCTAGATAAATAAACTCTGGTCCATCCAAACAATGGAATTTTATTCAGTGCTAAAAAGAAATGAGCTACCAAGCCATGAAAAGACATGGAGGAAACTTAAATGCTTATTACTAAGTTAAAGAAGCCAATCTGAAAAGGCTTTTACGAATAAAGCGTCTGTAAACATCCATGTGCAGGTTTTCATGTGGATAAACTAGCTGCCCCAAGGAACATGGTTGAGAGACGTTTTATTATACACAATTCTGTGCCTTTTGAATTTTGAGCTATGTGAATAAATTATTTAAATAACTAAAACTTAAGACTGTATTAGGTGATTTATCACTTGACTTGGAGGGATTTCCACAATATATTGAGGGAAGCAAAACACAGAAAATTATGTATTGTATGGTCCTGTTTTTATGAAGCAAACAATACTGAGTAAAACCCCACATACAACTAAACACACAGGAAATGGTGTATGTGGATTATACTATTACACCCAATGCTACATTATATTGACTATGAGTCTATGAGCATGGAGAAAGAGGGAAGGTCACATAATTGTTAACAATTGTTTGTTTACAGGGTATAAAAGGAGGAAGGAAAGTCAAAAGAAAGTATTCTCTAACAATGTGCCTGACATATTTACAAAATACCATATGTATGTATGCTAATACATATATACTTACATCTACCTATCATCTAACTAAAATATGAAACAGAATCATTGACAAGCCACAAGAAAAGACAGCAATCTTGACTCTCTGTCGGAACATCAAGCATATATACATACACCTGTATGTATGTGTAAAAATAAGAGTGTTACGCATACGTGTCTCTAGTCCCAGGCAACTATTAATCCGTTTTTTGTCTCTATAGATTTGCCTTTTCTAGCAAGTTTACATAAGAAAATCACATATATAAAGATGGTCATGGAAGGCTAAAGGTAGTTGTTTCAGAGATACAGGATTTCCTGGGACTTTGTTTTTCAATTTTTTTTCTGAGGCGGAGTCATACCGTTGCCCAAGTTGGAGTAAAGTGGCGCCATCTCACCTCACTACAACCTTCACCTCCTGGGTTTGAGCCATAAGTGTTACCTGCCTCAGCCTCCTGAGTAGTGATATTAGCAGTAATATCGAATATATTATGAATGATATCACAGGGTGTACATCCCGGGTGTACACTCACTCTGACATTAGCAGTAATATCAAAGATATTATGAATAACATCACAGGGTGAAACCCACTGTGATATCACAAGTAATATCAAAGTTATTATGAATAATTTCACAGGGTGTACACCCACTGTGATATTAGCAGTCATCTTGAAGATATTATGAACAATATCATAGGATGTACACACACTGTGATACTAGAAGTAATCTTCAATTTTATTTTATTTCAATTTATGACAGTGGGTGTACAGGGTGTATTACAGGGTGCACACGCACTGTCATATAAACAGTAATACCAAAGATATTATGAATAATATTAAACGGTAATCACCAATGTGATAATAGCAGTAATATCGAAGATATGAATCACATCACAGGGTGTACAACCACTGTGATATTAGCGGTAATATAAAAAATATTATGAATAATATCACAAGGTGCACGCCCAGGGTATATACCCCTGTAATATTAGCAGTAATAGAGACGATATTATGAATAATATGACAGGGTGCACACCCAGTGTACAACCACTGTGAAATTAGCAGGAATATCCAAGATTTTACAAATATCACAGGGTGTACACTCACTGTGATATTAGCAGTAATATCAAAGATATTATGAATGATATCACAGGGTGTACATCCAGAATGGATACCCACTGTGATATTAGCAGTAACATCAAAGATATTATGAATGATATCACAGGGTGGACACCCAGGATGTACACCCAAGGTGATATTAGCAGTAATAGCAAAGATATCATGAATAATAAAACAGGGTTGGGGTGTACACCCACTATGATATTAGCAGTAATAGTGAAGATATTGTGAGTAACAAAACAGGGTGTACACCCACTGTAATATTAGAAGTAATATCAAAGATATGATGAATAATACAACAGGGTGTACACCCACTGTGATATTAGTAGCAATACCGAAGATCTTACGAATATCATCACAGGGTGTACACACACTATGGTATTAGCTGTAATATCAAAAATATTATAAATAATATCACAGGGTGTACACCCACTGTGATATTAGCAGTAATACCGAAGATATTATGAATAATACCACATGGTGTACACTCAGGGTGTACAACCACTGTGATATTAGCAGTAATATCAAAGATATAACACATCTTTGGTAAGATATTCTGATATTAGATACACACTGTGATATTATTTGCAATATCTAAGGGAAGATATTACTCCTAATATCACAGTGGGTGTACACCCTGTGATATTATTCGTAACATCTAAGGAAAAAAATGACTCTTAATATCATAGTGGGTGTACACCCTTGATATTATTCATAATATCTAAGGAAAGATGCTACTCCTAATATCACAGTGGGTGTATACCCTGTGATATTATTCATAATATTTAAGGGAAGATATTATTACTAATATCACAGTGGGTGTAAACCCAGTAATATTATTAGTAATATCTAAGGGAAGACATCACTCCTAATATCATAGTGGGTGTACACCCTGTGATACTATTTTTAATATCTACAAGAAGATGTTACTTCTATATCAGAGTGGGTTTACAGGCTGTGATATTAATTGTAGTATCTATGGGAAGATATTACTTCTAATATCACAGTGGGTGAACACTCTGTGATATTATTCATAAAATCTAAAGAAAGACATTACTCCTAATAACACAGTGGGTGTACACCCTGTGTGTATACCCTGTAATATTATTCATACTATCTACCAAAAGACACTGCTCCTAATATCACAGAGGGTGTACACACTGTGTGTACACCTTGTAATATAATTCCTAATATCTGAGGGAGATATTACTCCTGATATCAAAGTGGGTGTACACCCTGTGATATTATTCCTGATGATATCTAAGGGAGATATTACCCCTAATATCACAGTGGGTATACA